>NC_000007.14:101294657-101597688 GCF_000001405.40 Homo sapiens
GCTAGAGTGAGGCCTCTATTCTTGGGGTGGGTGGTTGGAGACCAGGACAGAGGAGTGCCCCCGTTTAGATATGGCCTTGTGAGGGCTGGCCTCTGGCTATCCTAAGCACAACAAGCCTCGCCCCCACTTATCCTCACCTGGGGCTCCTCTTCCTTCAAGGCTGGGGCACCCGAGGAAGGACATGGATGATGACACAAAAGCAACTCTCATTTCCTACATGTCCTTGAGTTTCAGGCATGGGTACTGCTTCTCCGAAGACCCCTGAATACAGGGACACAGGTGCAGTCACATGACTTAGGCCTTTTTTTTCTGTTTTTTGAGTCGGAGTCTCGCTCTGTCCCCCAGGCTGGAGGGCAGTGGCGCATTCTTGGCTCACTGCAACCTCCGCCTCCTGGGTTCAAGCGATTCTCCTGCCTCAGCCTCCTGAATAGCTGGATTACAGTTGCCCGCCACCACGCCCAGCTAATTTTTGTATTTTTAGTAGAGATGGGGTTTCACCATCTTGGCCAGACTGGTCTTGAACTCCTGACCTCATCATCCACCTGCCTCGGCCTCCCAAAGTGCTGGGATTACAGGCATGAGCCACTGCACCCGGCCACTTTAGGCCTTTAACTCTGCCATAACTCCTTTTCTTTAAAACATTGATTTTTTTTCTTTGATTTTTGAGACAGGGTCTTACCATGTCACCTAGGCTGGAGTGCAGTGGCCCGGCCCAATCTTGGCTCACTCTGTAACCTCCACACCCCAAACTCAAGGGATCCTCCCACCTCAGCCTCCAGAGTCCCAAATAGCTGGGACCACAGGCGCATGCCACTACATCTGACTATTTTTTTATTTTTTGTATTTTTAGTACGGAGAGTCTTGCTATGTTGCCCAGGCTGGTCTAGAACTCCTGAGCTCAAGAATCCGCCCACCTCGGCCTCTCAAAGTGCTGGGACTATAGGCCTGAGCCACTGTGCCCGGTCTGGAGTCCGCATTTTTAACTAGATCTCAGGTCATTTGTGTGCACACTGAACTTTGAGAAGCTCTGATTTATTTATTTATTTAGACAAAGTCACACTCTGTCACCCAGGCTGGAGTGCAGTGGCGAGATCTCAGCTCACTGCAACCTCTGCCTCCCAGGTTCAAGTGCCTCTCCTGCCTCAGCCTCCAAGTAGCTCCAAGATTACAGGCGCCCACCACTACGCCTGGCTGATTTTTGTATTTTTAGTAGAGACCAGGTTTCACCATGTTGGCCAGGCTGGTCTTGAACTCCTGACCTCAGATGATCCACCCGACCTCAAATGATCCGCCCATCTTGGCCTCCCAAAGTGCTGGGATTATAGGCATGAGCCATTGTGCCCAGCCCAAGAAGCTCTGATTTAAAATGCAGTACCCAATAAATTGATGAAGGTAGTTGAAACAATCTCTAATATATGTGACAGTTTAGAGTTTATAAAATAATTCCATATTTGTTATTTCATTTTATCTTTTTTTGTTTTTTGTTTTTTTGAGACAAGAGTCTCACTCTGTCACCCAGGCTGGAGTACAGTGGTGCAATCTCGGTTCATTGCAACCTCCACCTCCTGGGTTTAAGTGATTCTCCTGCCTCAGCCTCCCGAGTAGCTGAGATTACAGGCGCCTGCCATCACATCCGACTAATTTTTGTAATTTTAGTAGAGATGGGGTTTCACCATGTTGGTCAGGCTGGTCTTGAACTCCTGACCTCAGTCAATCTACCGCCTCAGCCTCCCAAAGTGCTGGGATTACAGGCGTGAGCCGCCGCACCCAGCCTACTTGAGTAGTTTCCTTTTTTTTTTTTTTTTTGAGGTGGAATCTCGCTCTGTTGCCAGGCTGGAGCGCAGTGGCATGATCTCGGCTCATTGCAACCTCCTCTTCCTGGGTTCAAGTGATTCTCTTGCCTCAGCCTCCTGAGTAGGTGGGATTACAGGCGCCTGCCACCACGCCCAGCTAATTTTTTTGTATTTTTATTAGAGACGCGGTTTCACCATGTTAGCCAGGATGGTCTCGATCTCCTGACCTCATGATCTGCCCGCCTTGGCCTCCCAAAGTGCTGGGATTACAGGCGTGAGCCACCGCGCCCGGCCAAGGATCTTTTTTTTTTTTTTGAGATGGAGTCTCACTCTGTCACCCGGGCTGGAATGCAGTGGCACCATCTCAGCTCACTGCAACCTCCGCCTCCTGGGTTCAAGCAATTCTCCTGCCTCAGCCTCCCGAGTAGCTGGAATTACAGGTACGTGCCACCATGCCTGGTTAATTTTTGTATTTTTAGTGGAGATAGGGTTTTGCCATGTTGGCCAGGCTGGTCTCAAACTCCTGACCTCAGGTGATCCGCCCACCTCTGACTCCCAAAGTGTTGGGATTACAGGCGTGAGCCACTGCGCTGGGCCCGATTAAGTATCTTTAGATGGGAAGATGATCCTGGAGTATCCAAGTGGGCTCTAGAAGATGCAATTAGAAGTGTCAGTATAAGAAAGAGAGAAGAAGATCTGAGACGGATACCTAGAGAAAGCAATGTGGGAGCTGGGCATGGTGGCTCACGCTGTAATCCCAGCACTTTGGGAGGCTGAGGCACATGGATCACCTGAAGTCAGGAGTTCGAGACCAGCCTGACCAACATGGCGAAACCCCCCAAAATACAAAAATTAGCCAGGTGTGGTGGCAGGCACATGTAATCCCAGCTACTCAAGAGGCTGAGGGATGAGAACTGCTTGACAGCCCGTGGGGCGGAGGTTGCTGTGAGCTGGGATCACGCCATTGCATGGTAGCCTGGGCAAAAGAGTAAGACTCTGTCTCAAAAATAAAATAATAAGGCCGGGCGAGGTGGCTCACGCCTGTAATCCCAGCACTTCGGGAGGCCGAGGTGGGCGGATCACGAGGTCGAGAGATCGAGACCACCCTGGCCAACACGGTGAAACCCCGTCTCTACTAAAAATACAAAAAAAGCCGGGAATGGTGGCAGGCGCCTGTAATCCCAGCTACTTGGGAGGCTGAGGCAGGAGAATCGCTTGATCCCGGGAGGCAGAGGTTGCAGTGAGCCAAGATTGCACCATTGCACGCCAGCCTGGGCAAAAAGAGTGAAACTCTGTCTCAAAAAAAAAAATAAATTAATAAAATAAAATAAAATAATATAAGTCAGCAGGCGGTGGCTCATGTCTGTAATTCCAGTACTTTGGGAGGCCGAGGCAGGCGGATCACCTGAGGTTGGGAGTTTGAGACCAGCCTGACCAACATGGAGAAAACCCGTCTCTACTAAAAATACAAAATTAGCTCGGTGTGGTGGCACATGCCTGTAATCCCAGCTACTTGGGAGGCGGAGGAAGGAGAATCGCTTGAACCCAGGAGGCAGAGGTTGCGGTGAGCCAAGATCGCTCCATGGCACTCCAGGCTGGCCAACAAGAGTGAAACTCTGTCTCAAAAATAAAATAAAATAAAATAAAAAAACACAGATCTGGCCACATTAATTTTCCGTGAAAAAATCTGTCAGTGGCACATTAATGCCTGTAAGATGATGCCAAACTCCTTGCCTGGCCTGAGGTGCTCTTCACCGTCTGGTCCCTCATCTTCTCCCTCATGCTCAAATACACAAACATACATGCACACATTGACACTCCTATGTTCACAATCGCTCTCACACACACACTCACACTCACTTGAGCCATGCTGCACTACAGAATTCCTATGATTGGGCTGTTTTAGCTTCTGTGAGTTTCATGAGCTCCTGCAACGTCTCTCATAGAAAGAAAGTTGTTTCATCTCAACACATGTGTGGCAAAAACTGGTTTGTTCAGCATGGAATAGAAAATGGTTCTGCTGCTGGGCGCAGAGGCTCATGCCTGTAATCCCAGCACTTTGCGAGGCCAAGGCAGGAGGATCACCTGAGGTTAGGATCTTTCCTTTAAAAGAACTGATTGTTGAAACCATGACTGTGAAATTCCACATTTAAACATATTTGTACCTCAACTCATGTTTTTCAATATCATGAAAAGTCCATCCAGGCCAGGCACAGTGGCTCACACCTGTAATCCCAGCACTTTGGGAGGCTGAGGCGGGCAGATCACAAGGTCAGGAGTTTGAGACCAGCCTGGCCAACATGGTGAAACCTCGTCTCTACTAAAAATACAAAAATTAGCTGGGCATGGTGTCAGATACCTCTAATTCCAGCTACTCCGTAGGCTGAGGCAGGAGAATCATTTGAACCTGAGAGGCAGAGGTTGCAGTGAGCCGAGATGGCGCCATTGCACTTCAGCCTGGGCAACAGGGTGAGACTCCGTCTCAAAAAAGTCCATCCACAAAAAATGCATATTTTTACATAAATGATTATTACAAATTTCTAACAATATGTGACATTTCAATATACATGATTATGTTGACATTACGCAGCTGTAAAAGAGAACAAGGCAGCCCGGGCCTGGTGGCTTATGCCTGTAATCCCAGCACTTTGGGAGGCCAAGGCGGGCAGTTCACTTGAGATCAGGAGTTCAAGACCAGCCTGGCCAACATGGCGAAACCCCGTCTCTACTAAAAATATTATACAAAAAAATTAGGCGTGGTGGCATGCGCCTGTATTCCCAGCAACTCGGGAGGCTGAGGCAGGAGAATCGCTTGAACCCAGGAGGCGGAGGTTGCAGTGAGCCGAGATCACAGGACTGCAGTCCAGCCTGGGACGACAGGGCTAGACTCCGTCTCAAAAAAAAAAAAAAAAAAGAAAGAAAGAAAAAGAAAAGAACAACGCGGCTCTGCGAGTACTGACACAAATCCCCAGCATAAAAAGTGAAAAATGCACACCTTTGTGGAAAAGTGTGAATAGTCTGCTCCCATTTCTATTAGCAAACACACCTGTGTGCACACTGAGCTTTCTGTCCAGTCTGGAAGGGGAGGGCGGGGCCTTCCCGGGAGTGAAGGGGATGGGGCCGACCCGGACCCTCCAGGGAACGCCCTTGAGTAACTCCCGCACTTGGGACCCCGTTTCCACCCAGGACCACAGGCTCAAGATGGCCTGGTAGATGCAGCCGGCACGCGCCTCTCCTCCGACGGGAACAGAAGGAGCCGGTAGGTTTTCACACTTGCAGCAGATCCGCTAAGAGAACGAGGGATTCAGCCGAGAAGCCACTGGGAGCCCGAGGAGTGGAGCAGAGGCACCCAGGCAGCCTGCGCGGAGAAATCGGATCGGCTGGGACGGCCTGCAGCCCCCGCGCGCGGGGAAAGGGTGAGTGAGAGACCCCGGGGCTCCGCAGTCCCGCTACCGACTTCCACAGCCCCCCGACCCTCGCGGGCCTCCAGAATGGGCAGCGGCCGAGAGATTCCCCAGCGGCGTTGCAGGAGCCCACGTGGAGCCCACGGGCTTCCCTGCCCTGAGCAGCTGCAGCTGCAGCCCCCGCCACCCCGAGAGTCCAGCCCCGAGGGCAGCTCCTGCCTTGCCTGCGGTTACCGCCGCCGCCAGCTGAGGGCCAAGGAGGGAGAGGGGAGGCCAGGCGCTCTCAGGAGTCCCAAAGGACAAATAACCCCGCCGCTGCCGCGGGACCCAGACGCGAGCCAGCTGCTCGCCCGCCCTGCCCCGCCTGAGCTTTCCGCCGGCAGCCTGGGGCCCAGCCCTTCCCTGTCTGTCACAGCCAGAGCCCAAACCCCGGGGGCCTGAGGACAGTCCGCTGGCGGTTCCGTCCCGCGAGGACTGGAGCACAGGGGCCTGGGGATTGGTGGCTGCGGGTTTTGTCCGTCACCGTTGGCGGCTGAACACTCCTCCCCGGGGTCTGAGGTCTGGGGCACAGCCTGCCGATACCACCACGGACAGGCCAGGGGACTCGCTTGCCCCTCCCACCCATCAACACCTGCTGCCCCCGGGCCTGAGATTAGCCGCATGCCCAGGCAGGGACTGTCACTACCAGCATTCGAGCAGGGCACCTAGACGCCCACGAAGAGACCCACAAATCGCTCCCCTGAACCCACTAACGCCAGGGCCAGTGTACACTGCTCTGGGGCTCAAGAACAGGCAAGCACAGTCTCCACTAATAACCACACCTTAAGTCACCCAAGTAATGTACAGAGCCTACACTTCTACCTCAAACCAAAGCCAAGATCCCCTACTTAACCACATCATATCTACATCTTCAGGAAGAAGTCCTCCCCTACAAAGCGAATTCACAAACGGAAGAAGTGACTGTTCCACAGGATGCGCAGATCTCAACGGAAGGACCCAGGAGACATGAAAAAGCAAGGAAATGTGACGCCTTCAGAAGAAACCAGTAATTCTCCAGCAACAGATCCCCATCCAAAAGAAATTCAGGAAAGCTCAAACAGAGAATTGAGCAGAGAATTGACCGGACTGATTGTAAAGAAGGTCATCAACATGGAAGAGTCTTTTGAACAACAACATAAAGAAATGAGGAAAAGAGGTGGGGAGATATATGAGATGATTACCTGCCAGAAAGAGGTTTTAAAATTCAACAGAAGAGTATTTCTGGAACTGAAGAAATCATTGGATGAAATACAAAGTACACTCAAAAGCTTCAATGATAGACTAGAACAAATAGAAGAAAAACTCTCAGGGCATAAAATCTGAAGCATTTTTCTCACTTTAAAGATTCATGGGTTGTACTCTGGCCATTAATGTGAACAAAACCTGCTGGGTTAGTTCTTATTCTGGGGTCTTGGGTAATCGTTAGAGCGAAATAAAAATAATTTCCCTTAGAGATGGTCGATTTTGCAAGATTAGTTATCATCCAGCAGTTAGGTAAAGATGATCTGATTCAGTTACTGAATCTGATCAGTACTGAATTCAGTAGGCACAGTAATCCTAACAGGTGAATGTAGCTGAAGTACATTGTCATGGTCAAGAAAAGCCACTCTCTCTAACAGATTGCCCACACAGCTACATGTCAGCCCTCCTCGCTGCAAACCTGACAAACACTGTAGCATTTTATTATTTATTTATTTATTATTTAGAGATGTGGTCTTTCTGTACCCAGGCTGGAATGCAGTAGTGCAATTTCACTGCAGCCTCCATTTTCCGAGCTCATGCAATTATCCAGTCTCAGTCTCCCAAGTAGCTGGGACTACAGGCATGAGCCATGAGGCCTGTCTAATTTTTTTTTTTTTTTTTTTTGGTCGGAGCTTTGCTCTTGTTGCTCAGGCTGGAGTGCAATGGCACGATCATGGCTCACTGCAACCTCCGCCTCCCAGGTTCGTGCCTCAGCCTCCAGATTAGCTGGGATTACAGGCACCCGCCACCACATCCAGCTAGTTTTTGTATTTCTAGTAGACATGGGGTTTCCCAATGTTGGTCAGGCTGGTCTTGAACTCCTGACCTCAGGTGATCCTCCCGCCTGGGCCTCCCAGAGTGCTGGGATTACAGGGGCTGAGCCACCATGCCCAGCCTCCTGGCTAATTTTTGAACCTTTTTGTAGAAACAGGGTTTCACCATGTTGCCTAGTCTGGTCTTGAACTCCTGAACTCAAAGTGGTCTGCCTGCCTCAGCCTCCCAAAGTGCTGTGATTGCAGGAGTGAACCACACTTTGCCAAGCACACCCTAGCATGTTAATTCATCATTCTTTTTTTTTGGAGACGGCGTTTTTGCTTTGCAGGAGCCGAGATCTCGCCACTGCACTCCAGGCTGGGCGACAGAGTTAGAATCCATCTCAAAAAAAAAAAAATTAAAATTAAAAGAAAAAAGCATCCAAAAATGCATACATCAACGTAAAGGATTTTTTTTTTTTTGGTGAGATGGAGTCTCGCTCTTGTCGCCCAGGCAGGAGTGCAGTGGCGCGATCTTGGCTCACTACAACATCCGCCTCCCGGGTTCAAGCGATTCTCGTTACTCAGCCTCCCAAGTAGCTGGGATTACAGGCGCCCGCGACCACGCCCGGCTGATATTTTTATTTTTAGTAGAGACGGGGTTTCCCCATGTTGGCCAGGCTGGTCTCGAACTCCCTACCTCAGGTGATCCACCCGCCTCGGCCTCCCAGAGTGCTGGAATTACAGGCGTGAGCCACCGTGCCCGGCCAAATAGTCTATTTATATTAGCAAACACACCTGTGTGCACACGGAGCTTGCGGACCAGTCTGGAAGGGGAGGGCGGGGCCGACCCGGACCCTCCAGGGAACGCCCTTGAGTAACTCGCGCACTTGGGACCCATTCCCACCTAGGACCATAGGCTCAAGATGGCCTGGTGGATGCCGCCGGCACGCGCCTCTCCTCTGGCGGGAACCGAAGGCGCCGGTAGGTTTTCACACTTGCAGCCGATCGGCTAAGAGAACGCGGGATTCAGCCGAGAAGCCACTGGGAGCCCGAGGAGCGGAGCAGAGGCACCCAGGCAGCCTGCGCGGAGAAATCGGATCGGCTAGGACGGCCTGCAGCCCCTGCGCGCGGGGAAAGGGTGAGTGAGAGACCCCGGGGGCTCCGCAGTCCCCCCACGGACTTCCACAGCCCCCTGACCCTCGTGGACCTCCAGAGTAGGGGGCAGCGGGCGAGAGATTCCCCAGCGGCGTTGCAGGAGCCCACGTGGAGCCCACGGGCTTCCCTGCCCTGAGCAGCTGCAGCTGCAGCCGCCGCCGCCCAGCTGAGGGCCAGGGAGGGAGCGGGGAGGCCAGAGGCTTTCATACGTCCGAAAAGACTAATAACCCCACCGCCACCGCGGGACTCAGACGCGAACCAACCGCTTGCCTGCTCTACCCCGCCTGAGCTTTCCTGGGGACCAGCCCTTCCCTGTCCGTCCTAGCCAGCGACCGAACCCCGGGGCCCTCAGGACAGTCCGCTGGTGGTTCTGCCTCCTGAGGACTTGCGCACGCGGGCCGGAGGCCTGGGGATTGGTGACTATTCTGCCTCTTCCGCCACCGTTGGCGGCTGAACACTCCTCCCCGGTGTCTGAGTTCAGGGGCCCAGCCTGCGGATAACACCTCAGGCTACCTACAGGCCCGGGGACTCGCGTGCCCGCCCAACCTGGTCAGCCACCACCAACACCAGCAGGGACCGCCTGGATTCCGGAGGGTTGCCCCCCCAACTGCAACTACCCTGCCCACATCACACCCACTGCCCCAACGCCTGAGATCAGCCACACCCCCAGCCAGTGGCTGCCACTACCAGCATTAGAGCAGGGCACCTAGAGACACACGAATCACTCCCCACAACCCGCTAATAACAGAGCCAGCATGCACTGCTCTGGGACTAAAGAATAGGTAAGATCAGGCCACCACTGGGGCCCAAATACTGGCCCACCTGGCCGCCTAGTCCCCAGCAACCACAGCCTCCACTAATAACCACACCCTAAGCCACCCAAGAAATCATACAGAGCCTACAGTACTACCCCAAATCAAAGCCAAAGTGCCCCAGCTAACCAACACCCTATCTACATTTTCAGGAAGAAGTCCTCCCCTACAAAGCGAGTTCACAAACTTGGAAGAAGCCACTTTCACAGGATGCACAGATCTCAACGGAAGGACACAGAAAACATGAAAAAGCAAGGAAATGGGGCGCCTCCAACGGAACCCAGTAATTCTCCAGCAGCAGATCCCCATCCAAAAGAAACAGAAGACATTTTGGAGAGAGAATTGAATATACATATTATACAGTTGTGGGCATAATACAAGCATCATTTGGAAAAGAACAGAGAAAAAAGATGGAAGGAGTTACCGTACTGCAGGAAAAAATTATCAACTCCAGTGATATTATTAAATACAACCTAACGACACTTCTGAAGCTGAAGAAATCACTGGATGAAATACAAAGTAAACTCAAAAGCTTCAGTGATAGACTAGAACAAGAAGAAGAAAGACTCTCAAAACTTGAAATCTGAAGCATGTTTCTTAAAGATTTAAAGGGTTATTATACTCTGGCCATTAATGTGAACGAAATCTGCTGGGTTAATTCTTATACTGGGGTCTTGGATAATCATTAAAGTGAAATGAGAATAATTTCTTTTTGAGATGATCAATTTTATGAGGTCGATTTTTTTTTTTTTTTTTTAATGAGACTGAGTCTTGCTCTGTCGCCCAGGCTGGAGTGCAGTGGCATGATTTCGGTTCACTGCAACCTCCGTCTCCCAGGTTCAAGAGATTCTCCTGCCTTAGCCTCCAGAGTAGCTGGGACTACAGGCGTGTACCACCACACCCAGCTTATTTTTGTATTTTTAGTAGAGATGGGGTTTCACCATGTTAGCCAAGGTGGTCTCAAACTCCTGACCTCAGGTGATCCACCCGCCTCGGCTTCCCAAAGGGCTGGGATTACAGGCATGAGCCACCGGGCTGGCTGAGATGGATTCTTGTTAGGCAGCAGTCATGGAAAGATGATTTGATTCAGTTGACATTAACAGTACGCACAGTAATCCTAACAGGTGAATGTAATTTAAGCTAAATTACCAGGCAATTGTCATAGTCTGGAAAACACACTCTGCCAGGTGAGGTGGCTCAGGCCTATAATCCCAGCACTTTTGGGAGGCCGAGGAGGGTGGATCACCTAGGGTCAGGAGTTCAAGACCAGCCTGGCCAACATGCTGAAACCCCGTCTCTATTAAAAATAGAAACAAAATTAGCCGGGCGTGGTGGCGGGCGCCTGTAGTCCCAGCTACCAGGAGGCTGAGGCAGGAGAATGGCATGAACCCAGGAGGCGGAGCTTGCAGTGAGCTGAGATCGCACCACTGCACTCAAGCCTGGATGACAGAGTGAGACCCCCGTCTCAAAAAATAAATAAATAAATAAACTTTTGGAGATAAATGCCAACAATCTTCCAAAATATCCTGGGTGAGCTGTACACCCATGCTGCTACAGTGTACTCACTAAAGTCAAAAGTTGGAAACACCTAAATAGCCAACAGATGAATGGATAAACAAAATGTGGTCTGGCCATATGATGGAATATTATTCTACCTTCTTAAGGAAAGAAGGTTTTTTGTTTTGTTTTCCAGACAGAGTCTCTCTTTGTCACCCAGGCTAGAGTACAGTGGCGAGACGTCGGCTCACTGCAACCTCCACCTCCCAGGTTCACACGATTCTTGTGCCTCGACCTCCTGAGTAGCTGGGATTACAGGTGTGCCCCACCATGTCTGGCTTATTTATTTATTTATTTAGAGATGGAGTTTCATTCTTGTTGCCCAGGCTGGAGTGCAATGGCGTGATCTCGGCTCACCGCAACCTCAAGCCTCCTGGGTTCAAGCAATTCTCCTGCCTCAGCCTTCCGAGTAGCTGGGATTACAGGCATGCGCCACCACGCCTGGCTAATTTTGTATTTTTAGTAGAGACGGTTTTGCCATGTTGGCCAGGCTGGTTTTGAACTCCTGGCCTCAGGTCATCCACTTGCCTTGGCCTCCCAAAGTGCTGGGATTATGGGCATGAGCCACCATGCTCACCTTAAAAAGGAAGGAAATTCTGACACATGCTGCAATCAGGTGAACCTTGAGATCATTAGGTTACCTGGAATAAACCAGTAACAAAAAAACAAATACCATATGATTCCCCTTGTATAAAGGACTTAGAGGAGGCAACATCAGAGACAAAAAATAGAATAGAATGGTGGTTGCCAGGGCCTGGGGGAAGGAGGAAAGGGGAGTTGTTCAATGGTTATAGAGTTTCAGTTAGGGATCATAGAAAGTTCTGGAGATGGATGGTGGTGATGGTTGCATAACAATGTGAGTGTATTTAATGCTACTGAACTGTATACTTCCAAATGGTTAGAATGGGCTGGTCCTGGTAAGGTGGGTGGATGGATTCAGCTCGCAAGTTTGAGACCAGTCTGGGGAGCATGGTGAAACCCCGTCTCTACAGTAAAAATTTGGCTGGTCGTGGTGGTGCGATCCTGTAGTCTCAGCTACTTGGGAGGCTAAGGTGGGAGGATGGCTTGGGCCAAGGAGATGGAGGTTGAAGTGAGCCCAGATGGCACCACTCCACTCCAGCCTAGGCTAAAGAGGCAGGCTGGGCACGGTGGCTCATGCCTGTAATCCCAGTACTTTGGGAGGTTGAGGCGGGCAGATCACAAGGTCAAGACTTTGAGATCATCCTGGCCGACAATGGTGAAACCCTGTCTCTACTGAAAATACAAAAATTAGCTGGGCGTGGTGGCATACGCCTATAGTCTCAGCTACTCGGGAGGCTGAGGCAGGAGGATGGCTTGAACCCAGGAGGTGGAGGTTGCAGTGAGCTAAGATCACACCACTGCACTCCAGACTGGCAATAGAGTGAGACTCCATCTCAAAAAAAAAAAAATAAAATAAAGGTTAGATTGGCAAATTTTATGTTATGGATAGTTTGTCACAAGATAGCAGTATTGTTAAATATGAAAAAATACTGAGTGACTAAATTTTTAGGTTTATAATATAAAAACAAAACATTTCTTTTTTTTTTTTTTTGAGATGGAGTCTCACTCTTGTTGCCGGGGCGGGAGTGCAATGTGCCATCTTGGCTCACCGCAACCTCCACCTCCTGGGTTCCAGCGAATCTCCTGCCTCAGCCTCCTAAGTAGCTGGGATTACAGGCATGCGCCACCACGCCCGGCTAATTTTGCATTTTTAGTAGAGATGGGGTTTCACCATGTTGGTCAAGCTGGTCTCGAACTCCCAACCTCAGGTGATCTGCCCGCCTTGGCCTTCCAAAATGCTGGGATTACAGGCGTGAGCCACTGTGCTCAGCCCCATCTTTACCTTTGAAAGGAATGATTGTTGAAATCATCTCTCTGAAATTTCACATTTAAACATATTTATACCCCCAAATCATGTTTTTCAATACTGTTCAAAGGCCATCTATAAAAATGCATATTTCAACATAAAAGATTTTTCAAACATCTAACAATATGTGACATTCCAATATAGATGATTATATTGATATTATTTAGCTGTAAAAAAGAATAAGGCAGGCCGGGCACGGCGGCTGACGTCTGTAATCCCAGCACTTTGGGAGGCCGAGGTGAGCAGATCACCTGAGGTCAAGAGTTTGAGACCAGCCTGGCCAACATGGTGAAACCCCATCTCTACTAAAAATACGAAATTAGGCAGGGCATGGTGGCGTGCGCCTGTAATCCCAGCTACTCAGGAGGCTGAGGCAGGAGAATCGCTTGAACCCGGGAGGGGGAGGTTGCGGTGAGCCGAGATCGCGCCGTTGCACTCCAGCCTGGCCAACAAGAGCCAGATTCCGTCTAAAAAAAAAAAAAAAAAAGAATAAGGTGGCTCTGTGAGTACTAACACAAATCCCCAGTATAGAAAGTGAAAAATGGCTGGGCGCCGTGGCTCACGCCTGTAATCCCAGCACTTTGGGAGGCCGAGGCGGGCAGATCACGAGGTCAGGAGTTCAGGACCAGCCTGGCCAACATGGTGAAACCCCGTCTCTACTAAAAATACAAAAATTAGCTGGGCGTGGTGGCGCTTGCCTATAAACCCAGCTACTCGGGAGGCTGAGGCAGGATAATTGCTTGACCCTGGACCCGGGTTGCAGAGAGCCGAGATCGCGCCGCTGCACTCCGTCTCAAAAAAAAAAAAAAAAGTGAAAAATGAACACTTTTGTGGAAAAGTGTAAATAGTCTGCTCCCATTTCTATTAGCTAACACACCTGTGTGCACACGGAGCTTTCAGTCCAGTCTGGAAGGGGAGGGCGGGGCCTTCCCGGGAGTGAAGGGGGCGGGGCCGACCCAGACCCTCCAGGGAACGCCCTTGAGTAACTCGCGCACTTGGGGCCCGTTTCCACCTAGGACTACAGGCTCAAGATGGCCTGGTAGATGCAGCCGGCACGCACCTCTCCTCTGACGGGAACCGAAGGAGCCGGTAGGTTTTCACACTTGCAGCAGATCCGCTAAGAGAACGCGGGATTCAGCCGAGAAGCCACGGGGAGCCCGAGGAGCGGAGCAGAGGCACCCAGGCAGCCTGCGCGGAGAAATTGGATCGGCGGGGACGGCCTGCAGCTCCCGCGCGCGGGGAAAGGGTGAGTGAGAGACCCCGGGGCTATGCAGTTCCCCCAGGGACTTCCACAGCCCCCCGACCCTCGCGGACCTCCAGAATAGGGGGCAGCGGGCGAGAGATTCCCCAGCGGCGTTGCAGGAGCCCACGTGGAGCCCACGTGGAGCCCACGGGCTTCCTTGCCCTGAGCAGCTGCAGCTGCAGCCCCTGCCACCCCGAGAGTCCAGCCCCGAGGGCAGCTCCTGCCTTGCCTGCGGTTACCGCCGCCGCCAGCTGAGGGCCAGGGAGGGAGAGGGGAGGCCAGGCGCTCTCAGGAGTCCCAAAGGACAAATAATCCCGCCGCTGCCGCGGGACCCAGACACGAGCCAACTGCGCGCCCGCCCTGCCCCGCCTGAGCTTTCCGTCCGCCGCCTGGGGCCCAGCCCTTCCCTGTCTGTCACAACCAGAGCCCAAACCCCGGGGGCCTGAGGACAGTCCACTGGCGGCTCCGTCCCCTGAGGACCTTGAGCAGGAGGGCCAGGGGCCTGGGGATTGGTGGCTGTTCTGCCCTTTCCGCCACCGTTGGCGGCTGAACACTCCTCCCCGGGGTCTGGGGTCAGGGACCCAGCCTGTGGGATACCACCCAACTGCAACTGTCCTCATCCACATCACACTCACTGCTCCAGGGCCTGGGATCAACCACGAGCTTAGCTGGGGCTTGCAGGGACCAGCCCCACAGGGTCGGGGGGCTTCTCCCTGTGTGCGGCGACGAGAGAGTGTAGAAATAAAGACACAAGACAAAGGGATAAAAGAAAAGACAGCTGGGCCCGGGGCACCACTACCACCAATGCGCGGAGACCGGCAGTGGCCCCGAATGTCTGGCTGCGCTGTTATATTTTGGATACAAAGCAAAAGGGGCAGGGTAAAGAGTGTGAGTCATCTCCAATGATAGGTAAGGTCACGTGGGTCACGTGTCCACTGGACAGGGGGCCCTTCCCTGCCTGGCAGCCAAGGCAGCGAGAGAGAGAGACAAAGAGAAAGACAGCTTACGCCATTATTTTTGCATATCAGAGACTTTTAGTATTTTCACTAATTTACTACTGCTATCTAGAAGGCAGAGCCAGGTGTACAGGATGGAACATGAAGGCGGACTACGAGCGTGACCACTGAAGCACAGCATCACAGGGAGATGGTGAGGCCTCCAGATAACTGCGGGCAAGCCTGACTAATGTCAGGCCCTCCAACAAGAGGTGGAGGAGCAGAGTCTTCTCTAAACTCCCCCGGGGAAAGGGAGACTCCCTTTCCCGGTCTGCTAAGTAGCCTGTGTTTTTCCTTGACACTGAGGCTACCACTAGACTACCGTCCGCTCGGCAAGGGGCGTCTTCCCAGAAGCTGGCGTTACCGCTAGCCCAAGGAGCCCTTCTGGTGGCCCTGTCTGGGCATAACAGAAGGCTCGCACTCTTGTCTTCTGGTCACACCTCACTATGTCCCCTCAGCTCCTATCTCTGTATGGCCTGGTTTTTCCTAGGTTATGATTTTAGAGCAAGGATTATTATAATATTGGGATAAATTAATTACTACCAACTAATGATTAATGATATTCATATATAATCATCTCTAAGATCTATATCTGGTATAACTATTCTTGTTTTATATTTTATTGTACTGGAACAGCTCGTGTCCTCGGTCTCTTGCCTCGGCGCCTGGGTAGCTTGCCGCCCACAGGGGCTGCCACTACCAGGATTCGAGCAGAGCACCTAGAGGACTCCAAATTGCTCCCCTGAACCCATTAATGCCAGAGCCAGCCTACACCGCTCCTGGGCTCAAAGACTGGCCCACCTTAGCCTCTTAGTCCCCAGCAACCACACCCTCCACTAATAACCACACCCTAAGCCACCCAAGAAATCATACAGAGCCTACAGTACTACCCCAATCAAAGCCAAAGTGCCCCACCTAACCAACACCCTATCTACATTTTTAGGAAGAAGTCCTCCCCTACAAAGCAAATTCACAAACTTGGAAGAAGCAATTTACACAGGATGTGCAGATCTCAATGGAAGGACACGGGAAACGTGAAAAAGCAAGGAAGTGGGACGCCTCCAAAGGAACCCAGTAATTCTCCAGCAACAGATCCCCATCCAAAAGAAATTCAAGAAATGTCATATAGAGAATTGTGGAAACTGATTTTAACCAAGATTAGAGGGATTCAAGAGACTTCTGAAAAAGAAAGTAAGGAAATGTCAACAGCAATTCTGGATATGGTTGAGGTATTTACCAACCAGATACAGAGTTTTCCAGAGCACATGGCAAATGTGGAACTGAAGAAATCACTGGATGAAATACAAAGTATACTCGAAAGCTTCAATGATAGACTAGATCAAGCAGAAAAAAAACTCTCAAAACTTAAAATCTGAAGGCTTTTACTCAATTCAAATATTTAATGGGTTGTACTCTGGCCATTCAGGTGAACAAAATCTGCTGGGTTAATTTTTTTTTTTTTTTTTTTTTTGAGATGGAGTCTCGCTCTGTCGCCCAGGCTGGAGTGCAGTGGCGGGACCTCGGCTCACTGCAAGCTCCGCCTCCCAGGTTCACGCCATTCTCCTGCCTCAGCCTCCTGAGTAGCTGGGACTACAGGTGCCCGCCACCACACCCGGCTTATTTTTTGTATTTTTAGTAGAGGTGGGGTTTCACTGTTAGCCAGGATGGTCTCGATCTCTTAACCTCGTAATCCACCCGCCTCGGCCTCCCAAAGTGCTGGGATTACAGGCGTGAGCCACTGCGCCTGGCCTTGGGTTGTTATACTGGGGTCTTGAATAATCATTAAAGGTGAAATGAAAATAATTTCCTTTTGAGGTGGTCAATTTTGTGAGATGGATTCTTGTTAGGCAGCTGTCATGGAAAGATGATTTAGTTCAGTTGACATTAATAATACGCATGGTAATCCTAACAGGTGAATGTGGTTCAAACTAAATTGCCAGGGAATTGTCATGGTCTAGAAAAGCCACTCTCTCCAGTAGACTGCTCACACAGCTACATGTCAGCCCTCCTCACTGTGAAAGTGACAGACACCCTAGCATTTTTATTCATCTCCCTTAGGTGCCTCAACTTTTTCTCCCACTCTCAGCTGAAAAGAGCTACATCTACCATTTCATCTACTTAGTGTATTTTCTTATTGGCTATGTTAAAAAATTACAAACATAACAATTATGAATGAAAAATAACTCCATGGCTGGGTGCAGTGGCTCACACCTGTAATCCCAGCACTTTGGGAGGCTGAGGCGGGTAGACCACAAGGTCAGGAGTTCAAGACCAGCCTGGCCAAGATGGTGAAACCGTCTCTACTAAAAATACAAAAATTAGCCGGGTGCAGTGGCAGGCACCTGTAATCCCAGCTGCTTGGGAGGCTGAGGGAGGAGAATCAGTTGAACCCGGAGGGTGGAGATTGCAGTGAGACTCTCAAAAAAACAAAACAACACAAAAAAATCTCCTAAGATGATTAAAACAAACTTGCTTCTACAATAAACCGTAAACTCACCGTATCTAGTGATTCTGTACATTAAATCTTTTGAACATGTTTACCAATTTGGTGTTATGAAAAATTTTTTAGAGGTTGTGTATGGGCTGGGCACAATGACTCATGCCTGTAATCCCACCACTTTGGGAGGCTGAGACGGGCGGATCACTCAAGGACAGGAGTTCGAGATCAGCTGGGGCAACATGGCAAAACCCCATCTCTACAAAAAGTACAAAAATTAGCCAGGCGTGCACTAATTAGTGGGCTGGACCATTACTGGTGTGTGTATCTCTAGTCTCAACTACTCAGAGGCTGAGCTGGCGAGATCAGTGGAGCCCAGGAGATTGAGGCTGCTGTGAGCTGTGGTCATGCCACTGCACTCCAGCCGGGATGACAGAGTGACACCGTGTCTCAAAAAAACAAAAAACAAAAAATTGTGTCTGTACTCCACTTTCCAACTGGATATAGTGTCCATATCAAGGTCATCTAAATAAATATAATGTTTTGGAGAGAGTTGTTTTTTTTTTTTTTTTTTTTGTGACGGAGTCTCGCTATGTTGCCGAGGCTGGAGAGCAGTGGCGCGATCTTGGCTCACTGCAACCTCTGCCTCCTGGGTTCAAGTGATTCTCCTCCCTCAGCTTCCTGAGTAGCTGGGATTACAGGTACCCGCCACCAGGCCCAGCTAATTTTTTGTGTTTTTAGTAGAGTCGGGGTTTCACCATGTTGGACAGGCTGGTCTCGAACTCCTGACCTTGTGATTTACCTGCCTTGGCCTCCCAAAGTGCTGGGATTACAGGTGTGAGCCACTCCACTCGGCACTTTTTTCTTTTTTTTGAGATGGAGTTTTGCTCTTGTTGCCCAGGCTGGAGTGCAATGGCACAATCTCGGCTTACTGCAACCTCCGCCTCCCAGGTTCAAGCGATTCTCCTGCCTCAGCTTCCCAGGTAGCTGGGATTACAGGCACGTGCTACCACGCCCAGCTAATTTTTGTATTTTTAGTAGAGACGGGGTTTCACCATGTTGGACAGGCTGGTCTTGAACTCCTGACCTCAGGATTTCCACCCGTCTCAGACTCCCAAAGTGTTGGGATTACAGGCGTAAGCCACTGCACCCGGCCTCCAGGCTCAAGCAATTCTTATGCCTCAGCCACATGAGTAGCTGGTATTACAGGTGTGTGCCAACATGCCTGGCGAATTTTTGTATTTTTAGTAGAGATGGGGTTTCGCCATGTTGGCCAGGCTGTTCTTGAACTCCTGGCTTCCATCAGTTCTCCCATCTTAGCCTCCCAAAGTGTTGGGATTACAGGTGTGACCCACTGCAACTGGCCAGGCACTTCAATTTTTTTTTTTTTGCTCTGTCACCAGGCTGGAGTGCAGTGGTGCGATCTCGGCTCACTGCAGTCTCCGCCTCGCGGGTTCAGGCAATTCTGCCTCACCCTTCTGAGTAGCTGGGACTACAGGCATGCCCCACCATGCCCAGCTAATTTTTGTATTTTTAGTAGAGACGGGGTTTCACCATGTTGGCCAGGATGGTCTCGATCTCTGGACCTTGTGATCCGCCTGCCTCGGCCTCCCAAAGTGCTGGGATTACAGGCGTGAGCCACCACGCCCAGCCAGGCACTTCAAATTTTTTGTCTCTGTGTGTCTGCGAATAACTGAGAAAGTGCCACAGTATTGATTTGGGGGTTACAAACATATTTTAGTGAGTAGGCAAATTCTCAAATACAAAATCTATGAATAAGGATCAAGTATACGTTCATTTGGCATTTTAAGTACCCCAGGTTCCCTCATTATCTGAGGGAGGGCAGCATATGAAACTTATTTAGACTTCTTCTTAAACATTTAATGTAATTTAATTTATTTGAGACAGGATGTCTGTTGCCCAGGCTGGAGTATAGTGGCGCGATCTCGGCTCAGTGCAATCTCTGCCTCCCAGGCTCAAGCAATTCTTATGCCTCAGCCACCTGAGTAGCTGGTATTACAGGCGTGTGCCAACACACCCTGTGAATTTTTGTATTTTTAGTAGAGATGGGATTTTGCCATGTTGGCCAGGCTGGTCTTGAACTCCTGGCCTCAAGTGATCCGCCTGCCTTAGCATCCCAAAGTGCTGGGATTACAAGTGTGAGCCACCGCTCCTGGGCTAGAACTCTTTTTTTTTTGAGATGGAGTCTTGCTCTGTTGCCCAAGCTGGAGTACAGTGGCGCAATCTTGGCTCACTGCAACCTCTGTCTCCCGGGCTCAAACAATTCTTATGCCTCAGCCTCCCAAGTAGCTGGGATTACAGGCACGCGGCACCACACCCAGCTGATTTTTCTATTTTTAGTAGAGATGGGGTTTCACCACGTTGGTCAGGATGGTCTCGATCTCCTGACCTCATGATCCGCCCACCTTGGCCTCCCAAAGTGCTGGGATTACAAGTGTGAGCCACCACGCCCCGCCTAGAACTCTTATAGAGAATGAAGAATGCGTTTTGATTTTCTTTTTTGCATATCCAAGACATTGCACTCAAGTTTCTGAATCGGCCTATTAGGTTGGTGCAAAAGTAATAGTGGCTTTTGCCATTAAAAATTAAAAATGGCAAAAACCACGATTAGTTTTGCACCAACCTAACATTTAGGAAAATGGAGAGTTCCACGAAGGTGGGAATTTCTGTCTTTTTCATTTATGCTGTCTATGGTCAGCAGCTAGAACAGCAGTGCACACACAGCAGGTGCTCAGCCAGTCGGTATTTGTTGGGTGAATCAAGGAATGAAAATCACATTCAAGCCAATACACGTGATTAAACTACTGTTGTATCATTGGGCTGCGACGGTTACAAGTCCACAAACTGTTTAACTGGACATATGTGAGGTGGTAAATCCCTCCATTTTACAGGTCTTTGGGAAGTTCTGGGGCCAGGAAATCCAAATTTGATAATAGGATTTTCTCAACTGAACTCAGGGCAGAGCACAGATGGTCTGAGTGAACGCCCTGTGTGACAGGTGCCTTCCTGCAGGTAGGAACACTTCCTCTGCAGTCAGAGGGAGAAGAAAACATCAGGAGCTGGATGTGATTTCAGATCTGCACCGAGAAACATGCTGATTTCACTGGGGATGTGGCAGTCCCAGGTGAAGGCTGGCTAGGTCATAATTGACATCTCCTCCCTGTCTCTGCTCTCAGACATGGAGTTGATTATGCTTTTTAAATACTTTATGAATTCCATCCGGATCTCCTCAGGGTCATCTTCCAGGTTTGAGTGCACCAGCTTCAGCTTGTTCAAGGGTGGCGCTTGAAAATGAAGATAAGGTTAATTAGGCAAAGAGTTTCCATGAAGGGCCCTTTATAGCTCCCAATGAAACTTCTAGAAGAAATTTAACTTTCTGAAGTTCACAGATCAAGTTGTCTTCTTGACACCAGAGAACAGAGAATGGGTTTGCTATACTGCCCCCTGGCGACAGGATGAAAACCTTACAAACCACTTTCCAGGTCTTCTGTTCTTAAACCAGAAAGGAATAGATTCTCTATTATTCTCATTTTGTTTCTGAATATTTTGTGAGTTCTTTTTCAGGATGACTGTGTCACCTCTGGGATGTGTGTTATGTGAATTGGAGGTTTTTCTCCAGAAAAGTTCTTTCAGAAAGAGTGCCCCCCTAGTTGTACCCAAGAATAGCTACAAGGATTTTCCCACTCTGTATTCTGCTCTTTTTTTTTTTGAAACAGAGTTTCACTCTTGTTGTCCAGGCTGGAGTGCAATGGCACAATCTCAGCTCACTGCAACCTCTACCTCCCAGGTACAAGTGATTCTCTTGCCTCAGCCTCCTGAGTAGCTGGGATTACAGGTATGCACCACCACCCCTGGCTAATTTTTGTATTTTTAGTAGAGATGGGGTTTCACCGTGTTGGCCAGGTTGGTCTAGAACTCCCGACCTCAAGTGATCCGCACACCTTGGCCTCCCAAAGTGTTGGGATTACAGGTCTGAGCCACCGCACCCGGTCTTTTCTCTTTTTTTTTTTTTTTTTTTGAGATGGTGTCTCGCCCTGTCACACAAACTGGAGTGTAGTGGTGAGATCTCAACTCACTGCAATCTCCGCCTCCTGGGCTCAAGCAATTCTCCTGCCTTAGCCCCCTGAGTAGCTGGGAGTACAGGCGCCTGCCATCATGCCTGGCTAATTTTTGTATTTTTAGTAGAGACGTAGTGGACTCACATGGAGAGGGTAACAATTGCCTAGGGTACAGTAGGTGCTCAGTAACTGGACAGAGCTGCTGGTTTCTAGGACATGGGACAATATGTAGGTGTCCAAAACATTCAAGACAAAAGAGGAAGAGAAATTCCAGTTTCCTTACACAAAGACAGGCTTCCTTTATCATCTCCAGAGCCTGGTTTGTGGTGTGCAATTAGCATACACTGTGTGTCCTGTAAGGACGGCTGTTGGACAAAGCAGGAATACCACATCTCCATTTCCTTCCGGTGGCTTGGGATGTCAGCATTGAAGACGATCACCACTCCATGAGCATCCTTCATCAGGGCCGGCCAGCAGGACTCAAACCTGCGAGGAAGAAAAGGAACAACAGGGAAAGTTAGGTCATTCTGGTTTCTAACTGTGGACTTTAAAAAGAATATCTTAGTATTAAAAGTTGGTCTATGACGGCTGGGCGTGGTGGCTCACACCTGTAATCCCAGCACTTTGGGAGGCCGAGGCGGGCGATCACGAGGTCAGGAGATCGAGACAATCCTGGCTAACACGGTGAAACCCCGTCTCTACTAAAAATACAAAAAAGTTAGGGGAGTGTGGTTGTGGGCACCTATAGTCCCAGCTACTCGGGAGGCTGAGGCAGGAGAATGGCGTGAACCCAGGAGGCAGAGCTTGCAGTGAGCTGAGATCGTGCCACTGCACTCCAGCGTGGGTGACAGAGCGAGACTCTGTCTCAAAAAAATAAAAAAAATTTTAAAAAAAGTTGGGGGATGACTTTTTTTTTTTAAGAGACAGGGTCTTGCTCTGTCTCCCAGGCTGAAGTGCAGTTGTGGGATCATAGCTCACTGCAGCCTCCAATGTGGGCCCAAGTGATCCTTCTGCCTCAGCTTCCTGAGTAGCTAGGACCACATCAGGTCAATTTTATTTTTTGTAAAGGTGGATGATTTCTTCATTAAAAAAAAATTATTATTATTATTATTATTTTTGGAGACAAGAGTCTGGCTCTGTCGCCCAGGCTTGAGTGCCGTAGCACGATCTTGGCTCACCGCAATGTCCACCTCCCAGGTTCAAGCGATTCTCGTGCCTCAGTCTCCTGATTACTGGTACACACCACCGTACTGGGCTAAGTTTTGTATTTTTAGTAGAGACAGGGTTTCGCTATGTTGGCCAGGCTGGTCTCAAACTCCTGAGCTCTGGTGATCTCCCAAAGCAATGGATTACAGGTGTGAGCCATGGTGCCTGGCCCCTATTTTTTTTTTTTTTAAAATGAGGTTTCATCATGTTGGGCCGGCTGGTCTTGAACTCCTGACCTGAGGTGATCTGCCTGCCTCAGCCTCCCAAAGTACTGGGATTACAGGCGTCAGCCACTGCGCCTGGCCAAGGTTGATGACTTCTAACTGCATCATAACCTAATCACTAAAGTGTATAAAGCAATGCATGTCAGCAAATCATTTATCAAGCTCCTCATACGTGCCAGGAAACATACTAGGCCCAACTTCATGGTGCCTGGTGGGCAGCTGATTTTTTTGTTTTGTTTTGTTTTTTGAGCTAGAAGTCCAGCTCTGTCGCCCAGGCTGGAGTACAATGGTGCGATCTCAGCTCACTGCAACTTCTGCCTCCCGGGTTCAAGCAACCTCCGCTTGAACCTCCAGGGTTCACTGCAACCTCCGCCTCCAGGTTCAAGCAGTTCTCCTGCCTCAGCCTCCCAACTGGGATTACATGTGCCTGCCACCAAGCCTGGCTAATTTTTTGTATTTTTAGTAGAGACGGAGTTTCGCCATGTTGGCCAGGCTGCTCTTGAACTCTTCTCCTCAGGTGAGCCACCCACCTTGGCCTCCCAAAGTGCTGGAATTACAGGTGTGAGCCACCGCCCCTGGCTTGGGCAGCTGATTTTTAAACCATTTGATGAAGTGACTTTCTTTAAAGGAAACATACTTAGCATCGCCACCACAGTCCCATAGCTCGAATTCACAGCCCGTGCCTTTGTTGTTGCTGGTAACATGCGGGTTCTCAAATTCTAGGATCCTAAAAGGAAAAAGAAGAGCAGTAGGCTGGGTGCAGTGGCTCACGCCTGTAATCTCAGCAGTCTGGGAGGCCAAGGCGGGCAGATCACTTGAGGTCAGGAGTTCGAGACCAGCCTGGCCAACATGGTGAAACCCTTGCTACACTAAAAATAAAAGAATTAGCTGGGCATGATGGTGTGCACCTGTGATCTCAGCTACTGGGGAGGCTAAGGCAGGAGAATCGCTTGAACCTGGGAGGCGGAGATTGCAGTGAGCTGAGATCGTGCCACCACACTCCAGCCTCAGCGACAGGACGAGACTCCATCCCAAAAAAAAAAGACGAACAGTAGCAGCACCAATAATGAGGCTGCATTACACTTTTGGAATGCCAACAGCAACAAAAGTAGGAAGTGGGTGATGGCTGGGCAGTCTTTTAAAATTGTTTTATTATTAATTTTGTTTTGAGACAGGGTCTCACTCTGTCACCCAGGCTGGAGTGCAGTGGCACGATCATAGCTCACTGCAGCCTCCAACTCCTGGCCTCAAACAATCCTTCTGCTTCAACCTAACATGTAGCTGAGACTACAGACACATGCCAACACACCTGGCTAATGTTTTATTTTTAGTTGAGACGGGGTCTCCCTATATTGCCCAGGCCTCAGGCGATCCTCCCGCTTTGACCTCCCAGAGCACTGGGATTAGAGGAATGAGCCTCCCTGCCGAGCCAGTTGGACACTCTGGGACACAGATTTGTCAGGGCTCACCTCACTCCTTGGGTTGGGCTGTATTCAGTGATGTCAGAAGATTCTGTCAGAAAGTTGGCCAAAACAGTTTTTCCACTCTGTGAAAATGAGTGCAAATAAAGGTCTTTGCTGAAAGGCAGAAAAGGAAACCAAAAAAATGACCCCAAGAGGTGGCCTGGAACCCGGTGTGGTGCAGTATAGGTCATGGGCACCCTGAGATCACTGGGGTGGTTACGACCTCACTGTCTTGCTCTAGTGCAGTGGGCACAGCCTGGTCTGGGGTCCAGGGAGCATGGGATTAAGGAGTTTTTATTTTTATTTTTTGAGACAGAGTTTCACTCTTGTTGCCCAGGCTGTGATCTAGGCTCACTGCAACCCCCGGGTTCAAACGATTCTCCTGCCTCAGCCTCCAGAGTAGTTGGGATTACAGGCGCCTGCCACCACGCCCGGCTTACTTTTGTATCTGTAGTAGAAATTGGGGTTTCACCATGTTACTCGGGCTGGTCTCGAACTCCTGACTTCAGGTGATCCACACACCTGGGCCTCCCAGAGTGCTGGGTTTATAGGGATGAGCCACTGTGCCCAGCCAAGGAGTTCTTTTAGGTCACAGAGAGGATCAAAGTCAGCCTGGGGACTCGTGGCTAGCTGTCTCATAATCTCACATGCAGCTGTTTGTCCATCTCGATTATATGAGTAATACACATTGCTTTTTTTTTTTTTTTTTTTTGAGACAAGGTCTTGCTCGGTTGCCCAGGCTGGAGTACAGCAATGTGATCATAGCTCACTGCAGCCTTGATCTGTAGGGCTCCAGTGATCCTCCTGCCTCAGCCTCCTGAGCCACCTGGGACTACAGGTGTGCATCACCATGCCCAGCTAATTTTTGTATTGCTTGTAGAGATGGGGTTTCCCTATGTTGCCCAGGCTGGTCTTGAATGCTTGAGCTCAAGTGGTCTCCCCACCTCAGCCTCCCAAAGTGCTGGCAGGTGTTAGCCACTGTGCCTGGCCTAAGACTTCTACAGGTTTTATTTTATTTTTTTTTTAGATGGAGTTTCGCTCTTGTTCCCCAGGCTGGAGTGCAATGGCGCGATCTTGGCTTATTGCAACCTCTGCCTCCCGGATTCAAGCAATTCTCCTGCCTCAGACTCCCGAGTCACTGGGATTACAGGCATGCACCACCAAGCCCAGCGAATTTTTGTATTTTTAGTACAGATGGGGTTTCACCATGTTACTCAGGCTGGACTCGAACTCCTGACCTCAGGTGATCCACCTGCATTGGCCTCCCAAAGTGCTGGGATTAGAAGCGTGAGCCTCCGCATCCGGCTGGGTTTTTTTTTTTTAATTATTATTAGTTTTTGAGACGGAGTCTCGCTCTGTCTCCCAGGCTGGAGTGCAGTGGCGCAGACTTGGCTCACTGCAAGCTCCACCTCCCGGGTTCACGCCTCAGCCTCCCGAGTAGCTGGGACTACAGGCACCCGCCACCACGCCCGGCTAATTTTTTGTATTTTTAGTAGAGACGGGGTTTCACCGTGTTAGCCAGGATGGTCTCGATCTCCTGACCTTGTGATATGCCTGCCTCGGCCTCCCAAAGTGCTGGGATTACAGGCGTGAGCCACCGCGCCCGGCCTTTTTTTTTTTTTTTTTTTTTTAAACGCATTTAGCCTTAGTCCATCTGAGCTTTATTTCTGTGGATGATGTGAAGTATACATGTAGATGTGATCCCCACTACCACGCCCCCAACACACACATTAATAGCCAATGGTTCCAGGACCATATAGTAAAACGCCCAGGACTCGAGCAAAGGCTCATGCCTGTAATCCCAGAACTTTGAGAGACTGAGGCGGGAGGACTGTTTGAGCCCAAGAGTTGGAGACCAGCCTAGGTGCTAGGCAACATAGCAAGATCCTGTCTCTACAAATAATTAACAAATTAAGGCCAGGCGCGGTGGCTCATCCCTATAATCCCAGCACTGTGGGAGGCCGAGGCTGGCGGATCACTTGAGGTCAGCAGAGACCAGCCTGGCCAACAAGGTGAAAACACACCTCTACAAAAAATACAAAAATTAGCCAGGGGTAATGGCGTGGGCCTGTAATCTCAGCTACTCAGGAGGCTGAGGCAGGAGAATCGCTTGAACCCGGGAGGCGGAGTTTGCACTGAGCCAAGATCATGCCACTGCACTCCAGCCTGGGTGACAGGGCGAGACTCTGTCTCAAAAAAACAAAACAAAACAAAAACAACAAATTTAGTCGGGCGTGGTGGTGCACGCCTGTAGTCCCAGGTACTCAGGAGGCTGAGGCAGGAGGACTGCTTGAGCCCAGGGAAGTCGAGGCTGCAGTGAGCTATGATCACACCACTGCACTCCAGCCTGGACGACACAGCGACAACCTGTCTCAAACAAAAGTCCAGACCCACAGACGCATTCATTAGGGGGATCCCGGGGGCAAAAGAAAGAGTCACGAAACCTAGGCTATGGTTCCAATGATGCCACTCAGTACCTTGGGCCTTCGGGGCTCATTAACACCGGGCTCGCCTCCACTACCTCCTCCGGGCAGTGGTTGGAATCAAGGTCTGAAAGCACCGAGTTCACGGAAAGGGCAGGGGCGCCAGTCGGGATGGGCGCGGTGGGCCCGGGTTCCCGCCTCCGGGAGCAAGCCGCAGATCAGACGGGTGGGGACCTGCGCTCGCCCAGGCCCCGAGGCCTGCTCCCCGCTCCCTCTGCCGCGCCGGGCCAGGACTTACCTCGCAAGGCCCCACGAAGAGGATCTTGGCTTTCAGCATAGTTGTCCGCCGCGGCTTAGCCGGCCGGAGCCCACGGGAGGCGGCGCGTCAGGACGGAGCTCTACTTGGCCGCTTTCGTTTCCATGGCGACGGAGAGAGGCCCGCAGGGCCGACGGGACTCGGCCACTTCCGGCGCGCGGGGCGGAAAGCGGGCGCGTCTGCGACTGGGAGGGGGTCGGAGAGAAGCCACAAAGCCCGGGCTGCAGACGCGGTTCTGCAGGGTTGGCCTGTATTTCTTTTAGAGACAGGGTCTCACTCTGTCGCCCAGGCTGGAGCGCAGTGGCGCGATCTCGGGTCACTGCAACCTCCAACTTTTGGGCTCAAACGATCTTTCTGCCTCAGCCTCCCGAGTAGCTGGCACTACAGGCATGTGCCATCACGTCCGACTAATTTTTAAAATTTTTTTATTTGTAAGACTGGGTTTTGCTATGTTGCCCAGGCTGTTTTCGAACTCCTGGGCTGAAATGATCCTCCCATCTCCACCTCCCAAAATTCTGGGACTGCAGGCCCGTTCCACCAGTCTCGGTAGAGACGCGGAAAGCAAGACTCCAGGAGGGGGCGGAATGGCCGTTTCCAAACCTTTGTTTCTCCCAATAATCCCGAGAGCTCAGACAGGCCATACAAGTGCCAAGCTGGCCTTGGAACCAGGCCTTGACTCCTTTATCACTGTGGCATGATATCACTGTGGCCGTCCACCTGGGAGCCGATTTATCACTGCCGTGGCACAGCTCAGAAAAAATCAGGTGAAAGTCTGGTTTCTGTAAAAGGATTCACCACTCACTATCATTCGTCTGACCTAGGAGAAACCAAAGAGATGATGACTGGAATCGTTTAGTCAGTGCAGGTGTCTAGAAACATTGCTGCTAAATTCAATCAGTTAGGTCAGTCTGAAAATACAGAGTCAAGTCAGAATTTTGGATAAGCCATGATATTAAATGTCTATGTGCCGAGAGTGCCGGTACAAAATATGCTAGCCCATAAAAGGGCTGAAATGACAAAAATTTCTAGTCAACCCCGTATCAAATCTTTAACCTTCGGTAACATAGTTACATAGTCTTTGTATTGAAAAGAACTACTTGGCTGGCCGCGGTGGCCCAGGCCTGTAATCCCAGCACTTTGGGAGGCCGAGGCAGGTGGATCACTTGAGGTTCTGCACAGTCCCTTCGTCCTGGTAGATTCTAGGCCAGATGGGGAGACCACCCTGCAGAGTGCCGCTTGTCAAGTGTTTTCCCATGCACATTCCCATGCACAGGTTTTTTTTTATTATTATTTTTATTTTTATTTTATTTTATTTATTTTATTTTTTGAGATGGAGTCTAGCTCTGTCGCCCAGGCTGGAGTGCAGTGGTGTGATCTCGGCTCACTGCAAACTCCACCTCCCGGGTTCAAGTGATTCTCCTGCCTCAGCCTCCTGAGTAGCTGGGATTACAGGCACATGCCATCACATGCAGCTAATTTTTGTGTTTTTAGTAGAGACGGGGTTTTGTCATGTTGGCTGGGTTGGTCTTGAACCCCTGACCTCAAGTCCTTTCTGATCTGCCCGCCTCAGCCTCTGAAAGTGCCGGAATTACAGGCCTGAGCCACTGATCCCACCCCCATGTACAGTTTAATTTTCATTTGCAAATGGAGCTATTACAGTAAGGCGAAGTGATGAGTATCCTAAATTGATGTCAGGGAGGAGGCGGGAACCATGGGCTTTCAGCAGCTCCAGTTCTCCTTTCTTTTCTTTTTTTCTGTTTTTTTTTTTTTTTGAGATGGAGACTTGCTCTGTCGCCCATGCTGGAGTGCAGTGGCGAGATCTCGGCTCACTGCAACCTCTGCCTCCTCGGTTCAAGTGATTATCCTGCCTCAGCCTCCCGAGTAGCTGGGATTACAGGCGCATACCACCATGCCTGGCTAATTTTTGTATTTTTAGTAGCAACAGGGCTTCACCATGTTGGCCAGGCTGGTGTCAAACTCCTGACCTCATGGTATCCGCCCGCCTTGGCCTCCTAAAGTGCTGGGATCACAGTGTGAGCCGCCGCGCCCAGCCCGGTTCTCCTTTCTATGTGTAAAGATGCCATTTCCCCTCTATGTACAGTAATGGTTGTGCCTCTTGCCAGGTCCAGAGTCCAGGCTTCCTCACCTCAGCGTTTACTTCATTGCACTGGGAGGTAGTTTGTGTGCTACAAATCTTAACAACACACGCCCTCACTGAAGGGTCTCATCGGTGTTTGGGTCCACTGATCACAACTCTAAGCCTGATACACCACAGATGCTGAATAGTGTTGGTTCTGGGCCAGTGCAGTGGCTCATGCATGTAATCTCAGCACTTTGGGAGACTGAGGTGGGAGGATCACTTGACACCAGGCATTTGAGACCAGCCTGGGCAATAAGAAAGACCCTGTCTCTACACACACACACACACACACACAGACACACAAACACACTCAGCCAGGTATGGTGGAATGCCTGTAGTCCCAGCTACTGGGGAGGCTGAGGTGAGAGGATCGCTTGAGCCCAGAAGCTTGAGGCTGCAGTGAGCCATGATCGTGCCATTGCACTGTAGCCTCAGCAACAGAACGAGACCCTGACTCAAAAAAAGTAAGATAAAGCCAGGTGCGGTGGCTCATGCCTGTAATCCCAGCACTTTGGGAGGCTGAGGTGGGTGGATCACCTGAGGTCAGGCGTTCGAGACCAGCCTGGCCAATATGGTGAAATCCCGTCTCTACTAAAAATACAAAAATTAGCCGGGTGTGGTGGTGCACACCTGTAGTCCCAGCTACTCAGGAGGCTGAGGCAGGAGAATCGCTTGAACCTGGGAGGCAGAGGTTGCAGTGAGCTGTGATCGTGCCACTGCACTCCAGCGTGGGCAACAGAGCAAGCCTCCATCTCAAGAAAAAAAAAAAAAGATAAAAGAAGTGTCAGTTTCATCTTCCCCTTCATAACACACACATAGAAACACATACATATTCATTTACTCTATAAATATTTAAGTTAATGAATGTTCCCTTAATCTTGCCAAGAACCTTTAGTTTTTGGCCCAGGTGAGAGAAATAAAAAATATGAAATGCGTTACATTTCTTCAATATATGTGCTGTATACATTTGGGATGATTATTGTAAATTATTGAAATACTTTTGCTTTATGACTTTCATTTTAATTAGAAGAGGTTGACTTCAGACAGCTTAATACCCAGGCTTTGATTGTAAAGTGAGCAATAGATCATTAGCGGGGGTGAGAACTGGGTGAACTCGGTCATTTTTCTCCTCCTTCTGTGATTCAATGCAATAAAATCTTTCTCTTGCAAAAAACCTAAAGAAATAAGTTTGACATATTTCAAATCCCTTCTATAAATTTTTGAAAAGATTTAATATAACCCCCAGCCATAAAGTCTTTGAGTTGACCCTCCACGGTCTCAATGATTACACATGCAGTTTTTATTACTAAAGAATAAATTGTGGGTTTCCCGTGACTCAAGGGAATCAAATGCCCTTCAATTACCTTCTCCTGCAGCGGGAGGATTTGAACCTTTTCCGTTCAACTCTTGAAGACAGGAATTTTACCAGATGGTTTGTAACCTGGAAATATTTTGTCCCCTATGAATGCTGTCATCTTTTTTTTTTTTTAATTTAAAAAAAGGAATAAAGCTGTAGCCAGAGATGATGTCCAGCAAGTTTGGTTTAGGACAAAATCAATGATGGACAAAATCAATTTAGGACAAAAAATGATCAACTTTTCATCAATTCTCATTAGAAAGCCTGAGCTATACTTTCAATATAAAAAATATTTCCCAGCCAACTGAAGATAAAGCTTTTGGCAAAGCAGTGAAACAGGGATATGGCTGGACCAGGAGCCTATAGCCTGCATTTGGCCGTGTCCTGTAGAAGGGATTTTGGGAGGTGGTGTTGTGCCATGGAAAGAGTACCGATTTTGGAGTAAGACAATTTGAAAGTAGGTGAGTGAGGCCAGGTGTGGTGGCTCACACCTGTAATTCTAGAACTTTGGGAGGCCAAGGCGGGCAGATCGCTCGAGGCCAGCAGTTCAAGACCAGCCTGGCAAACATGGTGAAACCCCGTCTCTACTAAAAATACAAAAGTTAGCCAGGTGTGGTGGCAGATGCCTGTGATCCCAGCTACTTGGGAGGCTGAGGCAGGACAATCGCTTGAACCCAGGAGGTGGAGGTTGCAGTGAGCCGAGATTGTACCATTGCACTCCAGCCTGGGCAACAAGAGCGAGACCCTGTCTCAAAACAAAACAAAACAAAACAAACAAACAAACAAACAAACAAAAACAACCACATACCTGAGACTGGGTAATTTATAAAGAAAAGAGGTTTAGACCTGGCACAGTGGCTCACGCCTATAATCCTAGCACTTTGGGAGGCTGAGGCTGGCGGGCAGATCACAAGGTCAGGAGTTCAAGACCAGCCTCGCCAACATGGTGAAACCCCGTCTCTACTAAAAATACAAAAATTAGCCGGGCGTGGTGGTGCACATCTGTAATCCCAGCTACTCGGGAGGCTGAGGCAGGAGAATCTCTTGAACCCAGGAGGCAACTGTTACAGTGAGCCAAGGTTGCACCACTGCACTCTCCAGCCTGGGCGACAAGAGCAAAACTTCCTCTCAAAAAAAAAAAAAAATTATAAAATTAGCCAAGCCTCAGTTTTTCTCTCACTAAAATGGGGATCCTAGAATTGCTTGAATCCAGGAGGCAGAGGTTGTAGTGAGCCAAGATCGTGTCACTGCACTCCAGCCTGGGCAATAGAGTGAGACTCTCACAAAAATAAAATAAAACAAAATAAACTAAACTGAGGATCCTAAAACTAATCCTATAGGGTTGTTACGAGGATTGAATGTGATGAGGCATGCAAGTTATTTAGTCTAATTCCCGGCACATGACAGATGGTTGATATCTGATAGCTGTGATCACTTATAGCACTCATAGGCCTTTAGAATATTTTTGTGATGCGTTTTTTTTTTTTTTTTTTTTTTTGAGATGGAGTTTCGCTCTTGTTGCCCAAGCTGGAATACAATGGCGCGATCTCTGCTCACTGCAACCGCTACCTCCTGGGTTCAAGTGATTCTCCTGCCTCAACCTCCTGAGTAGCTGGGATTACAGGCATGTGCCACCACTCCTGGCTAATTTTTTATTTTTAGTAGAGACAGGGTTTCTCCATGTTGGTCAGGCCGGTCTTAAACTCCCGACCCCAGGTGATCTGCCCGCCTTGGCCTCCCAAAGTGCTGGGATTACAGGCGTGAACCACCATGACCGGCCTCATGATGCTTTTGACTAATGTCTCCACACCCACAGAATTTTCCCATTGCATTTTTTTTTTTTTTGAGACAGGGTCTGTCTCTGCCACCCAGACTGGAGTGCAGTGGCATGATCTCAGTTCATTGCAACCTCCACCTCCCAGGTTCAAGCAGTCCTTGTGCCTCAGCCTCCCACAGGTACATGCCACCATGCCCAGCTAATTTATTTATTTATTTTTTCGAGATGGAGTCTCACTCTGTCCCCCAGGCTGGAGTGCAGTGCAGTGGTGCAATCTCGGCTCACTCTAAGCTCCACTTCCCGGGTTCACGCCATTCTCCTGCCTCAGCCTCCCGAGTAGCTGGGACTACAGGCACCTGCCACCACGCCTGGCTAATTTTTTTGTATTTTTAGTAGAGACGGGGTTTCACCGTGTTAGCCAGGATGGTCTCGATCTCCTGACCTCGTGATCCGCCCGCCTCAGCCTCTAATTTTTAAATTTTTTGTAGAGATGGGGTTTTGCCATGTTGCCCAGGATGGTCTCGAACTCCTGAACTCAAGCGATCCACCTGCCTTGGCCTCCCAAAGTGCTGGGATTACAGGCGTGAGCCATTGCGCCGGGCTGTCCCGCTACATTGATTATATCTTTTGAGCACTAAAACTTTATGGTTTTTTCTGCCTCCCTTCGTTGCCCTCCCAGGAGAAAGCACTTACATGTTTAACTTACTGCAGATAAATTAATGTCTCTAACATATGATGCACGCCTGCTGAAATTTCTTTTTTCTTTTAGGGACAGGGTGTCACTGTGTCACCCAGGCTGGAGTGCAGTGGCGAGACCATAGCTTACTGCATCCTCGAGCTCCTGGGTGCAAATGATCTTCTCATTTCAACTTCCCGAGTGGCTAGAACCACAGGGTGTGCACCACTATGCCTGGCCATTTTTTTAAAAAACATTTTTTTGTAGAGATGAGGTCTCCCTAAGTTGTCCAGGCTGGTCTCCAACTCTTGGCCTCAAGTGATCCTCTCATCTCGGCCTCCCAGCATGAGCCACCATGCCTGGCCTAAAATTTATTTTTATATAGCCATTTTGTGCTTGCTAATGTGAGCTGATTTCCTGCTTTTCCAACTTAGTTTGCTCAAAATTCTGTATATTTTATCTGCTTAAAGTGAAGGCTACAGTACATGAAACAGGCAGCTGCAAAGTCCAACTACACTCATGACCTAAAAAGTCTTGATATACCCTCCACACTGCATTTACGGTCAAGGGCAAATGAGATCCTATAGGCACACAAAATTATATCTGATAGTGCCCAGGAATGACTGACACACCTGTGGACTGCTTAGAGCACCTGCATTACTGGGCTTGCAACTTTATACATTCACAGAAAGACTTGCTTTTATTTATTTATTTATTTATTTATTTATTTATTTATTTACTTATTTATTTATTTGAGACAGACACTCTGTCGCCCAGGCTGGAGTGCAGTGATGAGATCTCAGCTTACTGCAAACTCCGCCTCCCAGGTGTAGGTGCTTCTTCTGCCTCAGCCTCCCGAGTAGCTGGGACTACATGTGCCTGCCACTGCACCCGACTAATTTTTGTATATATATATTTTTTCGAGACGGAGTTTCTCTCTTGTTGCCCAGGCTGGAGTGCAATGGCATGATCTCAGCTCACTGCAACCTCCACCTCTCAGGTTCAAGCAATTCTCCTGCCTCAGCCTCCCGAGTAGCTGGAATTACAGGCATGCGCCACCACGCCTGACTAATTTTGTATTTTTAGTAGAGATGGGGTTTCTCCATGTTGGTCAGGCTGGTCTTGAACTCCCGACCTCTAGTGATCTGTCCGCCTCAGGCTCCCAAAGTGCTGGGATTACAGGCGTCAGCCTCTGTATCCAGCCTAATTTTTGTATTTTTAGTACAGACAGGATTTCACCATGTTGGTCAGGCTGTTCTTGAACTCCTGACCTCAAATGATCCTCCTGTTGGCCTTCCAAAGTGCTGGGGTTATAGGCATGAGCCACCATATCCAGTAACACTTACTTTCCTAATGCCATTTCAAATTGGTCGCATTACTCCTTCTTGAGTCAGGCTTTAATCTGATATTTAACCAGGATAATTCTAAAGTCTTTTTCTCCCCTGAATAAAATTGCTGCCTTCATATAAAGCTGTTTTATTTTATTTTTATTTTTTATTTTTGAGATGGAGTTTCACTCCGTCGCCCAGGCTGGAGTGCAATGGCGTGACCTCGGCTCACTGCAATTTCTGCCTCTCAGGTTCAAGCGATTCTCCTGCCTCAGTCTCCCGAGTAGCTGGGACTACAGATGTGCACCCTCACGCTGGCTAATTTTTGTATTTTTAGTAGAGATGGGTTTTCACCATGTTGGCCAGGCTGGTCTTCAACTCCTGACCTTGGGTGATCTGCCCGCCTCGGCCTCCCAAAGTGCTGGGATTACAGGCGTGAGCCACCGCACCTGATCTCTGTTTTTTATTTTATTTTATTTTATTTTATTTTTTGAGATGGAGTCTCACTTTGTTGCCCAGGTTGGAGTGCAGTGGCATGATCTTGGCTCACTGCAACCTCCGTCTCCCAGGTACAAGTGATTCTCCTGCCTCAGCCTCCCAAGTAGCTGGGATTACAGGCACATGCCACCACACCTGGCTAATTTTTTTTTTTTTTTTTTTTTTGAGACAGAGTCTCCCTCTGTCTCCCAGGCTGGAGTGCAGTGGTGTGATCTCGGCTCACTGCAACCTCTTCCCCACTAGGTTCAAGTGATTCTTCTGCCTTAGCCTCCTGAGTAGCTGGGACTACAGGCGTGCACCACTATGCTGACTAATTTTTGTATTTTTAGTAGAGATGGGGTTTCACCATATTGGCCAGGCTGGTCTCGAACTCCTGACATCGTGATCAGCCTGCCTCGGCCTCCCAAAGTGCTGAGATTACAGGCGTGAGCCACCACTCCTAATCTCTATTTATTTTTTTCTACAAATAAAATACTTTAAAAAATACAGGCACAAATAAAACATTCAGTAGTTGTTTCTCATCAAAGACACACTTTGATATCTAAGTGCATGTCAACATCACATGGACCAGTCCACAATTGAACTGAGTGTAGAAGTTTCCTTTTCGTCATGTGACAGCCACGCTGAAGGAAGACACGCTTGGGTGTGGAGCAGAGCTGGGCGGATTTTGGCAGCCCCTCTAGGAGAAATGTTTTGGGAAAGACTCCTTTTCCACACAAAGCATCCCGGCCAGCCGAGCAGACCCATTCGTGGGCCTTAATCTCGTCTGAAGCGCCCTGGGAATCCACCCACACAGAACATTTCCTACATCCCTTGTCTTCAAAGCACTTTGCCACGGTTATCTAATCAATCTCCAGAGCAGTTTTTGGAAGGGAAGATGGTTTTCCTCAAGTCATGGTGCCTGCAAGTCAGGACTGCACAAGACAATGCGACCAGGAGCAGGAGGCTGTTTCCTGCCCCGGGAGAGTCCCCTGCTCTGTCGCGGACTCCGCCTGTTCCCTTCAAATCTCTTGGTGGAAATGGGGGCTGGAAGTCACGTTCCCTAGTCTATGAGCTGAAAGCCGTCATCTGTAGCCATTGCCAATGAAGGGGTTTCGTTCAGTGTAAACACTACCAATGTGACTTAGGGTAACTATAAGTCTTTTGATATTTTATTTTTATTTTTATTTTTTGAGATGGAGTTTTCACTCTTGTTGCCCAGGCTAGAGTGCAATGGTGAAATCTCGGCTCACTGCAACCTCCACCTCCCGGGTTCAAGCAATTCTCCTGCCTCAGCCTACCGAGTAGCTGGGATTTGGCGGGGGGCAGTGGCTCATGCCTGTAATCTCAACACTTTGGGAGGCTGAGGTAGGCGGATCACCTGAGGTCGAGAGTTTGAGACCAGCCTGACCAACGCAGAGAAACCTTGTCTCTACTAAAAATACAAAATTAGCCAGGTGTGGTGGCATGTGCCTGTAATCTCAGTTACTCGGGAGGCTGAGGCAGGAGAATCGCTTGAACCTGGGAGGCGGAGGTTGCGGTGAGCCGAGATTGTGCCATTGCACTCCAGCCTGGGCAACAAAAGAGAAACTCTGTCTCAAAATAGAAAAAAAAAGTAGAGATGGGCCTGGGCTAGGCGGCTTGTGCCTGTAATTGTAGCACTTTGGGAGGTGGGAGGATTGCTTGAGCTCACAAGTTTGAGACCAGCCTAGGCAACGTGGCAAAACCCTGTCTCTACAGAAAAATGCAAAAATTAGCCAGGCATGGTAATGAATCCCTGTAGTTCCAGCTACTTGGAAGATGGAGGTGGGAGAATCACTTGAGCCTGGGAAGTGGAGGTTGCAGTGAGCTGAGATTGTGCCAATGCACTCCAGCCTGGTTGACAGAGTGAGACTCTGTCTCAGAATAAATAAATAAAAATAAAAATAGAGACTGGATCTTGCTATGTCGTCCAGCCTGGTCTTGAACCCCTGGGTTCAAGTGATCCTCCTGCCTTGGCCTCCCAAAGTGCTACGATTACAGGTGTGGGCCACTGAGCCCAGCCTATGAATGTAAGTCTTGTCTGAACCTCTGTAAAACAGGAATAGTCGTCCATATGTCATGGGATTATTGGGAAGATAAAATGAGATCACGTGAGATCATATGAAGACACTTGGCACATGGTAGCCAGACATTAATTCACTCAGGCAAAACAACCAACCACCAATCAAATAAACCAAACACGGTGGCTCATGCCTGTTACCCCAGCACTTTGGGAGGCCGAGGCAGGTGGATTGTTTGAGGCCAGGAGTTCGAGACCAGCCTGACCAACATGGTGAAGCCCCGTCTGTACTAAAAATACAAAAATTAGCCGGGCATGGTGGCATATGCCTGTAATCCCAGTTACTCGGGAGGCTGAGGCATGAGAATTGCTTGAACCTGGGAGGCAGAGGTTGCAGTGAGCTGAGATTATGCCGCTGCACTCCAGCCTGGGCGACAGAATGAGACTCTCTCGAAAACAAACAAAACAAAACAAAAAACCCAAAACAAATAAACCCAACAGCAGCAGCAGCAACAATAACAAAATGGCTTGATTCAATCAGTTCAGTGCTATCAGAAAAGCTTCACAGTTCAGGCTGGAGCGTGGCTGTTTCAGCTGTCATTGGGTGGGTTGCTGTGAGAGGCAGTGATGAAGGTACATGGGCTTTGGATCTGTGCAGCCAGAAGGCCTGAGTTCAAAGCTTGGCTCCACCACTTCCCTGATGGGTGATGCCGGACTGGTTACTTAAGTGCTTTGACCTCAGTTTTTCTGCCTGTAAAATGGCCATAATAACAACACCCTTGCCAGGCACAGTGGCTCACGCTTGTAATCTTGGCACTTTGAGAGGCCGAGGCAGGCGGATCGCTTGAGGCCAGGTGTTCAGGACCAGCCTGGCCAACACGGCGAAGCCCCATCTCTACTAAAAATACAAAAAAATTAGCTAGGCATGGTGGCACATGCCTGTAATCCCAGTTACTCCGGAGGCTGAGGCAGAATAATCGCTTGAACCTGGGAGGCGGAGGTTGCAGTGAGTCGAGATCGCGCCACTGCACTCCAGCCTGGGCAACAGAGGGAGACTCTGTCTCAAAACAAAACTAAACAAAACAAACGAAAAAACCCCAAAACCAAAAACAAACCAAAAAAACACCCGCTTTGTGGAATTCCTTTTTTTTTTTTTTTTTGAGATGGTCTTTCACTCTGTCGCCCAGGCTGGAATGCAGTGGCGCAATCTCAGCTCACTGCAACCTCCGCCTCCCAGGTTCAAGCGATTGTTGTGTCGCAGCCTCCTGACTAGCTGGGATTACAGGCAACCCCCAACACACCCAGCTAATTTTTGTATTTTTAGTAGAGATGGGGTTTCACCATGTTGGCCAGGCTGGTCTCGAATCCCTGACCTCAGGTGGTCCTCCCACACTGGCCTCCCAAAGTGCTGGGATTACAGGAGTGAGCCACCCCACCTGGCCTGTGGAATTATTTGGAGGATACATGCGTTAACTCATCCAAGGTGCTCAGCTCAACTTTTGGCACGTTGAAAGGGGCCCATCAATGTTAGGTTTTTATGACTGTGAAAACCTGGCTGCGCTCCAGCATAGCATGCTGTTTCATGAACCAGTCTTTCTCTGCAGGCATGCAAACTTGCAAAGAAAGGCATTTAAGAGCACTACAAATTAGAACCACTGGAGAGCCAGGAAGTGGCTTGATTGTGTTGTGTGGTACAATTAAAGGTAAACCGACTAGCGAAATACCTACCCTGCAAATAGCTAGTGTGTGCATATGAGGATTAATTTATTTGGGGTGGATTCCTTTAAATCCTTCTTTTTTTTTTTTTTTTTGAGGTGGAGTTCTGCTCTTGTTGCTCAGGCTGGAGTGCAATGGTGCAATCTCTGCTCACTGCGACCTCCATCTCCTGGGTTCAAGCGATTCTCCTGCCTCAGCCTCCCCAGTAGCTGGGATTACAGGCCTGCGCCACCACACCCAGGTAATTTTGTGTTTTTTCAGTAGAGACAGGGTTTCGCCATGTTGGTCAGGCTGGTCTCGAACTTCTAACCTCAGGTGATCTGCCCGCCTTGGCCTCCCAAAGTGCTGGGATTACAGGTGTGAGCCACTGCGCCTGGCAATACTCACTATATTTTTTTTTTTTTTTTTGAGACAGGCTGTCACTCTGTGGCCAAGCTGGAGTGCAGTGGTGCAATCTCGGCTCACTGCAGCCTCCGCCTCCCCGGTTCAAGTGATTCTCCTGATTCAGCCTCCCGAGTAGCTGGGACTACAGGCGCCCACCACCACGCCCGGCGAATTTTTGTATTTTTAGTAGAGACGGGGTTTCCCACTACACTCGAGCCTGGGCGACAGAGCTAGACTTGGTCTCAAAAAAAAAAAAAAGTGGGTATAAACATGACTGCAGAATTGCTCTGAGCTGCTACTCTCTGCCTACAGGGTAGCCCTGCCTCTTCAAACAAAGCTGTTTTCTTCTACCTCTGGCTTGTCCTTGAAAAGTCTTTCCTGGGCAAAGCCAAGAAGACTTGTGGGCTAAGCTCCACTTGAGGGCTCGCCGGCCCTGCATTAGATCCATGGAACAGATCATAAATCAGCAGTGTGCACTGTCTTATATGGCCATCAGGACAGTGCACCCAGCCCCACAGGACAAACAGACGGGCCTGTGTCCCCAGAGAAATGAGGAAGTGAGGCTCAACATCACCTCACGTCTGTCACCAGCCAGTTATAAGGAAAGACAGAGGATTGGCAAATTCTTATTTGAGGCCAGGCATGGTGGCTTATGCCGGTAATCCCAGCACTCTGGGAGGCCAAGGTGGGTGAGTCACCTGAGGTTAGGAGTTTGAGACCAGCCTGGCCAACATGGTGAAACCCTGTCTCTACTAAAAATACAAAAATTTGCCAGGCGTGGTGGTGCATGCCTGTAATCCCAGCTACTCGGGAGGCTGAGGCAGGAGAATCACTTGAACCCGGGAGGTGGAGGTTGCAGTGGGCAGAGATCACACCACTACACTCCAGCCTGGGCAATAAGAGCGAAACTCCATCTCAAAAAAAAATAATAATAATTCTTATTTGAAAAGAGATCACTTTGACCCAACCAAAGGCTTTCAAAATGTTGTGAAAGGGATTCATGAAATTGTTTCTGACAAAGACCATGAAAACAAGAGAATCTAATGTGAAATTGAGAAGCATGTGAAAGCTAAAAGGCACTGCTGTGGCCAAATGACTCAAGGCGATTCTTCCATTCATACGGGACATGTTAGGGATCCAAGGACAGGCTGGGAGGAAAGAGACGTAACACTCGGGTCATCAAGCTGTTGTGATGTGGGAAGAGGAGGCGGTAGGTGAGAGAAAGCCACCTGCATGAGCAGTAATCATATCAACTGACACTCAAGTCCCTACCCTGTTCCATGCCCAGCTGTAAGTACTTCGCACATCGCATTTCACATTCTATTTATTTATTTATTTATTTATTTAGATGGAGTCTCCCTCTGTTGCCCAGTCTGGAGTGCAGTGGCATGACCTCGGCTCACTGCAACCTCTGCCTCCCAGGTTTGAGTGATTCTCATGCCTCAGCTTCCCGAGTAGCTGGGATTACAGGCGCCCACCACCATGCCCGGCTAATTTTTGTATTTTTGGTAGGGACAGGGTTTCACCATGTTGGCCAGGTTGGTCTCGAACTCCTGAACTCAGGCGATCTGCCCACCTCGGCCTCCCAAAGTGCTTGGGATTACAGGCGTGAGCCACCGCGCCTGGCCAAATTCTCTCTTTTTAAAGATAGAAACGGGCCAGGTGCAGTGGCTGCAGTGCAGGGGCGCTATCTCAGCTCACTGCAATCTCTGCCTCCCAGGCTCAAGTGATTCTCCTGTTTCAGCATCCCAAGTAGCTGGAATTACAGGTGCCTGACACCACACCTGGCTAAATTTTGTATTTTTAGTAGAGTCGAGGTTTCACCATGTTGGCCAGGCTGGTCTCGAACTCCTGACCTCAGGTGATCCACCCGCCTCGGCCTCCCAAAGTGCTGGGATTATAAGCATGAGCCAACACGCCCCGCCTCCTCTGGAGTATTTTAAAACAAATCCCAGACATCACATCATTTCACCAGTGAATACATGTGTTTACCAGATAGACATTTTAAAAACCCATAACCACCATGCTGTTATCACACCTAATAAAATAAACAATGATGCCTTACTGTCATCCAATATCCAGTCCATGTTCAAACTTCCCTGATTGTCTTAAATATATTTTCACAATTGATTTGTTCATCCCAGGATCCAACCAAGAGCCACCCACTGCATTTGCCTGTTACACTTTTGAAGTCCGTCTTTCTCTTTTAAATAAACGTTTTATTTTGGAATGATTTTAGATTACAGACAAGCTGGTACAGAGTGTTCTTGTATACCTTTCATCCAGTTTTCTCTAATGTTAAAATCTTACACAACCGTGGTACATCTGTCAGAACTCAGAAATTAACATTGGAACATTACCGTTAACTAAGCTTCAGAATTTATTCGATTTCATCAGTTTTTCCAGCAATGTCCTTTTTCCATTCCGCGATCCAATCCACGCTGCATTTAGTAAGTCCCTTTTAATCTATCAGTCTACCTCTGTTTTTTTCTTCATGACCTTGGTGTTTGGAGAAACCAGGACATGTGGCCCATAGAATGTCCTATATCTAGACTTGGCTAATTGCTTTCTTATGGCATTTTTTAACTTGCTCTTCTGCCCCATATATTTCCTACAAATTGATGATTAGAGGTAGAGGCTTGATTAGATTTAGGTTTTATATATAATTTATTCTTATTCTTATTATTTTTTGAGATGGAGTCTCGCTCTATCGCCCAGGCTGGAGTGCAGTGGCGTGATCTTGGCTCACTGCAAACTCCACCTCCCGGGTTCAAGTGATTCTCTTGCCTCAGCCTCCTGAGTAGCTGGGATTACAGGCACATGCCACCATGCCCGGCTAATTTTTGTATTTTTGATGGAGATGGGGTTTTACCACATTGGCCAGGCTGGTCTCCAACTCCTGACTTCAAGTGATCCACCCACCTCGGCCTCCCAAAGTGCTGGGATTACGGGCGTGAGCTACCATGCCTGGCCTTTTTTTTTTTTTTTTTTTTTTTTTTTTTTACAAAATTCTTTGTGGATGGTGCTTTTGTTTTTCCTATTGGATTGCATTAAAAGGCTCCTAATGTCTGGAGATACCACTTCCAGTTTTTTTTTTTAAATTATTTATTTACTTATTTATTTGTTTTGAGACAGGATCTCACTCTGTCATCCAGGCTGGAGTGCAGTGGTGCGATCTCAGCTCACTGCAACCTCCACCACCCAGGTTCAAGCAATTCTCCTGCCTCCCTCAGCCTCCCGAGTAGCTGGGACTATAGGCATGCGACACCACACCCGGCTAATTTTTTTTATTTTTAGTGGAGACGGGGTTTCACCATGTTGGCCAGGCTGGTCTCGAACTCCTGACCTCAAGTGACCCACCCACCTCGGCCTCCCAAAGTGTTGGAATTACAGGTGTGGGCCACTGTGCCTGGCCCTTTTTTTTTTTTTTTTTTTTTTGACAGAGTCTTGCTCTGTTGCCCGTGCTGGAGTATAGTGCTGCAATCTCAGCTCACTGCAACCTCACCTCCCAGGTTCAAGTGATTCTCCTGCCTCAGCCTCCCGAGTAGCTGGGATTACAGGTGTGCACCACCATGCCTGGCTAATTTTTGTATTTTTAGTAGAGACAGGCTTTTACCATGTTGGTCAGGGTGGCCTTAAACTCTTGACCTCAAGTCATCTACCCATCTTGGCCTCCCAAAGTGCTGGGATTACAGTCGTGAGCCACCATGCCCAGCCAGTTTTATCTCTTTGGATTAGTGTTTGTGGATTACACAGTTTCTTTCTTTCTTTTTATTTTCAGATGCCTGGTTAAGTTTTCCTAATCAAATCTTGCTGGGGCAAACTATTGATGCTAGTCATTCAGCCCTTAAAATAAACATATTCACAGTTTTTTCTCAGTAGTAGTGGTCAGAAGGCCGAGCATGATGGCTCACTCCTGTAATTCCAGGACTTTGGAACATTAAGGCAGGAGGATTGCTTGAGGCAAGGAGTTTGAGATCAGCCTGGGCCACATAGTGAGATCCCATCTCTACAAAAAATTTAAAATAGCTGGGCATGGTGATGCATGCCTGTAGCCCCAGCTACTCTGGAGGCTGAGGTGAGAGGATCACTTGAGCCCAGGAGTTTGAGGCTGCAGTGAGCTATAATTGCATCACTGCACTCCAGCGAAGGCGACAGAGTGATATCCCATCTCTTAAAAACAACAACAACAACAACAACAACATAAACCCCAATAGGCTGTGTGTGGCGGCTCACGCCTGTAATTCCAGCACTTTGGAGGCCGAAGTGGGAGGATCACTTGAGACCAGGAGTTTGAGACCAGCTTGCTCAACATGGTGAAACTCTGTCTCTACTAAAAAATGCAAAAATTAGCTGAGCATGGTGGCATGTGCCCGTAATCCCAGCTGAGGCTGAAGAATTGCTTGAACCCGGGAGGTGGAGGTTGCATGAGCTGAGATCACGCCACTGCACTCCAGCTTGGGTGACGGAGCGAGACTCCATCTTAAAAAAAAAAAAAATAAAATAAAATAAATAAATAAATAAATAAAAGGGCTGAGTGTGATGGCTTAAGCCTATAATCCAGCACTTTGGGAGGCCAAGGTGGGCAGATCACCTGGGGTCAGGAGTTCGAGACCAGCCTGGCCAACATGGCGAAACCCCGTCTCTATTAAAAAATGCAAAAATTAGCTGAGTGTGGTTGTGCGTGCCTGTAGTCCCTGCTACCTGGGAGGCTTAGGCTGGATAACTGCTTGAACCCAGGAGGCGGAGGTTGCAGTGAGCCGAGATCGTACCACTGCACTCCAGCCTGTGCGACAGAGCGAGACTGTCTGAAAAAAAAAAAAAAGAAAGAAAGAAAGAAAAGAAAAGAAGGGCCAAAACCACAATTACTTTTGCACCAACATAATACTTTGCAGCTCTGCTCAACTCAATCTCAGGGGTGATATGGCAGAGTGGAGAGCCATCTTGGGGTGGTGTAATAGCCACGAGACGTGGGTCAAGGCCCTGCTGCAAGTTCCAAGTAGCTCCAAATAGCTGGTTGACCTTAGGCAAATTCGGGACCATTAAGGCTCAGCTACACAGAATGTGTGCTGTATAAATCCAGAGTGCATCATTCCCATAGATTGCAAAGTGCATGGTAATCCTTGCAGTTGTGCAGTCTACAACCTGAACAAGGGTTTGTAGCCACTCTGGGACCTTATACAACATTCTGTAGGTCCCAGGTTTTTTGTTTGTTTGTTTGTTTTTGGGAGATAGGGTTTTGCTCCAGGCTGGAGTACAATGGTACATCATAGCTCACTGCAGCCTCAATCTCCCGGGCTCAAGCAATCCTCCCACCTCAGCCTCTAGAGTAGCTGGGCCTACAGGGATGTGCCACCACGTAGGGTTAATTTTTGTATTTTTATAGAGATGGGGGTCTTGCTATGTTGTTCATGCTGATCTCGAACTCCTGCTTCGGGCAAAACAGTTTCATTTATTATTTAATTTTTTTGGTGACAAGGTCTCAGTCTGTCGCCCAGGCTGGATGGAGTGTAGTGACGTGATCATAGCTCACTGCAGTCTCAACCTCCTGGGCTGAAGTCAGCCTCCTCAGTAGCTGGGACCACAAGTGTGCTCTACTATGTCTGACTAATTTTTGTTTTTTGTATAGACAGGGTCTTCCTATGTTGCCCAGGCTGGTCTTGAACTCCTAGCCTCAAGTGATCCTCTTGCCTTGGCCTCCCAAAGTTCCGGGATTACAGGTGTGAGCCACTGTGCCCAGCCCAGTTTTCTTTCTTTCTTTTTTTTTGTTCATTTCTTTTTTTGAGACAGATTTTCGCTCTTGTTGCCCAGGCTGGAGTGCAGTCGCGTGATCTTGGCTCACTGCAACCTCCGCCTCCCGGGTTCAAGCCATTCTCCTGCCTCAGCCTCCTGAGTAGCTGGGATTACAGGCACCCACCACCACACCTGGCTAATTTTTTGTACTTTTAGTAGAGACGGGGTTTCACCATGTTAGCCAGGCTGGTCTTGAACTCTTGACCTCAGGTGATCCACCCACCTTGGCCTCCCAAAGCGCTGGGATTACAGGCGTGAGCCACTGTGCCCGGCCCCCAGGCCAGTTTTCTTTCTTTCATTTTTTTTTTTCTTTTTTTTGCGACAGGGTCTCACTCTGTTGCCCAGGCTGGAGTGCAGTGGAGCAATCACGGCTCACTGCAGCCTCTGCTTCCCAGGCTCAAGCGATTCTCCAGCCTCAGCCTCTTGAGTAGCTGGGAACACAGGCGCAAGCCACCAATGCCCGGCTAATTTTTGTATTTTTTTTGTAGAGACAGGGTCTCACCATGTTGCCCAGGCTGGTCTCGAACTTCTGAGCTCAAAGTTGATCTGTCCGCCTTCCAGTTTCGTTTCTTTAAACTGGCTGAACCAAGCAGGGTCCTGGCAGGAAAGAATGGAACCTGAATGGTTCAAATGAAGCAGCTTCAATGAAGAAGCCCTGGCTGAGCACGGTAGCTCACGCCTGTAATCCCAGGACTTTGGGATGCTGAGGCAGGTAGATCACCTGAGATCAGGAGTTTGAGACCAGCCGGGGCAACATGATGAAACCCCCTGTCTACTAAAAATATAAAAATTAGCTGGGCGTGGTGGCACGCACCTGTAATCCCAGCTACTTGGGAGGCTGAGATAGGAGAATTGCTTGACGCCAGGAGGCGGAGGCTGCAGTGAGCTGAGATCGTGCCGCTGTGCTCCAGCCTGGGTGACAGAGTGAGACTCCATCTCGAAAAAAAAAAAAGGGCCCTTACAGTCGTGTGGACAGAGCTAAGGAAGCAAAGGAGGAATGTCATGGTGCTGTTGGGGCCCAGTGAGAGCTGTAGTATTGGAGGGGGTGCGGCTATCGCCAGAGACTTAGGCATCCGAAGCTGGAGGGAGAAGACCCTAATCTGAAGCTCGCTCTCCTCCTGATCTTTTCTCTTGATCCCTCCCACTGGCTAAATCCACCGCAGAGTGCAATGAGTAAGGCGGCCAGGCGATGCCATTCACTGGGCTCAACCTCCCAGGGCTCAGAGCAGGGCAGAGAAGGGCAGACAGTGGCTCTGGAGCAGGGGATGGCGTCAAACAGAGGAAAAGCATTACCTCGGGGAATCGGGAGATCGGGAGTTGGAAATTAGGTCTAAGAATCTTTACAGGCCGGGCGCAGTGGCTCATGCCTGTAATCCCAGCACTTTTGGAGGCCGAGGCAGATAGATAATTTGAGGTCAGGAGTTCGAGAGCAGCCTGACCAACATGGTGAAACCCCGTCTCTACTAAAAATACAAAAAAATTAGCCGGACATGGTGGTTAGCACCTGTAATCCCAGCTACTCGGGAGGCCAAGGCATGAGAATCACTTGAGCTCTGGAGGCTGAGGTTGCAGTGAGCAGAGATCACAAATCCTCACAGCTCATTCTTTCATTCGTTCACAGTTGCAAATATCAAGCCTTTTGTTTTCTCTCTCCCTTCCTTCCTCCCTTCCTTCCTTCTCTCTCTCTCTTTCTTTCTCCCTTTCTCTCTCTCTCTTTCTTTTCTTTTTCTTTTTTTTTGAGACAGACTCTCATTCTGTTGCCCAGGCAGTACAGGGGCATGGTCATGGCTCACTACAGCTTTGAATTCCCGGGCTCAAGTGATCCTCCCACCTCAGCCTCCTGAGCAGCTGGAATTATAGGTATGCAGCACCACACTTGGCTAATTTTTGCATTTTTCTTTTTTCACTCTGTTGCCCAGGCTGGAGTGCAGTGGCATGTAATCTCAGCTCACTGCAACCTCTGCCTCCCAGATTCTCCTGCCTCAACCTCCCGAGTAGCTGAAATTACAGGTGCATGCCACCACGCCCAGCTAATTTTTGTATTTTTAGTAGAGATGGTGTTTCACCATGTTGACCACACTGGTTTTGAACTCTTGACCTCAAGTGATCCACCCGTCTTGGCCTCCCAAAGTGCTAGGATTATAGGCGTGAGCCACCTCGCCTGGCCATTTTTTGTTGTTGTTCTCAACTGAGATGGAGTCTCGCTCTGTTGCCCAGGCTGGAGCACAGTGGTGCAATCTCGGCTCACTGCAACCTCTGCTGCCTGGATTCAAGAGATTCTCAAGCCTCAGCCTCCCAAGTAGCTGGGAGTACAGCCCGCACATGTATTTTTTTTTTTTTTTTTTTTTTGGTAGAGAAGGGGTTTTGCCATATTGGCCAGGGTGGTCTTGAACTCCTGGCCTCAAGTGATCCGCAGACTTTGGCCTCCCAAAGAGCTGGAATTACAGGGGTGAGCCACTATGCCCAGCCTCTTTATACTTTTCTTTTCTCTTTTCTCTCTATCTCTCTTTCCTTCCTTCTCTATCTTTGTTTCTCCTTCTTTATTTTTCTTTATTGCCTTTTTCCACGTGTTCTGAAACTTACTTTCGTTCCTTCCTTCCTTCCTTCCTTCCTTCCTTTCTTTCCTTCTTTCTTTCTTCTTTCTTTCTTTCTTTCTTTCTTTCTTTCTTTCTTTCTTTCTTTCTTTCTTTCTTTCTTTCTGATGGGGTCTCACTCTATCACCTATGCTGGAGTACTGTGGTGCAATCATGGCTCACTGCAGCCTCAAACTCCTGGGCTCAAGCCATCCTCCTACCTCAACCTCCTGAGTAGCTGGGACCACAGGGGCACTACAACACATGGCTGATTTTTTTTTGTAGAGGCAGGGCCTCATTATGTTGCCCAGGCTGGTCTTGAGCTCCTGGCCTCAAGCAGTCCTCCTGCCCTGGCCTCTCAAAGTGCTGGGATTACAGACATGAGCCACTGTGCCCAGCCCCCTTTTCAAATATTATATATGGAAATATATCAAGGTATGAATTTTCCCAGTGGCCCTAAGGCGAAAGTATTCTTTCCACTTTACAGAGAAGGAAATTGAAGTTCAGAAAGGTTAAGAAAGTTGCCCAGGCCGGGTGCAGTGGCTCACACCTGTAATCCCAGCACTTTTGGGAGGCTGAGGCGGGTGGATCCCCTGAGGTCAGGAGTTCGTGACCAACCTGGCCAACATGGTGAAACCCCGTCTCTACTAAAAATACAAAAATTAGCCAGGTGAGGTGGCTCATGCCCATAGTCCCAGCTATTTGGGAGGCTGAAACACAAGAATTGCTTGAAACTGGAAGGCAGAGGTTGCAGTGAGCCGAGATCGCGCCACTGCACTCCAGCCTGGGCGACACAATGAGACTCCGTCTCAAAAAAAAAAAAAAAGTTTCCCAGAGCACCCTGTCATCAGTGTCTGAGTTGGAGTCCTGTCAGGACACCCTGGAGGGACTGGAGGGGACAGCAGGGAAGTCAGAGGGAGATTTGATGGCCGAGTGCAGTAGCCTCGGCCTGTAATCCCAGCACTTTGGGAGGCCAAGGCAGGAGGACTGCTTGAGTCCAGAAGTTCAAGACCAGCCTGGGCAACATATCAAGACCCTGTCTCTATTAAAAAGAGATTAGGGTGGGACAAGGCTGGCGCTCCCACCTGCACCAGGCAGGTAGCAGCCTCTGGGTGGCTCCAAGAAGCACACACTGAGCTGGAGGGCTGCCTCCCTATGGCAGTGTCACTCTGGGTGGCTCTGAGAGGCCACGCTGACCAGCCTGAAGGCATGTTAGAGTGGGACCAAACAGCCGCATGGGGCTTGGAAACCAAACGGGTTCCCTCCTTAAGTCACCTCCTCCCCATAAGATTTTGATTAAATCGTCAGGGTCTTCTGGTCACAACTAAAGCGTCAGCTTTAATAATGCCTTAATTTAAAAATCCTTGAAATAATCTCTGGCTGTCTTTAGCATGAAAGGATTTCCTTCCTCCCCGCCCCCCCCACCAAAGCCTTTAATTCTGCAGTCATCTAGGTTTCCAATGGAAGGTAACTCTGCGGGACTTTCATGGTACTAATTAATGACTCTAATCAGCATTCCAGTCTAACTGCTTTCTCCCTGTCTATTTTCTGGTTGCTTAACAAAGGGCTTACCTAGAACTTGTTTCAACTTCAAACAGACACTTCATAACAGTAAATTGCAATAAGGTTTTATCAAGTGAAATAACATTTTCATGCTCTTTCTACGGGGTCTTGGTATCAATGCAAATCCACTCTTAGGAAACATGACCTACCTTCCCCTCTTTCTCTCTGGTTGTTAGCAAAACATACACCCCGCCTTTTTTTTTTTTTTTTAAATGGAGTCTTGTTCTGTTGCCCAGGCTGGAGTGCAGTGGCGCGATCTCAGCTCACTGCAACTTCCACCTCCTGGGTTCAAGCGATTCTCCTGCCTCAGCCTCCCAAGTAGCTGGGATTACAGGCGCCCGCCACCATGTCCAGCTAATTTTTGTATTTTTAGTAGAGACAGGGTTTCACCATGTTGGCCAGGCTGGTCTTGAACTCCTGACCTCAGGTGATCCACCTGCCTTGGCCTCCCAAAGTGCTGGGATTACAGGTGTGAACCACTGCGGCCAGCCGTCATACCCTTTAAAAAATTTTTAAATTTAGATACAGGGTTTTGCTGTATCACTCAGGCTGGAGTGCAGCAGCGTGATCATAGCTCACTGCAGCTTTCAACTCTTGAGCTCAAGTGATCCTCCTGCTTCAGCCTCCCGTGTAGCTGGGACTAAAGGTGGACAACACCACACTCGGCTAATTTTTTAAAAACTTTTTGTAGAGACAGGGTCTTGTTATATTTCCCAGGCTGGTTTCGAACTCCTGGGCTCAAGCTATCCTCTTACCTCCTGAGTAGCTGAGACTATAGGCTCATGCTACCACCTCTGGCTAATTTATTTTTTTATTATTTTATTATTTTTTATATATATTTGTTGAGACAGAGTCTTGCTCTGTTGCCCAGGCTGGAGTGCAGTGGCATGATCGTGGCTCATGGCAACCTCCGCTTCCCGGGTTCAAGCGATTCTCCCGAGTGGCTGGGATTATAGCTACACCATGCCCAGCTAATTTTTGTAGTTTTAGTAGAGACAAGGTTCTCCATGTTGGCCAGTCTGGTCTCGAACTCCTGACCTCAAGTGATCTGCCCACCTCAGCCTCCCAAAGTGCTGGAATTACAGATGAGAGCCACTGTGCCCAGCCTAATTTATTTTTTAATTAATTAATTATTTATTTGGAGATTGGGGGGCCTCGCTATATTGCCCAGGCTGTTCTCAAACTCCTGGCCTCAAGTAATCCTCCCACCTCAGTCTCCCAAAGGGCTGAGATGACAGGCTTCAGCCACCGAGCAAAAATTAGCTTCTGAGGAGCACAGGGTAGGTACTTTGATCACGTACCTCACAGATCCTCTATAAGTAATCAGCATAAGATGATGTAGGGCTGATATTTCCAGGACCATCTGGAGACTTTTGATTTGAAGATAGCCCTGGATGACCCTTTCTTAAGTATTCAACTCAATAATTTTGGATAGAGATGTGTGAAGACAGGTCCTGGTCTTTATTGGAATGAATGATTAATTCTTTCTCTTGGGCTGGTTAAATGACAGGACCCACCTGACATTTTTATTTGCAATGTTCTCTTTGTTTTTGTCTTCACTTTTTTTTTTTTTCTGAGACAGAGTCTCGTTCTGTCACCCATGCTGGAGTGCAGTGGTGCGATCTTGGCTCACTGCAGCCTCCACCTCCTGGGTTCAAGCAATTCTCCTGCTTCAGCCTCCTGAGTAGCTGGAATTACAGAAGTGTGCCACCATGCCTAACTAATTTTCATATTTTTAGTAGAGATGGGGTTTCACCATGTTGGCCAGGCTGGTCTCGAACTCCTGACCTCAAGTGATCCGCCCGCCTCGGCCTCCCAAAGTGCTGGGATTACAGGTATGAGCCACTGTGCCCGGCCTTGGTTTTGTTGTATAAAAATAAATGAAGACAGATAGGCCTGGTGCGGTGGCTCACGCCTGTAATCCCAGCACTTTGGGAGGCCCAGGCAGGTGGATCATGAGGTCAGGAGTTCGAGACCAGCCTGGCCAAGATGGTGAAACCCCATCTCTACTAAAATTACAAAAAAAAATTAGCCAAGCGTGGTGGCAGGCGCCTGTAATCCCGGCTGCTTGGGAGGCTGAAGCAGAGAATTGCTTGAACCCAGTAGGTGGAGGTTGCAGTGAGCCGAGACCGTGCCACTGTACTCCAGCGTGGGTGACAGAGCGAGACTCCGTCTCAAAAAAAAAAAATAAAGAAAGAAAATAAATAAGAACACACAGTAAACACTTGTGTTGCTCAGGGTTGGAGAAACTTTAATGAATGCCCTCCAGATGCCTCCAGGAACTTAATGAGATGTTAAATGTGAAGGAAGCCCCGGTTGGAGCTGACCTCACCTGCAGCCTCTGCCCACTGAGCTGCCAGCTTAAGTGCCGAGTGCAGGAGCTGTGTTTTGGGGCCGCCTCCCACATGGCAGCGTGGCCTGCAGCTCTCCTTTCTCTGGGGGCTTGTGAGACTGAACCTCATGGTTCGTTGATCCACTCAGATATCCAGCTAATACTTACTAAGGTGTGATTAGTATGGCTGGGCATGGTGGCTCACACCTGTAATCCCAGCACTTTGGGAGGCCGAGGCGGGCAGATCACCTGAAGTCACCAGTTTGAGAACAGCCTGGCCAACATGATGATACCCCCATCTCTACTAAAAATACAAAAATTAGCTGGGCGGGGTGGCGGGCACCTGTAATCCCAACTACTCGGGAGGCTGAGGCAGGAGAATCGCTTGAACCTGGGAGGCAGAAGTTGCAGTGAGCTGAGATCGTGCCATTGCACTCCAGCCTGGGTGACAGAGCAAGACTGCATCTCAGAAAAAAAGCTGTGATGAGCATGAGGCTGTCAGGCCTGGGAACATAGACATGAATGAGAAGTTATCCTGTTCTCTGAGTGTGCACTCTGTCGTGCACTGTGTTAACATGGCAGATGTGTTAGGAAGTGAGCATGAGGCCAGGCGCGGTGGCTAATGCCTGTAATCCCAGCACTTTGAGAGGCCAAGGTGGGAGGATTGCCTGAGGCCAGGAATTTAAGGCCAGCCTGGGCAACAAAGCAAGATCCCATCTCTACCAAAAAAAAAAAAAAAAATTAGCTGAGCAGGGCGGTGCAGACACCTGCAGTCTCAGCTACTTGGGAGGCTGAGGTGGGAGGATCACCTGAGCCCAGGAAGTTGAGGCTGCAGAGAGCCATGATTGCACCATTGCAGCCTAAACAACAGAGTGAGACCTTATCTCTTAAAAAAAAAAAGTGGCCAGGCACCGAGGCTCACACCTGTAATCCCAGTATTTGGGAGGCCGAGCTGGAGGGATCACTTGAGGTCAGGAGTTTGAGACCAGCCTGGCCAACATGGTGGAAACCCCATCTCTGCTAAAAACACAAAAACTTAGCCAGGCATTGTGGCAGGTGCCTGTAATCCCACTCCACTTACTCCGGAAGCTAAGGTAGGAGAATCGCTTGAACCCGGGAGACGGAGGTTGCAGTGAGCTGAGCCTGGGCAGCAGAGCAAGACTGTCTCCAAAAAAAAAAAAAAAAAAAAAAACCCATAAAAAAAAGTGGTCATGCCGAGGGGAGGTGAATGTAGTCATAAGGCGGTGAAAAGATCTTTGGGAGCACAGAGGATGTGCATGATAAATTTTATTTTATTTATTTTATTTTATTTATTTTTTTGAGACAGCATCTTGTCTGGAGTGCAGTGGCACGATCACAGTGCACTGCAGCCTCGACCTCCTGGGCTCAAGTGATCCTCCCGCCTCAACCTCCAAAAGCGTTGGGATTATATGAATGAGTCACAGCGCCTGATTGGGTTCGGTTTTGGTTTTTTTGTTTTTGCCTTTTTGAGACAGTCCCCCTCTGTCACCCATGCTGGAGCACAGTGGCTCACTGCAACCTCCACCTCCTGGGTTCAAGCGATTCTCGTGCCTTAGCCTCCTGAGTAGCTGGGATTACAGACGTGCGCCACCACACCCTGGTAATTTTTGTATTTTTAGTAAAGACGGGGTTTCACGATATAGACCAGGCTGGTCTCGAACTCCTGGTCTCATGTGATCTGGCCTGCCTCAGCCTCCCAAAGTGCTAGGATTAGAGGTGTGAGCCACCATGCCCAGCCCGGGTTCAGTTTTTAACTTGCTGAGTCTGAGGGCCTATGGGAGGGGAGGATGCCGATGTCTGGGGGCGGACGGGGCAGCGCCGCCCTCTCAGCGATCGCCGGGGCCATGGCTTGCTCTCTGCCGTGCCTGGCTTTTGCACACTTTTTTGGTTTTGCTCCTTGGATTTTCATTTCCCACTGCCACCCAGCCCTCCAGCTGCGGACCTGGTCTCCTTTTTATATTTATGCACGTATTTTCTTTATTTTTTGAGACAGTGTCTTGCTGTGTCACCTAGGCTGGTGTGCAGTGGCACAAACATGGCTCACTGCAGCCTTGATCTCCTGAGCTCAGGTGATCCTCCTGCCTCAGCCTTCCATTTAGCTGGGACCACAGGCGCACGCTAGCATGCCTGGCTAATTTTTTTTTATTTTTGTAGAGATGGGGTCTCACTTTATTGTCCTGTTCTCAAACTCCTGGGCTCCAGTGATCCTCCCACCTCGGCCTCCAAAACTGTTGGGATTATAGGTGTGAGCCACGACAACTGCCCTGGACTTGCTCTTCAGAAGACCATGGCTTCCTCTTGCAACCTGTAGCCTGAGGCTGGTCTCCAAAGCCGCACAGATGCCTCCTCCTCACGGTTTTTTTCATGAGCTCTGGGCTTCCTGGGTGGGGCTGGAGGTGAGGAAGGGATTTGAGAATTGGGGGATTGATTGTATCTCAAGGCAGAACTCTGGCTCATTGGTCAGCCGCCTCTGGGAGATGTCCTCTCTCCAGCTCGGTGTGCCTGCACAGGTTTGAGTCCCTGCTGTTGAGAGATGACATTGTGCTGGCAGTCCTCAGAGCCCTCGCTTGCTCTCGGCACCTCCTCTGCCTGGGCTCCCACTTTGGCGGCACTTGAGGAGCCCTTCAGCCCACCACTGCACTGGGGGAGCCCCTTTCTGGGCTGGCCAAGGCTGGAGCCCACTCCCTCAGCTTGCAGGGAGGTGTGGAGGGAGAGGCGCGAGCAGGAACCGGGGCTGCATGCGGCGCTTGCGGGCCAGCTGGAGTTCTGGGTGGGCGTGGGCTTGGCGGGCCCTGCACTCGGAGCAGTCGGCCAGCCCTGCTGGCCCCGGGCAATGAGGGACTTAGCACCCGGGCCAGCAGCTGCGGAGGGTGTACTGGGTCCCCCAGCAGTGCCAGCCCACCGGCGCTGCGCTCGATTTCTCACCGAGCCTTAGCTGCCTTCCCGCGGGGCAGGGCTCGGGACCTGCAGCCCGCTATGCCTGAGCCTCCCACCCACTCCATGGGCTCCTGTGCAGCCCGAGCCTCCCCGACGAGCACCACCCCCTGCTCCAGGGCGCTCAGTCCCATCGACCACCCAAGGGCTGAGAAGTGCGAGCGCATGGCACGGGACTGGCAGGCAGCTCCACCTGCAGCCCCGGTGTGGGATTCACTGGGTGAAGCCAGCTGGGCTCCTGAGTCTGATGGGGCCTTGGAGGACCTTTATGTCTAGCTCAGGGATTGTAAATACACCAATCAGCACCCTGTGTTTAGCTCAAGGTTTGTGAGTGCACCAATCCACACTCTGTATCTAGCTGCTCTGGTGGGGCCTTGGATAACCTTTATGTCTAGCTCAGGGATTGTAAATACACCAATCAGCACCCTGTGTTTAGCTCCAGGTTTGTGAGTGCACCAATCGACACTCTGTATCTAGCTGCTCTGGTGGGGCCTTGGAGAACCTTTGTGTCAATACTCTGTATCTAACTAATCTGATGGGGACGTGGAGAACGTTTATATCTAGCTCAGGGATTGTAAACGCACCAATCAGCACCCTGTCAAAACAGGCCACTAGGCTCTACCAATCAGCAGGATGTGGGTGGGGCCAGATAAGATAATAAAAGCAGGCTGCCCGAGCCAGCAGTAGCAATTTGCTCGGGTCCTCTGCCAGAGTGTGGAAGTCTTGTTGTTTTGCTCTTTGGGTCTACACTGCTTTTATGAGCTGTAACACTCACCGCGAAGGTCTGCAGCTTCACTCTTGAAGCCAGTGAGACCATGAGCCCACCGGGAGAAACGAACCACTCCAGACGCGCCGCTTTAAGAGCTGTAACACTCACTGTGAAGGTCTGTAGCTTCACTCCTGAGCCAGCGCGACCACGAACCCACCAGAAGGAAGAAACTCCGAACACATCCGAACATCAGAAAGAAACTCCAGACGCACCACCTTAAGAGCTGTAACGTTCACCGTGAGGGTCCGTGGCTTCATTCTTTAAGTCAGTGAGACCAAGGACCCACCAATTCTGGACACACTGTGAGCACAGGTATGAGCCCCTGTGGTGTGCACAGGTGTGAGTCCCTGCCAAGAGCACATGTGTGTTTAGTTGGGCGTGCGCCTTTGGTTCAAACCTAGCCCCTTCATGTTTCAGCCATCTCAGCCCCACACACAGTATTACCTTTGACCCTCTGCCCACCTCTGCCTCAAGGCACCTCCCTACCTCTTAGCTTTGTTTGAATCCTTCCTCTACCTTCCACCTTCCTCTACCTTCCAATCCTCTCTCGACACCACGTGGATTTCCTGGTCACCAGACCCTCTGCCTCCACTCGCTCCTCTGACCTGCTAACTTCGAATTGTGTGGTATCGGGGATAATGTCTTTTTTTTTTTTTTTTTTTTTTTTTTTTTGAGGTGGAGTCTCACTCTGTCACCCAGGCTGGAGTGCAATGGCGTGATCTTGGCTCACTGCAACCTCTGCCTTCCGGGTTCAAGCGATTCTCCTGCCTCAGTCCCCTAAGTAGCTGGGATTACAGGTGCCCAGTACCACGCATGACTTAATTTTTTTGTATTTTTAATAGAGATGGGGTTTCACCACGTTGGCCAGGCTGGTCTCAAACCCCTGACCTCAGGGGAGCCACCCACCTCAGCCTCCCAAAGTGCTGGGATTACAGGCATGAGCCACCATGTCTGGCCAGGGACAATGTCTTTTTGTATTCTTCTGAAAGATCCTGTAAATCAAACTGAGGGAGACATGATGTCTCACCTGCTGGGCACCAGCGGGCTTGGTGTGGCTTGCCATGGATTAGGGTTGGATTGGTGAGAAGGAAGGACACAGGTGGGAAACTGAAGGACAGGAATGTGACCAGGCCCCCCAACGGTGCAGATGGACAGGCATCAAGAAGATCCCTTTGAGTCTAGGTGTGGTGGCTCATGCCTGTAATCCCAGCACTTTGGGAGGCTGAGGAGGGCGGATCACCCGAGGTCAGGAGTTTGAGACAAACCTGACCAACATGATGAAACCTGTCTCTACTAAAAATACAAAAAAATTGGCTAGGCATGGTGGCTCACACCTGTAATCCCAGCACTTTGGGAGGCGGAGGTGGGCAGATCATGAGGTCAGGAGTTTGAGACCAGTCTGCCAACATGGTGAAACCCCACCTGTACTAAAAATACAAAAATTAGCCGTGTGTGCTGGCAGGCGCCTATAGTCCCAGCTACTCAGGAGGCTGAGGCAGGAGAATCGCTTGAACCCGGGAGGTGGAGTTTGCAGCGAGCTGAGACCACGCCACTGTACTCCAGTCTGGGCGACAGCATAAGACTCCGTCTCAGAAAAAAAAAAAAAAAAAATTAGCCAGGTAGCCGGGTGCATGCGGTGGTTCATGCCTGTGATCCCAGCACTTTGGGAGGCTGAGGCAGGATGGATCACCTGAGGCCAGGAGTTCAAGACCAGCCTGACCCACATGGAGAAACTCGGTGTCTACTAAAAATACAAAATTAGTTGGGCGTGGTGGCGCATGCCTGTAATCCCAGCTACTTGGTAGGCTGAGGCAGGAAAATCACTTCAACCCGGGAGGCAGAGTTTGCGGTAAGCCGAGATTACACCATTGCACTCCAGCCTGGGCAACAGGAGCAAAATTCTGTCAAAAAAAAAAAAAAATTAGCCAGGCATGGTGGCTTGCGCCTGTAGTCCCAGCTACTTGGGAGGTTGAGGAAGGGGAATGGCTTGAACTCAGGAGGCAGAGGTTGCAGTGAGTGGAAATCGGCCACTGCACTCCAGCCTGGGTGACAGAGCAAGACTCCATCTTCAAAAAGACCAAAAACAAAAACAAAATGGACTATTGGAATAGCCATTTAATTTGCTGTCTTCCGAATATCTAGTTCACCACTGATGTTTGAGGAAACAGGCAAGTTTATACCTGTTGGTAGGCAGAGCAAAGAAGTATTCACTTTCATAGGGCCTGAGTGGAATTTTGGGGGTGTCCAGGTAAAGAAGAAAATTCAGGCTGGTCGAGGTGGCTCATGCCTGTAATCCCAGCACTTTGGGAGGCTGAAGTGGAGGGATTGCTTGAGTCCAGGAGCTTGAGACCAGCCTGGGCAACACAGGGAGACCCCAGTCTCTACAAAAAATTAGCTGGGCATGGTGGTGTGTGCCTGTGGTCCTAGGTACTTGGGAGGCTGAGGTGGGAGGATCACCTGAGCCCAGGAGGTCAAGGCTGCAGTGAGCCACGATCGCTCCACTGCCCTCCTGCCTGGGCGACAGAGTGAGACCATGTCTCCAAAAAAAAAAAAAAAAAAAAATCAAAAGTGGAGATCTTCTATAATATCTATATGTTCTGCTTGCATCTTGCCCTGGCCAAGTAGGGAACACTTGCAGCAAAGCAAAGAAATCTTTTGTTTTGACTCCCCTGCTCCCTTGAGTTAACTCCAGCCCATTCCTGCGTTGTTTTGGGATCCAGAACAGCTGGGAGCACAGACTGCTGGAGAAATCAGGATGAAAACAATTCTGTTCCTACCAGCACCTTCCTGAACTTCTGAGAGAATTGCAGAATCCATGTTCTATAGGGCAATGGGTGTGGTGGGGCGGATCTCTGTTTTAGATTAACAGGAGGATTTATCATGCCAAGAGGTCAATATTTACATTGGCTTTAGCATCATGAGTATTTACTTCTCTGTTCAGTGGCTCTCCCTGCTGACTTCAGCAGAAGCAAGATCTGCTTTTTGTCTGCTGAAGAGGATGCTGACTGATTACGTTCTTATCAGAAAGGTCTGGAAACAAAACTGTCACGGAGCCCACTTCCTTGGTGAAGCTTGTCTTCTTTCATCTAGAAATCTGATCTGGCCAGGCATGGTGACTCACGCATGTCATCTCAGCACTGTAGAAGGCCAAGGCGGGCGGGTCACCTGAGGTCAGAAGTTCAAGACCAGCCTGACCAACATGGTGAAACCCCGTCTCTACTAAAAAAAAAAAAAAAAAAAAAAGAAATTAGCTAGGTGTGGTGTTATGTGCCTGTAATCTCAGATACTTGGGAGGCTGAGGCAGGAGAACTGCTTGAACTGAGGAGGCAGAGGTTGCAGTGAGGAGAGATCGTGCCATTGCACTCCAGCCTGGGTGACAGAGTGAGACTTGGTCTCAAAAATAAAAAAAAAATCTACTCCAGCCTTGGGGACAGTCTCATGCTCTATAACTAATCTCTCTAACTAATCTCCTTCTACTTTTTATCTCTGTAGATTTGTGTATTCTGGACACTTCACATAAATGGACTCGTGACATTCATGTCTTGTTTCTTTCACTCAGCATAATGCTTCCAAGGTTCATCCATGATGTATCAAGTACTGTATTCCTTTTCATGGCTGAATAATATTCCATTGTACACATATAGCACCTTTTTTAAAATCAATTCATTTGGATTGCTTTTATTTTTTGGCAATTTTCAATCATGTGGCTATAAACATTCATATACAAGTTTTTGTGAGTATGTGTTTTCCTACTTTGGGATATATACCTGCTGGGCCACAGGGTAACATGAGGTTTAATTTTTTGAGCAACTGTCAAAACAGGCAGTTTTTGAATTCCTTTAAAAGTTACAACAACAACAAAAAAATGACCTATTTGAAAAATGAGGGGCAGAGTGTGGTGGCTCATGCTTGTAATCCCAGCATTTTGGAAGACCAAAGTGGGCAGATCATTTGAGGTCAGGAGTTCAAGACCAGCCTGGCCAACATGGTGAAACCCCGTCTCTACTAAAAATACAAAAATTAGCTGGGCGTGGTGACAGGCACCTGTAATCCCAGCTACTCGGGAGGCAGAGGCAGGAGAATCACTCAAACCTGGGAGGTGGAGGTTGCAGTGAGCAGAGATTGTGCCACTGCACTCCAGCCTGGGTGACAGAGCAAGACTCCTTTTCAAAAAAAAAAAAAACAGAAATCTGAACTCTTTGTACAAACAACCGTGTTCCTAAGGCTTTTGTGCACTTATAGCATGGGAGGAACACAAGATCCTTGACAAGTTGCTTCCTCTGTCTTCCCATCTGTAAAATGGGGATATGGGCTGAGCACGGTGGCTCACACCTGTAATCCCAGTACTTTGGGAGGCTGAGGCAGGCAGATCACCTGAGGTCGGGAGTTTGAGGCCAGCCTGACCAACATGGAGAAACCCCAACTCTACTAAAAATGCAAAATTAGCTGGGCGTGATGGCGCATGCCTGTAATCCCAGCTACTTGGGAGGCTGAGGCAGAAGAATCGCTTGAACCCAGGAGGTGGAGTAGGGATAATGACAATCACTACCTTGTCCATGTCAGCATCTCTATGAGCAGTTGAGGACACAAGGGCCAAGAAAGCACTTTGTGAACAGACAGCCATGTTTGTCCAGCTTCCATTTTAGTGGGGATATGGGGGGTGGTTATGTGGTAACCAAATGTCACCAAGGAAAGGAGGAGGAAGGAGAACTGAAACCTGGGTCGCAACTCCAAAATCTTTTTTTTTTTTTTTTTTTTTTTTTGAGATGGAATCTGCTCTGTTGTCCAGGCTGGAGTGCAGTGGCGCGGTCTTGGCTCACTGCAACCTCTGCCTCCAGGGTTCAAGTGATTCTCCTGCCTCAGCCTCCCAAGTAACTGGGATTACCATGCTCCACTAATTTTTTAATATTTTTAGTAGAGATGGGGTTTCGCTGTGTTGGTCAGGCTGGTCTCAAACTCCTACCTCGGGTGATCCACACACCTCGGCCTCCCACAGTGCTGGGATTACAGGCGTGAGCCACTACGCATAGCCCAAAACCTTTTTTGAGACACGGTCTCACTCTGTCGTCCAGTCTGGAGTGCAGTGGGTGATCACAGCTCACTGCAGCTGCCAACTCCTGGCCTCAAGCGATCCTCCCGCCTCAGCCTCCCAAGCAGCCGGGATTAATTAACAATTACTCAGCTATTTTTTTTTTTAGTTGTTTTTGTAGAGATATATTCTCACTATGTTGCCCAGGCTGGCCTTGAACTCCTGAGCTCCTGCCTTGGCCTCCCATGGGCATGAGCCACTGTGCCCAGCCCAAATCAAGGCCTTTAATGCTAGATGTCTCTGGTTCTTGGGAATAATGGCTTCTGCCTTTCCAGAAGTTTTGCATGGATTTAGACAATGGCAAGGGCACAGTTTTGAAATAGAGACAAGTACTTGTGTGGAATATCGGGACTCCGAGGGGTGGAGGTGGCAGCTGTCGTGACAACAGCAGCTAACATTCTTTTTTTTTTTTCTTTTTTTTTTTTTTTTGTGACAGAATCACTCTGTCACCCAGGCTGGAGTGCAGTGGCATGATCTCGGCTCACTGCAACCTCCATCTCCTGGGCTTAAGCAATTCTCCTGCCTCAGCCTCCCGAATAGCTGGGATTACAGGCATGAGCTACCACACCCGGCTAATTTTTATATTTTTTGTAGAGATGGGGTTTCACCATGTTGGCCAGGCTGGTCTTGAACTCCAGAGCTCAGGGATCCGCCCACCTCAGCCTCTCATGCCTCCCATGTGTAATCCCAGGCGTGGGATTACAGGCGTGAGCCACTGCGCCTGGCCTGCAGCTAACATTCTAATGTAGAAAACTTGGCCCTTTGGAGGACTCTGTTGACTACTTGATTTTAGGGCTGTTCAATTCTCCCACTTTTACTGTTCACCATATGTGTGTTTTTTCATTAAAAACAATGCAAATTCCTTGAGAGGCTGAGGCAAGGAATTCGAAACCTGCCTAAGCAACATGGCCAGACTCTGTCTCTATGAAAAACAAAAATAGCAAATTAGCCAGGCTTGGTGGTGCATGCCTGTAGTCCCAGCTATTCGGGAGGCTGAGGTGGGAGGATTGCTTGAGCCTGGGAGGTCGAGGGTTATAGTGAGCTATGATTGTGCCACTGCACTACAGCCTGGGCAATAGAGCAAGACTTTGTCTAAAAATAAAATTGGCTGGGCACGGTGGCTGATGCCTGTAATCCCAGCACTTTGGGACGCTGAGGTGGGTGGATCATTTGAGATTAGGAGTTTGAGACCAACCTGTCCAACATGGTGAAACCCCGTGTCTACTAAAAATACAAAAATTACCTGGGCGTCGGGGTGGGCACTATAATCTCAGCTACTCCAGAGGCTGAGGCAGGAGAATTGCTTGAATCTCAGCTACTTGGGAGGTTGAGGCAGGAGAATTGGTTGAACCCAGGAGGCAGAGGTTGCAGTGAGCCGAGATTAGACCACTACACTACCAGGGCTTCAAAGCCAGACTCCGTCTCAAAAAAAAAAGTAAAAATATAAAATGAAATAAAAATAAAAAAGGGAACCTCATCTCGTATGCATCTGTGCAGTCTGCCAGCTATCTTTTTTTTTTTTGAGACGGAGTTTTGCTCTGTCGCCCAGGCTGGAGTGCAGTGGCGAGATCTCGGCTCACTGCAACCTCTGCCTCCCGGGTTCATGCGATTCTCCTGCCTCAGCCTTCCGAGTAGCTGGGACTACAGGCGTGCGCCATCATGCCCAGCTAATTTTTTTTTATTTTTAGTAGAGACTGGATTTCACTCTGTTGGTGTGGCTGGTCTCGATCTCCTGACCTCAAATGATCCACCCTCCTTGGCCTCCCAAAAGTGCTGGGATTACAGGCGTGAGCCACCACGCCCGGCCGCCAGCTATCTTTTTAATGCCTTCTGAAATAATATTGTAAGCACTTGGAGGGTGGGTACCAGGCTATTTGCATTTTCAACATCCCTTCGCTGCACCCAGCACAGAGACGGGCACATAGAAGTGGCTTGTTATATGCTTACGGGCCAGAATGAACCTATTGTCCTGGACATGAAGAAGAGGACCAGGCATGGTGGCTCACACCTGTAATCCCAACACTTTGGGAAGCCAAAGCGGGTGGATTCCTTGAGGCCAGGAGTTCAAGGCCAGCCTGGGCAACATGCCAAAACCCTATCTCTATTAAAAATATAAAAATCAGCTGGGCTTGGTGGTGCATGCCTGTAGTCCCAGCTACTCGGGAGGCTGAGGTGTGGGAGGAATGATGCTCAGGAGGTCGAGGTGCAGTGAGCTGAGATGGCACCACTGCACTCCAGCCTGGGAGACAGAGGCACGGTTTAAAAAAGATGAAACTCAGATGACTGTCTTATTCCTGCAGTTTCTGGGATGTATTCATGCTTGTCCTAAAGACTTTCATCCTAGGCTGGGCACAGTGGCTCACGTCTGTAATCTCAGCACTTTGGGAGGCTGAGGTGGGCGGATCACCAAAGGTCAGGAGTCCAAGACCAGCCTGGCAAACATGGTGAAACCCTTTCTCTACTAAAAAAAAAAAAAAAAAAAAAAATTAGCTGAGTGTGGTGGCAGACGCCTGTAGTCCCAGTTACTTGGGAGGCTGAGGCAGGAGAATCACTTGAACCCAGGAGGCAGAGGTTGCAGTGAGCTGAGACTATACCACTGCACTCCAGCCTGGGCGATAGAGCGAGATCCAGTCTCAAAAAAAAAAAAAAAAAAAGAGGCTTTTGTCCTAAAATACTCTAGCACTATATGGAGTAATGTTATTCCTTTGTCTCCCTGTTTCTCCATGGTCACTCTAGCTTGGGTGCAGCCCCTGGCACTGGAAAAATGAGTTGAAGATAATAAACGATATTGCTGTTCCCTTACCGTGATGCCCAGCAGCATAAAGCCCGGTTGACAGCAACATGGAATATGGAATTTCTCTGCTCTTTAAGATCTCATTATGCGGGGAAGGTGGAAGGAAGAACGCTTACAAATTCCTGGGGGGGGATGACCTCATCATTTATTAGGTGTTGGCCAACTGCCCAAGGAGCACAGTTCAGATTCTTTTTGGGGGAGGCACTGAACATCCCCTGATAACCTAAATTCTCCAAATCTTTTAGGCCTCAAGGGAGGGAAGGAGGGCGAGAGGAACGAAGCAATTCCATTAGGAGGCTGTTTACTCCTAGATGACCAACTCTGAGTTTAAGACAGAGACTTGGGACTTGGGAAGTATGGACATTCCATTTATTTATTTATTGAGACAGAGTCTTGCTCTGGAGTGCAGTGGCGAGATCTTGGCTCACTGCAACCTCCGCCTTTCAGGTCCAAGTGACTCTCCTGCCTCAGCCTCCTGAGTAGCTGGGAATTACAGGCGCCCGCCACCACGCCCAGCCAATTTTTGTATTTTTTTTTTTTTTTTTTTTAATTTTTATTTTTTTTATTGATCATTCTTGGGTGTTTCTCGCAGAGGGGGATTTGGCAGGGTCATAGGACAATAGTGGAGGGAAGGTTGGCAGATAAACAAGTGAACAAAGGTCTCTGGTTTTCCTAGGCAGAGGACCCTGCGGCCTTCCGCAGTGTTTGTGTCCCTGGGTACTTGAGATTAGGGAGTGGTGATGATTCTTAACGAGCATGCTGCCTTCAAGCATCTGTTTAACAAAGCACATCTTGCACCGCCCTTAATCCATTTAACCCTGAGTGGACACAGCACATGTTTCAGAGAGCACAGGGTTGGGGGTAAGGTCACAGATCAACAGGATCCCAAGGCAGAAGAATTTATCTTAGTACAGAACAAAATGAAAAGTCTCCCATGTCTACTTCTTTCTACACAGACACGGCAACCATCCGATTTCTCAATCTTTTCCCCACCTTTCCCCCCTTTCTATTCCACAAAACCGCCATTGTCATCCCGGCCCGTTCTCAATGAGCTGTTGGGTACACCTCCCAGACGAGGTGGTGGCTGGGCAGAGGGGCTCCTCACTTCCCAGTAGGGGTGGCCGGGCAGAGGCGCCCCTCACCTCCCGGACGGGGCGGCTGGCCAGGCGGGGGGCTGACCCCCCCACCTCCCTCCCGGACGGGGCGGCTGGCTGGGCAGAGGGGCTCCTCACTTCCCAGTAGGGGCAGCTGGGCAGAGGCGCCCCTCACCTCCCGGACAGGGCGGCTGGCCGGGCTGGGGGCTGACCCCCCCACCTCCCTCCCGGACGGGGCGGCTGGCCGGGCGGGGGGCTGACCCCCCCACCTCCCTCCCGGACGGGGCGGCTGGCTGGGCAGAGGGGCTCCTCACTTCCCAGTAGGGGCGGCCGGGCAGAGGTGCCCCTCACCTCCCGGACGGGGCGGCTGGCCGGGCGGGGGGCTGACCCCCCACCTCCCTCCCGGACGGGTCGGCTGGCCGGGCGGGGGGCTGAGCCCCCCACCTCCCTCCCAGACGGGGTGGCTGGCCTGGCAGAGGGGCTCCTCACTTCCCAGTAGGGGCGGCTGGGCAGAGGCGCCCTCACCTCCCGGACGGGGCGGCTGGCCGGGCGGGGGGCTGACCCCACCTCCCTCCAGACGGGGCGGCTGGACCGGGCGGCTGACCCCCCACCTCCTCCCGACGTGGCTGACACCCCCACCTCCCTCCCGGACGGGGTGGCTGGCCGGGCAGGGGGCTGACCCCCCCACCTCCCTCCCGGACGGGGCAGCTGGCCGGGCGGGGGGCTGACCCCCCCACCTCCCTCCCGGATGGGGCGGCTAGCCGGGCGGTGACCGCCCCCACCTCCCTCCCGGATGGGCTGACCCCCCCACCTCCCTCCGGACGGGGCGGCTGGCCGGGCCGGGGGGCTGACCCCCCCACCTCCCTCCCGGACGGGGCGGCTGCCGGGCGGAGACGCTCCTCACTTCCCAGACGGGGTGGCTGCCGGGCAGAGGGACTCCTCACTTCTCAGACGGGGCGGCTGCCGGGCGGAGGGGCTCCTCACTTCTCAGATGGGGCGGATGCTGGGCGGAGGGTCTCCTCACTTCTCAGACGGGGCGGCTGGGCAGAGACGCTCCTCACCTCCCAGACGGGGTCGCCGCCGGGTAGAGGCGCTCCTCACATCCCAGACGGGGCGGCGGGGCAGAGGCGCTCCCCACATCTCAGACGATGGGCGGCCGGGCAGAGACGCTCCTCACTTCCCAGATGGGATGGCTGCCGGGAAGAGGCGCTCCTCACTTCCTAGATGGGATGGCGGCCGGGCAGAGACGCTCCTCACTTTCCAGACTGGGCAGCCAGGCAGAGGGGCTCCTCACGTCCCAGACGATGGGCAGCCAGGCAGAGACGCTCCTTACTTCCCAGACGGGGTGGTGGCCGGGCAGAGGCTGCAATCTTGGCACTTTGGGAGGCCAAGGCAGGCGGCTGGGAGATGGAGGTTGTAGCGAGCTGAGATCACGCCACTGCACTCCAGCCTGGGCACCATTGAGCACTGAGTGAACCAGACTCCGTCTGCAATCCCGGCACCTCGGGAGGCCAAGGCTGGCGGATCACTCGCGGTTAGGAGCTGGAGACCAGCCCGGCCAACACAGCGAAACCCCGTCTCCACCAAAAAAGTATGAAAACCAGTCAGGCGTGGTGGCGCGCGCCTGCAATTGCAGGCACTCGGCAGGCTGAGGCAGGAGAATCAGGCAGGGAGGTTGCAGTGAGCCGAGATGGCAGCAGTACAGTCCAGCTTCGGCTCAGCATCAGAGGGAGACCGTGGAAAGAGAGGGAGAGGGAGACCGAGAGGAGAGGGGAGAGGGGAGAGGGGAGAGGGAGAGGCAGAGGCAGAGGCAGTACAGTCCAGCTTCGGCTCGGCATCAGAGGGAGACCGTGGAAAGAGAGGGAGAGGGAGACCGAGAGGGAGAGGGGAGAGGGGAGAGGGAGAGGCAGAGGCAGAGGCAGGGGCAGGGGCAGGGGCAGGGGCAGGGGCAGGGGCAGGGCTAGTTATCCAATTTTTGTATTTTTAGTAGAGACGGGGTTTCACCATGTTGGGCAGGCTGGTCTCGAGCTCCTGACCTTGTGATTTACCTGCCTTGGCCTCCCAAAGTGCTGGGATTACAGGCGTGAGCCACCATGCTTGGCCATCTTCCTGTCGTCTTCTAACAACAATCCTACAATCCTTCTTTGAGGGGAGAAGGACAGGCTCAGTATGTAACCCAGGCTGAAGTGTCATGGCACCATCATGGCTCACTGCAGCCTTGAACCCTTAGGCTCAAGCAATCCTCCTGCCTCAGACTCCTGAGTAGCTGGGACTACAGGCACACACCTCCACGCTTTGCTTTTTTTTTTTTTTTGTAGAGATGGGGGGGTCTCACTATGTTGTCCAAGCTGGCCTCGAACTCCTGGCCTTAAGCAATCCTCCCGCCTCAGCCTCCCAAAGCATTAGGTCTTTGTTGTTTTGTTTTTTGAGACGGAGTCTCACTCTGTCCCCCAGGCTGGAGTGCAGTGGCATGATCTCAGCTCACTGCAACCCCGGGTTCAAGCGATTCCCCTGCCTCAGCCTCCTGAGTAGCTGGGATTACAAGTGCATGCCACTACGCCCAGCTAATTTTTTCTATTTTTTTAGTAGAGACAGGGTTTCACCATGTTAGCCAGGCTGGTCTTGAACTCCTGACCTCAAGTAATCTGCCCACCTCAACTTCCCAAAGTGCTGGGATTACAGGCGTGAGCTACTGTGCCCGGCTTCCAAAGGATTAGGATTACTGAAGTGAGCCATTGCCACTGGCCTCTACAATCCTTTTGCAAAATGTGCTCCAGTCCAGCAAACACTTCCATATTTGATGGTTTTTCTCCATCCTGTAGGCATTTTACAGACAGGAGTTTTCAACTGGTCACAGGGGCAGAGCAAGCCTCAGGGCATCTGCACCCTTAGGTTGCTTTTGGAAGAATTAGGAAAAAAGCTCCCAGGCCGGGCTAGGTGGCTCACACCTGTAATCCCAGCACTTTGGGAGGCGGAGGTGGGTGAATCACCTGAGGTCAGGAGTTCGAAACCAGCCTGGCCAACATGGCGAAACCCCGTCTCTACTAAAAATACAAAAATTAACCCGAAATGGTATTGCTTGCCTGTAATCCCAGCTACTCGGGAGGCTGAGGCAGAAGAATCACTTGAACCCGGGAGGCAGAGGTTGCAGTGAGCCGAGATCGCACCACTGCACTCCAGCCTGGGTGACAGAGCGAGACTCCAACTCAAAAAAAAAAAAAAAAGAAAAAGAAAAAAAAAAAAAGGAACAAAATGCTCCTAACCCGGGCGAGTAGAGTACGGGCTGGATTTCTGGTCCCACCTGGGCCTGGAGCAGGGTCCAAGCCCTATGGGAATCCTGCAACATAGAAAAGACCAAAACTTGGGTCCAGGCTGGCCTTGGGCCCAGCATGGGATCTAGGACTCTGCTTTTCTGTTTATAAAAGGTGGGATTGTCCTACATCTTCCTGAAGCCCTTTTCTGGATAGGATGTCTCATGAATCTGTGATTCTAGCTACAACTTTTTTCTTTTTTTGAGATGGAGCCTCACCTTGTCATCCAGGCTGGAGGCCAGTGGCCTGATATTGGCTCACTGCACCCTCCGCCTCCTGAGTTCAAGTGATTGGCTTGCCTCAGCCCAGCCTGTAGTTGAGATTACAGGCACCTGCCACCACACTAGGCTAATTTTTGTATTTTTAGTAGAGACGAGGTTTCACCATGTTGGCCAGGCTGGTCTCGAACTCCTGACCTCAGGTGATCCGCCCACCTCGGCCTCCCAATCTAGCTACAACTTCTCACCCCAACTGACCCTTCCGCCCCTCCCAAAGCTTCTTACCTGGAAGAGACAGCGGGGCAGGTGGGGGCTGGAGGTTAAAGGGGAAGGAGGAGAATCCTGGGAAGCTCTGGTCAGTTTCTCACGGGAACGCAGCGCTTTGATCCAAAGAGCCCTGCACAAGGATCGGAAGACTCGCATTTGTCTGGCTTAACTTTCTCCAGCCTCAGTTTCCACTTCTGAATGGGACCATCGAGGGCAGTGTGGCGAGGATTCACCAACATCGTCCAGGTGAAATTGGCAGACACAGAATGGGCGCTCCGAAAGCATTCGCGGACCCGAAGAAGGTTTGGTTTCAAAGGTTCTAAGGTGTGTAGCGGGGGCCTGGGCGCGAGGTCTGGCTTTCGGGGTGTTAGGCTCCAGGGACCTCCTGCGGAGCTCGCACCCTAGCTCTGCCGCCACTGCCGCCTCCTCGGCCCCGGACCGCCGAGGGTTAACAAAAAAGCCCCACGCCCCCTTTGACGGCTTAGAGCCCACCTCGCCGAATTTGAAAAGGCGGCCCCGGAGAGGCGTGGGCGCCCCCCACACATTTCCAGCTCGCACCCGGGCTCCGACCGCTCGCCCCGCTCCTCTCGCTGTGCTCCCGGCCGGTGCCGCGGGTTCGGTCCGGGCGCCGGTGCGCTCCTGCCGGTCCTCGTGCCCGGGACTCCGGGTCCCCGCGGGCTGCTGCGCACGATGAAGCTGGCCCTGCTCCTGCCCTGGGCGTGTTGCTGCCTCTGCGGGTCGGCGCTGGCCACCGGCTTCCTCTATCCCTTCTCGGCCGCAGCTCTGCAGCAGCACGGCTACCCCGAGCCCGGCGCCGGCTCCCCTGGCAGCGGCTACGCGAGCCGCCGGTGAGTAGCTCGGGGCCGAGGGGCCGGGGGGTGGGGGGAGGGAGCGGACAGCGGGGGCCCTGGCCACTGGGTGGCTGGAGCGAGGCTTGGGGGCTGGAGAGCGGGGCGATCCGGGACTTGGGGGCGCAGGGCAGCGGGGACTGGGGGCTGCAGACACCGGGCAGCTGGAACGAGAGCTGGAGGGGGTTGGGGTGCGGGGCGATTCGGGCCTGGGGGCGCGGGGTGGCGGATGCCAGGGGCAGGGGACACGGGGCAACTGGGACGAAATGGCGGTGGCTGGGGGTTGGGGTCACGGGGGGAAAGACCGAAGGGCCTTGGGTGCAGGGCGATTGGGGGCTGGGGCGCGGGGCGGCGGGGGTTGGGGGCTGCAGACGGGGCAGCTGGAACGAGCGATGGAGGAGGCTGGGGGTTGGGGCCGCGGGGCTGCGGGGCTGCGGGGTTGCGGGGGCTGAAGGTTCGGGTCCGGCTCCGGGGCTGCGGTGGTCTCTGGCCGCGCCCACCCTGTCCCTTCCTTTCTTCGCTTCCCCAACCTTCGCCCCCTCGTTCCGGGCTCCGAGTAGAGGTGGTTCCGACCGCCGTGGCTGGGGCTGGGGCTCTGCCCGGGGCGTTCGGCCGCTCACGTGGCTCTGCCGCTCACCTGCGCGGCTGCGGCTTTGTGTCGCGGAGCAGGTTCTCGGGTGGCCAAGGCCTCGCGTCCCGGGCACCCCTCTCCTATCAGCGGCCCCAGGACACCAGAGGGGTCATTCCCGCCCAGTCTTTGGGGCTGAGGCCGCGGAGGATCCTCGGCTGCGACTCCCCAGCCACCCCGGGACGTGGAACCGGCTGGGATCGGGTGGCTCCGTGGCGGGGTTGGAGAGGGCGCAGGGTCACCGGGCCCGGGCGCCGGGACCCGCCAGGCGTCTCCTTCCTCTCGGCCGGCAGGTGGCGCCATGGCCACCCCCGGGACGCTCAGGGCTGCGGCTCCGGAGCCCGCATTTGAATTTCCCCAGAAAACCATAAGCATGCAAGTAAAAGTTGCCAAACGCCTCGTTTGCATAACTCGCTTGAATTTAGCTTTTCTCATTTAGTGATAACTACAACCTACACAGCTATGACAGCGCTCTGGAATGCACTACCTGTGTCTGTTCCCTCCGTCTCTTTTTTATATTTTAATTTTTTTTTTTTGCAGAGGCAGAATCTCAACTCTGTTGCCCAGGCTTGTCGCAAACTCCTGGGCTCAAGCGATCCTCCCGCCTTGGCCTCCCAATCTCCATTTCTTTTGATCCTTAACAACCCTAGGGTTAAAACATTAGAGTAGTATCTTTCCTTTAGCTGAAGAAACAGAGGCTCAGGATTTGCTAGGCCTAGGAGCCACTCAGGACTGACCTCTTGTGCTTTCTTTCTTTTTTTTTTTTTTTTAATATAGGGTCTTGCTTGCTCCCCAGGCTGGAATGCAGTGGTGCGATCATAGCTCACTGCAAACCTGATCTCCCAGGCTCAAGTGATCCCCCGACCTTGGCCTCCTGTGTAGCTGAGATCACAGGTGTACACCATCATGACTGGCTAATTTTTTGATTTTTTGTAGAGGTGGGATCTCACTGTGTTACACATGCTGGTCTCAAACTTCTGGCCTCAAGAGATCCTCCTGCCTCGGCCTCCCAAAATGCTGGGATTACAGGCGTGAGCCACCACGCCAGGCCCAGATCTGGTGTTTTCTAGCATACTGCTCTGCCTATCAAAGCTAAAAGACAGCTCCTAGTTCTTTTTTTCTCCTTGATATTTACCAAATCAGAGGACTCCAAGATGATTTCTGGCTAATTCCTTAATAACAAGGAGACAGGGATGTTTCATGCTGGGAAGAAATATACAGTCATGGCTGAATAGGGCGGGACCCAGAAAAGCATAAAAGTGCCTCTGGAAAAGTTTGTATGCAATCCTATTTCTCTCATTTTGTTTGGAAATACTTACCCGGGGCTTCTATGAGGAGCATTCTCCAAACACCCACGCTAGTGTGGCCTCTGCACAGTTCCATATGAGGATTGTCTAAAAAACAAGCTTTTCAAGTTACAGAATAATATATACAGCACGATTTCATTTATGAAAAGGAAAATCAGATCTACATCTAGGTAGATAAATGCCTGAAAAAAGTTTCTAGGAAACCATTTCAGCAGTTAATGTTATGAAGAAGTCTAGGGCTGGGCCAGGGGACTGTCCCATTTTCCCTCTGTCTGCTTGTGGCTTGTCTGAATGTTTTTCTGGTTTCTGTGTTTTTTTTGAGACAGAGTCTCGCTCTGTCTCCCAGGCTGGAGTGCAATGGTGCAATCTTGGCTTACTGCAACCTCTGCCTCCCAAGTTCAAGTGATTCTCCTGCCTCAGCCTCCCAAGTAGCTGGGATTACAGGTGCCCACCACTGCGCCTGGCTAATTTTTGTATTGTTGGCCAATAAAAAATGTAACGTTGGCCAGGCTGGTCTCAAACTCCTGGCCTCAAATGATCTGCCTGCCTCAGCCTCCCGAAGTGCTGGGATCACAGGCATGAGCCACTGTGCTTGGTCCCTAAGAGAACCTACTGGCCGGTACGGGGATTGAATGGATGTTTTGCAAGGAGCGTATATTCATGTAATACTTTTGTAATTAAAAGGTGTGGGAAGGAAAAAAAAAAAGGTGTTTGCAGCCTGAAATACGCCTGCAAAAAAGCAAGAGGTGAGGACCATGAAGAGCGGGAGCGAATGGGGACCTCATTCTGGCATTTGGTGGGTTGGAACTTGGGGACATCTGCAGAAACTTGGAAGGGATCATTTTAGCACAAACAAAAAGAGGCTCAAACAAGTGTGGAATCTTCCAGAACTCTTTCCACCAGGATAAGAACAGGGAGAGGATATAATTAGGTTTAGGGAGGATGTGGATGAATCTGTGGGCAATGGATTCCTAAAAAGGATACCAGAAGGTGTTGGGGAGGCTTGGGGCACATTGATATTCCAGAGTGTGACTGAGTCTCTTTGCCCAGAAAGCCCAGCGTGGGCATTGCAGGCACCTGGTTGTTGCCTGGGTGAGTTACAGGCTGGAGCTGGCTTGGGCGTCACATGTTTCTGTGTCTCATGAGCTATCTATCACAAGTGTCCCTTGTCCTTGAGATCCAAGATGTCCAGAAGCTGAAGGCTTGGGGACAGCAGTGGTCCTTGCAGCCTTGGCCTTCAGTAGTGTGTTTACCGGGGCTTGGCTTCAGTTGACAGGCAATGATGACAGGGCTGTTTCTTGACAAAGAGTGCTTTAATTTCATTGTTACTGCTCCTTGTTAACGTCTGATTTTTTTTTTTTTTTTTTTTTTTTTTTTTTTTTTTTTTTTTTTAAAGACAGGGTCTTGCTCTGTCACCCAGGCAGGAGCGTAATGGTGCAATCATAGCTCACTGCAGCCTCGACCTCCTGGGTTCAAGCAATCCTCCCACCTCAGCCTCCTAAGTAGTTGGGACCATAGGCATGGGCCACCATGGCTGGCTAACTTTTAAATTTTTCATAGAGGTGGGGTCCTGCTATGTTGCCCAGGGTGGTCTTGAACTCCTGGCTTCAAGTAATCCTTCAGCTTTGGCCTCCCGAAGTGTTGGAATTACAGGTGTGAGCCACTGTGCCTGGCCAAAAAGCAGTTTTTAATTGTTAGTTTGTTCAAATCAGGATCTAAATAAGTCTGCTTATTGGTTATTCTGTCTTTTCTCTCCCTTTTAGTGTAGGAAAGTCTTCCCCCTTTGAGAGAGTACTTTTTCCTCCACGCTGTTGACTTGTTGAAGACCAGTTGTTCTCTGCGATGTCCACGTACTAGATTTAGCTATTTCCTTCCCAGTGGTGTAGTTAACTTGATCTGCAATGTCCACGTACTAGTTTTGACTAATTGCTTCCCAGTGGTGTAATTAATTGGATCCTCTGCCCCCTGTATCTCTTCTATTTTGGAAGTTAGGTTGGAAGGTTTGATTAGATTTATGGTCTCTATTTGGGCTTGCTGGGAGAGACAGAAATTCTTCATAGGTGGTCTAGTCTACCATATTATATCAGGAGATGCTCTGGACTGATGTGTGTGTCCCCACCAAATTCATATGTTGAAGCCCTATCCTCCAATGTGGTGGTATTTGGAGGGGGGACCTTTGGAGGTAACTAGATTTAGATGAAGTTGTGAGGGCTGTGCCCCATTATTTGATTAGGGATGTTATAAGAACAGGAAGAGAGGCCAGGTGCGGTGGCTCATGCCTGTAATCTCAGCACTTTGGGAGGCCCAGGTGGGTGGATCACCTGAGGTCAGGAGTTTGAGACCAGTCTGGCCAACATGGTGAAAACCCGTGTCTACTAAAAATACAAAAATTAGCCGGGCGTGGTGGTGCACACCGGTAGTCCCAGCTACTTGGGAGGCTGAGGCACTAAAATCGCTTAAGCCCGGGAGGCGGAGGGTACAATGAGCTGAGATCATGCCACTGCACTCCAGCCTGGGCAACAGAGTGAGACTCTGTCTCAAAAAAGAAAAAAAAAAAAAAAAAGAAGAAGAGAAATCAGAGCTCTCTCTCTTTGCCATGTGAGGACACAGCACAGCAAGAAGGTGGCTGTCTGCAAACCAGAAAGAGAACCCTCACCAGGAACTGAATCTGCCAGCACCTTGATCTTAGACTTCCCAGCCTCCAGGGCTATGAGAAATAAATGTCTGCTACTTAAGCCATTCAGTCTGTGGTATTCTGTTACGGCAACCTTGAGCTGACTAACAGAAGGATGTGGCTTTATTCTGGAAAGCTGGGTGTTAAATATTCAGCAGAACACCACTGTCTACAAGTCTCCTCCACTGTCTCCCTTCTTTTTGTTGCAATTTATTTGTTGAAGAAACTTGGCCTTCTAGATTGTTCCTTTTTCAGGATTTTGTTGGTTATATGCTCATGGTGCCTGTGAACATGTTCATCTGTCCTCTTTATTTCCAGATAATGGGAAATTAGATCAAGAGCTTGGTTGGATCTAGTTCTTCCTCCTCCTTCGTTTTCTATTTTGGCAGAATTACATCTTGGGTGCTGTAGTGTTTTTCCATTGGAAATCACAACGTCTGGTTGTCTCTCTTTTTCTCTCGTGATGCTTGAGGTGTTGGTGATCATTGCGTATGTCATTCTTTCATTAAGGATCGCAAAGTGGATGCAAGACAGGCAGGCCCCCAAATTGGGGCTTAGCCAGGAGGGTTCTTGGCTTCACCCAGGAAAGAATTCAAGGGTGAGTGGGTGGTTTCAGACAGCAACTTTAATTGATGTGGCAGTGTACAGCTGCAGCAGAGGTCCTGCTCCTTGCAGAGCAGGGATACCCCATAGGCAGTGTGCCCAGACTAGCAGCTCAGAGGCAGTTTGGCACTATTTATACTTACTTTTAACTATATGCAAATTAAGGGGCAGTTTATGCAGGAATTTCTAGGATGAAGGTGGTAACTTCTAGGTTGTTGGGTTGTTGCCATGGAAAGGCATGGTAACTTCCGGGTGTTGCCCTGGCAAATGGTAACTGACATGGTGCCCTGGTGAGTGAGTCTTATGGGGATGTGCTTCGTCCTAACCTGTTTTAGCTAGTCCTCAATTTGGTCCGGTGTCAACCCCAACCTCCAGAGTCAAGTCCCGCCTCCTACTTCAAAGTAGTACTATAATTTTGACTCTTTTTAAAATTCGTAATTGCTAGAATACTTATAATTTCCCCCTTATTTACTATTTGTAGGTAGAAAAAACTCACTCAAAATCTGGCTCTTTCCAAAAAAAAAAATTCTTTTTGCAAATGTAAGCAATTTGTGTGTGTATGTGTGTGTGTGAGCGTAACAGTGTGTATGAGTATGTGTGTGTTTGTGTCTGTATCCTCCTCCTTTTCTTACACAGAGGTAATATGCTAGTTACTCTGTCTTCAACTTGGCCTTTTTCCATCATAACGTGTTGTGGAGATGGCTCTATCAAAAAGCAAAGATGGGGGGGCATGATGACTCACGCCTGTCATCCCAGCACTTTGGGAGGCCAAGGTGGGTGGATCGCTTGAGGTCAGGAGTTCGAGACCAGCCTGGCCAACATGGTGAAACCCCTTCTCTACTAAGAATACAAAAATTAGCTGGGCATGGTGGCGCATGCCTGTAATCCCAGCTACTTAGGAGGCTGAGGCAGGAGAATTGCTTGAACCCAGGAGGTGGAGGTTGCAGTGAGCTGAGATCACGTCACTGCACTCCAGCCTGGGTGACAGAGCAAGACTCAGTCTTAAATAAATAAATAAATAAAGCAAAGGTAATCTGCATCTTTTTTTTTTTTTTTTTTTTTTTGAGACAGAGTCTCGCTCTGTCGCCCAGGCTGGAGTGCAGTGGCGCAATCTCGGCTCACTGCAAGCTCTGCCTCCCGGGTTCAGGCCATTCTCCTGCCTCAGCCTTCTGAGTAGCTGGGACTATAATCACCCGCCACCACACCCGGCTAATATTTTTGTATTTTTTTTTAGTAGAGTTCTGCATCCATTTTTATGGGTCTGTTGTTCTGTACAGTGTGAGTGACTGTATTTATTCAGCTAGTCCTCTACTGATAGACACTTGTGTTGGTAAATGGCAAACACATGTTTAATTCTGCTAGATAGCGTCAAGTTTCCCTCCACTGGGGTTACAGCATTTTGCATTCCCATCAGCAGTTTCTTCTTGGGGTACATTTTGAAGAGTCCATTTTATTTTATTTTATTTATTTGTTTTTTGAGATGGAGTTTCGCTCTTGTTGCCCATGCTGGAGTGCAATGGCATGATCTCGGCTCACCGCAACTTCCGCCTCCCAGGTTCAAGCGATTCTCCTGCTTCAGCCTCCGTAGTAGCTGGGATTACAGGCATGTGCCATCATGCCTGGCTAATTTTGTATTTTTTGTAGAGATGGGTTTCTCCATGTTGGTCAGGCTGGTCTCAAACTCCCGACTTCAGGTGATCCACCCGCCTCAGCCTCCCAAAGTGCTGGGATTACAGGCATGAACCACCGCGCCTGGCCTGAAGAGGACATTTTAAATGATGCTGGTTGATATGGCCTTTCAGGGGTAAGAATAGACTTCCCTGATCTTATAGCACCTGCAAGTCCTGGCCACCCCTAACCTTTTTGGGGCTTGGGGCAAGACTAAAGATGAAGACCATTCACCATTTGGCTAGATATTTAAAAGTATAAAATCAAGCTGACACACTGTTTGTTTTGTTGTTGTTGTTTGTTTTGTTTTTGTTTTTTGAGACGGAGTCTGGCTCTGTTGCCCAGGCTGGAGTGCAGTGGCACGATCTTAGCTCACTGCAACCTCCGCTTCCCAGGTTGAAGCGATTCTCCTGCCTCAGCCTTCCGACTAGCTGGTATTACAGGCATGCACCACCATGCCTGGCTAATTTTTTGTATTTTTAGAAGAGATGGGGTTTTGTCATGTTGGCCAGGCTGGTCTCGAACTCCTGACCTCAGGTTATCTGCCCACCTCATCCTCCCAAAGTGCTGGGATTACAGGCATGAGCCACTGCACCCTGCCCACCTTTCCTTCATCTATACCTGCTGCTTCAAACTCTCTCTGTCTCTGAATTCACTTTCTTGTGGTTTCGTCTAAGCCAAAGTGCTTGGTGTGTCCCCTCCTCACTCAAAATGCCTCCCTCTTACCTTGACTCCCCCCTCTTTTGGTAGAACCACAAGCACCCTTCCTCCAGGAAGTCTCTCTGGATTTACCTCCCAGCTTTCTGTTCATCTCATTTGTGGGTAGCCCCTGCACCTGTGATTTGTGGGTAGCCCCTGCATCTGTGATTGTGGTTTTGGTTCTAGAACTCACTTCCCCAGTTTCCCTCCTTGCAGATGGAGTCATTTCTCCTTCCTCATTTACTCCCTACAGGAGTGGCTCTGAGCAGCCGTCCTTGGGCAAGCGTGCATGAGCTGGAGCTTAGCCCTGCCCACCACCCACCACTGCCTCTTGGAAATGTGAGCCGCTCCAGGTCAGGCATTTAATCACCTTGCATTCACTGAGCCCACGTGTAGGTAGGGTAGAGGCTGGGGACTCAAACGTGAAGGCAGGGGGCTGTGCCTGGTGGCCTGCATGGAGGAAGAGCTCAGCAGACTCTGGGGAAGTGGATGATCACATCCATGGGGACTTGTCCCTCCGACTGGATTGCATGCCTCTGCAGTGTTGGACCCCTGCCTTTGCTCTCTGGTTCCCTACATTCAAGAATTGGCAACTGTGATTAGCTATGGTGCCTCATGCCTTTAATCCCAGCACTTTGGGAGACCGAGGTGGGAGGATCACTTGAGCCCAGGAGTTTGAGACCAGCTGGGACAACATAGCCAGACCCTGTCTCTGTAAAAAAAAAAAAAATTAAAAAATTAGCTGGGTGTGGTGGTGCACACTTGTAGTCCTGGTGGAAGCTGAGGTAGGAGGATCACTTGAGCCCAGGAGTTTGAGACCAGCCCGGGAAATATAGTCAGACCCTGTCTTTGCAAAAAAAAAACTTTAAAAAATTAGTTGGGCATGGTGGTGCACACTTGTAGTCCCAGGTATTTGGGAGGCTAAGGTGGGAAGAACGCTTGAACCCAGGAAGTTGAAGCTGCAGTGAGCTATGATTACACCACTGCGCTCCAGCCTGGGTGACAGAGTGAGACCCTGTCTCTGGGGCAGTGAGATGTTTCAGACCCAGCCTCCGTCCTTGATGAGCTCAGAGACTGGTTGGGGAAAACAGATCCATGAGCAAGAGTGGAATTTGGTGTGATACAAATGTGTGCAAAGTGAGCTAGGGGAGTTAGGGTTTGTGGGAGCCTGGGAGTCTTTGTGCCTCAGTTTTCTCATCTGTAAAATGGGAATGACTTCAGTACTTCATTAAGTTGTTCTGGGGCTTACATGGGTTAATATTAATAATGTTCTTAGGAAAAAGGATAGTAAACCCTCTGTTCATGAATGTGACCGTGGACTGCATTCATATGCCTTGCAAAGGTTGCAAGGACGGGGGAGTTCCACAAATATATGAAGCCTTGGAATCTTTTTCTGGGGAGCATTTTGTTTTTTGAGACGGAGTCTGGCTGTGTTGCCCAGGCTGGAGTGCAGTGGTGCGATCTTGGCTCACTGCAACCTCCGCCTCCAGGGTTCAAGCGATTGTCCTGCCCCAGCCTCCCAAGTAGCTGGGATTACAGGCGCCCACCAACATGCCAGGCTAAGTTTTGTATTTTTAGTAGAGCTGGGGTTTCTCCACGTTGGCCAGGTCTTGAACTCCTGACGTCAAGTGATCCATCTGCCTTGGCCTCCCAAAGTGCTGGGATTATAGGTGTGAGCCACCGCACCTGGCCTTCTGGGGAGCATTTTGTTAGGATTGTGTTCCTGACCACATACTTAGGGAAATGTTCTAGTGGATAGAGACTAAATGTTGAGGACTTCTCAGAGGAGTCAACATAGGAGGTGGGTTTTGTAGGATGAACAGGAGAGCTTGAGGCAGTGACTGGGGCATTCTGGGCAGACAGACAACTGTGTAAAGGCTTGGAAGTGTCATTAGCTATTGCCTGACATATAGTTAGTGGGACTGAGTTCAGAGTGGCTGGACTAATGGGATGTGGTGGCTCATGCCTGTAATCCCAGCACTTTGGGAGGCCAAGGTGGGAGGATTGCTTGAGCTCAGGAGTTCAAGACCAGCCTGGGCAACACAGCAAGACCCCGTCTCTACCAAAAATAAAAAATTAGCCAGGTGTGGTGGAACACACCTGTAGTCTCAGCTACTCAGGAGACTGAGGTGGGAGGATTGCTTGAGCCCAGGAGTTTGAGGCCGCAGTGAACTATGATCGTGCCACTGCACTCCAATCAGGGTGACAGAGCAAGAGCAGACCATGGGCTTGGGCAGGCAGAGGACAGGCACTGAGCTTTTGGAGTCTGGATGTGAAGTCTCCTTCCTGCCACCTTGAGGAGCTTGCCTTCATAGTCTGGGCTTTGTCACAGTCAGGCTTGTGCCAACTTTGCTGGTCGGGGAGAGGCTGGCAGAGGAAGGATAGTGGAAGGAGGGAGGCCAGTTAGGAGGTAGTTGATGGATGGAGCAGGGGAGAAGGGAGTGCTCAGAGCTAGCAGGACCTGGCCCCTTGGTGGATCACGGATAGGCAGAGACAGGCTACAGGCCTGAGCTCCTGGCTGTCTCCAGTGCCTGGGGGACACCAAGGAGCCTGCTGCTTTGCTTCTCAGAACATTGCAAATTTTTTGCAGCACTTTCTTGGTTTGCAATGGCAGCAAAGCAGAGTTCAAACATCTTGCATTTTTGTGAAATACTTTTATTTTTCCTGCATGGAGTTTTCAACCCCAAATTTCAGCATCTCCTGGACTTGCACGGATCAGGTGCTCAAGGAAAGTTTGTTGAGTGAATGAATGAACACATGAATGAATGAACAAATACCTTGACCTTTCTCCTTTGGGACACCGAGGCAGTGCCTCTGCCTCAGTGCACGTTTGCAGTTCTGAGGGATCCTGGAGCGAGGTCCCTTTCTCTGCACAGGCCAGCTCCTGAAGCTGCTTTTAGGGGAACCATGGAGACTCCAGCTTTAGAGGTCCCGCTTCTCCCTTTGAAGTGTGAGCACATAGAGGAGGGAGACTTTTCCTGAGAATCACACAGAATGGCTTTGATGTTAATATCAGTGAGACCTTGTCCTCAAGCTCCAGGATTTTCTGAATCTTCCCTCTCTTCATCTCACTCCCCTCTTCCCCCAGCTCATCTGTTATTTTAAAATCCATTCCCAGAGAAACAATTCCTATGGCAATAAGAGCACTCCTCCAGGCTTCTCTTGGCTCGAACTCGTGTGACACTTCATTGCCACTTCCAGAGTGTGTGAGCTGGACCCGGACCAATTCAGCCTGGGGCAGGGGAAAAGAGCAACAATAACTAACTGTTAGAGGATTTTCGGGAATGTTAGCACAAAGTGCTCCGGGAATTCTGCAGACAATCCTACGGAAACATACACATGCCGTGCTGTTCTGCCCTCCGAGTTGTCAGGGGTCCCTGGCCTTCCCAGCCTGGCCTTGTCTCTACCTGCCTCCCAGAAACCAGGGTCTAGAGCTTCTCTTCGGAGTCCTGTAACAGACTACCCTGAAACAAGCTGGACTGAGTCCAGGTTAATTCTGAAATACTGGAGGAGAGCGGTGTGCGTTCTGGCCCCCTGCATCTCCTTGTTTGCCCCACCCCTAACTACCTCCAGAGTGATCTATGTAAAGCAGGAGTCCCCAACCCTGAGGTCACAGACAAGTACCGGTTCAAGACCAGTTCAAGGAACCGGGCCGCACAGCAGGAGGTGAGTGATAGGCGAAAAAGCCTGAAGCTTCATCTCTACAGCTGCTGCCCTCGCTCGCATTACTGCCTTAGCTCTGCCTCCTGTCAGACCAGCAGCGGCAGTAGATTTTCATAGGAGCTCCAGCCCTGTTGTAAACTGCACAGGCGAGGGATCTAGGTTATGCACTTTTATGAGAATCTGATGTCTGATGATCTGTCATTGTCTCCCATCACCCCCAGATGGGACCGTCTAGTTGCAGGAAAACAAGCTCAGGGCTCCCATTGATTCTACATGATGGTGAGTAGTAGGATTATTTCATTATATATTACAATGTCATAATAATAGAAATAAAGTGCACAGGCCAGACACGGTGGCTCACGCCTGTAATCCCAACACTTTGGGAGGCCAAGGCGGGCAGATCATCTGAGGTCATGATGGAGTTTGAGACCGGCCTGGCCAACATGGTGAAACCCTGTCTCCAATAAAAATACAAAGAATTAGCCAGGTGTGTTGGCGGGCACCTGTAATTCCAGCTACTTGGGAGGCTGAGGCAGGAGAATCGCTTGACCTGTGAAGCGGAGGTTGCAGTGAGCCGAGATCACACCACTGCACTCCAGCCTGGGTGACAGAGTAAGACTCCATCTTAAAAAAAAATTTTTTTTAAATAAATAAAAAAAAAGAGGAAGGCTGTGAAGAGTAGGATCTGGAACCAGGCTGCCTGAGTCTGAGTCCAGGTTCTGTGTGGCCCTGACTAAGTTGCCTGCCCTCTCTATGCCTCAGTCACCTCATCTATAAAATGGGTATGATTAGAGTGTTTCCTTCATAAGGTCATTCTGGGGCTTATGCAAGTTAATATTAATCAAGCGCTTAGAACAATGTCTAGTATGTGCTCTAGGAGGCCATATGAAAGGATAAAGGCTTCTCTCAGATGGTGTAGTGTGCTGATGGGGACTTGGCAAAGCTTGGGAAGATGATGGATTTCACAAACATAGGAAGCATGGCTGGGCACAGTGGCTCACACCTATAATCCCAGCACTTTGGGAGGCCAAGGCATGAGGATCACTTGAGACCAGGAGTTCGAGACCAGCCCGGGCAACATAGCGAAATCCCCTGTCTACAAAAAAATAAAATAAAAATTAGCCAGGTGTGGTAGGGCACACTTGCAATCTCAGCTACTTGGGAGGGGAGGCTGAGGCAGGAGGATTGCTTGAGCCCAGGAGTGTGAGACCAGCCTGGGCAACATAGCAAGACCCCATATCTACAGAAGAAAGAAAGAAAGAAAAAGAAAATTGGCCAGGCACGGTGGCTCACGCTTGTAATCCCAGCACTTTGGGAGGCTGAGGTGGGCAGATCACGAGGTCAGGAGATCCAGACCATCCTGGCTAACACGGTGAAACCCTGTCTCTACTAAAAATAAAAAAATTGGCTGGGTGTGGTGGCGGGTGCCTGTAGTCCCACCTACTTGGGAGGCTGAGGCAGGAGAATGGCATGAACCCGGGAGGCGGTGCTTGCAGTGAGCCAAGATCGCGCCACTGCACTCCAGCCTGGGCGAAAGAGTGAGACTCCATCTCAAAGAAAAAAAAAAAAAAAAAGAAAATTAGCCAGGCACGGTGATGTGTGATTGTAGTCCCAGCTACTTGGGAGAGGAGGCTGAGGTGGGAGGATCACTTGAGCCCAGAAGCATGAGCCCAGCCTTGGCAATATAGCAAGACCCTGTATCTACAAAAAAAAAAAAAAAAGAATAGAAACTAGCCAGGTGTGGTGTTGAATGCTTATAGTCCCAGCTACCTGGGAGGGGAGGCTGAGGCGGCAGGATCACTTGAGCCGAGGAGGTGGAGGCTATGATTAAGTCACTGCACTCCAGTGTGGGTGACAGAGTGAGACCCTGTCTCAAAAAAAGTCTCAAAAATATCCTCCCCAAAACAAAACAACAAACATATGAGGCCACAGAATCCTTTTCTAGGGTGCCTTTTGCCAGGGTGGTGTCTTTCAGACTGCACACCCTGTGAGATGCTGTTGTGGATGGGGGCTAAATGCTGAGGACTTCCTAGAGGAGTCTCCATTCAAAGCAGGTCTTGTAGGATGAGCAAAATGTCCTGATAGGTTTCCGGTGCTCTCCCAGAGCTGGTCCTAAGCCTGCTCACTGGGGTCGTTTCGGACCTTCTCCTGTAGCTGAGCCCACCCTTGCTGCTGCAGGGGAGCCGGAGAAAACAGAAGCTGTAATCCTGATGGTTTTTCCTTGTCTCTTAGGACCCTGCTCAGGTTTTCAAGACCAGAGTGAGGGGTGTGGGCCTATCTGCACTCCCAGCTGAACCTCAGCCACTTTGGGCGTCAGTGCAGAGGATCATCCCCAGATGTGATTGAGGAGCAGATGGGAGGGATCGGAGGGTGCTCAGATGCCTGTGGTGAGGACTGAGGCTGAGGATTTATTTTCTTTATTTTATTTTCTTTATTTATTTTTTGAGGCAGAGTCTGGCTCTGTCACCCAGACTAGAGTGCAGTGGCGTGATCTTAGCTCACTGCAATCTCTGCCTCCTGGCTTCAAGTGATTCTCCTGCCTCAGTCTCCCGAGTAGCTGTGATTATAGGTACCTGCCACCACACCTGGCTAACTGTTGTATGTTTAGTAGAGATAGAGTTTTACCATGTTTGCCAGGCTGGTCTCAAACTCCTGACCTCAGGTGATCCGCCTGCCTCGGCCTCGCAAAGTGCTGGGATTACAGGCCTGAGCCACTGTGCCTGGCCTTCTTTTCTTTTTTCTTTTTTCCTTTTAAATAGAGATGGGGGTGTCACTATGTTGTCCAGGTCAGTCTCAACCTCCTGGCCTCAAGTGATCCTCCCACCTTGGCATCCCAAAGTGCTGGGATTACAGGCATGAGTCACTGTGCCCGGCTGAGGATTTCTGATGAGCTTCATGTCCCAGACAGTGTGAGAGCAGAAGGGACCTGGGGAGGCCCTAAGGTTGGGGGGAAAGGGCTTTTTCTGCCTTGTCTCATGCAGCCAGCCTGCAGTGACTCACTTTTTTTTTGGAGCCAGGGTCTCACTCTGTTGTTCAGGCTGGAATGCAGTGATGTGATCACATAGCTCACTGCAGCCTTGACTGTCTGGACTCAAGTGATCCTTCCACCTTAGCCTCTCGAGTAGGTGGAACTATAGGCATGCACTACCATGCCTGTATCATTTTGGTATTTTTTGTAAAGACTGGGTCTTGCAACGTTGCCCAAGCTGGTCTTGAACTCCTGGGCTCAAGCGATTCTCCTCCCTCAGCCTCCCAAAGTGCTGGAATTACAGGTAGGAGCTACTATGACCAGCAGTGACTTACTTCTGAAGGACCCACAGTTAAGCCAGCAACTTCCCTTCATTGCTTTAGTCCCTCATCAGTGAACAAAACAAAATAGGTTGGAATCAAATGAGGAAATGTGTTTAGTAGATAGGCTGACTGATCATTGCTGTTCATTTGAATGAGGGCTCCATCTATCCTTTTTTAAATTTTAATTTTTTTACATTTTAGAGACAGGGTCTTGCTCTGTCACCAAGGCTAGAGAGCGGTGGCACAATCACAGGTCACTGCAGCCTCCACCTCTCGGACTCAGGTGATCCTCGTGCTTCAGCCTCCTGAGTAGCTTGGACTACAGGTGTGCACCAGCATGTCTGGCTAATTTATCATTTAAAAATTTTTTGGGGGGCTGGGCCTGGTGGCTCAAACCTGTAATCCCAGCACTTTGGGAGACTGGGGCAGGTGGATCACCTTAGGTAAGGAGTTCGAGACCAGCCTGGTCAACATGTTGAAACCCTGTCTCTACTAAAAATACAAAAATTAGCTGGGTGTGGTGGTGCATGGCTGTAATCCCAGCTACTTGGTATTGGCTCTGTTTCTCCATAGGCTGTGAGGCAGGGATTTAACTTAGTTTTTTACTCAAACCGCCCTCACACTTTTATTGAATAACCCATTCTTCCTTGCTAATTTGAAATGCCACTTTTATCATATACTAAATTTCCCTATATGCATGAAGCAGGAGAATCGCTTGAACCGGGGAGGCAGAGGTTGCAGTGAGCTGAGATTATGCCGTTGCACTCCAGTTTGGGCGACAGAGCAAGACTCCATCTAAAACAAAAAAAATTTTTTTTTGTACAGACAGTGTTTCCCTATGTCACCCAGGCTGGTCTCGAACTCCTGGCTTCAAGCGATCCTCCAGACTTGGGGGCTGGGGACACCAAGACCGGTGGGGGGACAGACATTTGCTCTGCATGTGTGTAAGCTGTTTGCACTCATGACTGAGTGGTGGTTTGCAGCCTAAATATTATCTGTCTTTGTTTGCAAGAATTTGATCTCCCACCCCCTTTCTTGTTCTGGAAATGCAAGGACTCTGCGGCATTTGTCCGAGAATCTCCGACAGTTCCCAGCCCCTTGGAGGATGTCCCCTGCTTGGAGTCTTTATGATCGGCTCAGACTTTTCTTTTCCCCGGGGAGTTGTCCCTGGATCAGGGTTTGTTGCAGGATGTCTGCGGCTGTGCGGCCCCTGGAGGCGACCAGGCCTGCCAAACACTCACTGGAGTCTCACTTGGGCTTCCCCAGCCCCCGTAGTTACGAAGCCTTTGAGAGAAGGTAGCAGTTTCCTTCTGATTTGGCTCCGGCTGTCTGCGCCCCAGCCAGTTGCCTCTGGCTTCTGACATTTTTGTCATTCCTGCTCTTCTGGGAGGGTTTATCTCCCTTCCTGGCCTCCTTTGATTGACTTGGCCACACGGCTGATGCTTGGGCTCCAAGAAGTCTTGGCCTGCCCCGGGCACCCATTTCTGCCGTGATGTGATCCTGGCTGGCTGCAGGATTTGCCAGCCTCTTCCCATCTTTTGTTCTGCGACTGATGACAATTAGACCCTGAAACGCTTCACACAGGGACTCTGAACATGTGTGTCTACCAGGGCAGGAGTGGAGCAGGCAGGTGAGCCTCTGCATCAGGGGCTCGGAGGGAGCCCCGTCCTGGCTCTGCCTGATGGGAGAAGACCTGGCTGTGCTCCTGGTCTCTCTTGGTGCTCTGCTCACCATTGCCTGCCTTTCACCCTCCAGATCCTTCCTGCCTCTCACCCTCCAGATCCTTCCTGCCTCAGGGCCTTTGCACAGATTGTTGCCCCTGCCTTTGTCAGAGGTGCGTGAACCACAGCAGCTACATCATGAATACAGGTTGGGTAAAATGAGGCTGAGGCCTACTGGGCTACTTACCCAGATGGTTATGGCATTCTAAGTCACAGGGCGAGATAGGAGGTCAGCACAAGATCATAAAGACCTTGCTGATAAAACAGGTTGCAGTAAAAAAGCCGGCCAAAACCCACCAAAACCAAGATGGAGATGAGAGTGACCTCTGGTCGTCCTCACTGTTACACTCCCACCAGCGCCATAACAGTTTGCAAATGCCTTGGCAATGTCAGGAAGTTACCTTTTATGGTCTAAAAAGGGAAGGCATGAATAATCCACCCCTTGTTTAGCATATCATCAAGAAATAATCATAAAAATGGGCAACCAGCGGCCCTTAGGGCTGCTCTGTCTATGGAGTAGCCATTCTCTATTCCTTTACTTACTTACTTTCTTTTTTTTCTTTTTGAGACGGAGTCTCACTCTGTTGCCCAGTCAGGAGTGCAGTGGTGCGATCTCGGCTCACTGCAACCTCTGCCTCCCGGGTTTAAGTGATCCTTCTGCCTCAGCATCCCGAGTAGCTGGCACTACAGGTGCCTGCCACCATAGCTGGCTAATTTTTGTATTTTTAGTAGTGATGGGGTTTCACTATATTGGCCAGGCTGGTCTCGAACTCCTGACTTTATGATCCACCTGCCTCAGCCTCCCAAAGTGCTGGGATTACAGGCGTAAGCTACTGCACCCAGCTACATTTTTTTTTTTTTTTTTTTTTGAAACAGAGTCTCTCTCTGTCGCCCAGACTGGAGTGCAGTGGCGCTATCTTGGCTACTGCAACCTCTGCCTTTCAGGTTCAAGCAATTCTCATCCCTCAGCCTCCCAAGTAGCTGGGACTACAGGCACGCACTACCACGCCTGGCTAATTTTTTATATTTTAATAGAGACGAGGGTTTCACCATGTTGCCCAGGTTGGTCTTGAATTCCTGAGCTTAGCCAATCCACCCACCTTAGCCTCCCTCCTTTACCTTCTTAATAAATTTGTTTTTACTTTACTCTATGGACTTGCCCCAAATTCTTTCTCACACAAGATCTCAGAACTGTCTCTTGGGGTCTGGATCAGGACCCCTTTCTGGCCACACCCTGATCAGTCTTTGTGACTTTTGGCCTAGGTAACTCCTGCCCAGACTTTAGAGATCAGCTTAAACATCACATCTTCAGGGACCCTTTACTTGCCCTTCAGGATAATATCAGGTTCCTTTGTTAAAAGCTCTTAGAGCTAGCTCTCTAACTTAGAGGCTTATGACAACAGTGAGTAAATTCCATAACTAACGAATTGATAATTCATGAGTGGTTATCTTCCCAGAGATGGCAAATTCTCCCAGGGCAGTGGTCCTGTCTGGTTTTCTTCTGTAGCTCTAGGTTCTAGGTTGTTCTCTGTCATCCTTGCCTGGATTACAGAGGGTGCTTGGGAAATGACCAACCTCTTTGCAAGCTGTGTTAGATTCGTTTTGCTGCTGTAACAAATTACCACAAATTTAGTGACTTAAAATAATACCAGTTCATTATCTTACAGTTCTTGAGATCAGAAGTCCAAAATAGCTCTCACTGGGCTAAAATCAAGGTATTTACAGGGCTGGTCTTTTTGGAGGCTCTGGGAAAGAACCTATTTCCATGCCTTTTCCAGCTTCTAGAATTTATCAGCATTCCTTGACTTGTACCTCCTTCCTCTATCTCCAAAGGGCATTACTCCAACCTTTCTTTCTGATACCTCCTTTCTCTCTGACTTTGATCTTCCTGCCTCTCTCTTGTATGGACCTTTTAGATTAGGTTGGGCTCATCTGGATACCCCCTCAACTTCAGTATGCTTAATTTAATCATCAAGTCCCTTTAACCATGTGTCTTAGTTCCTTTTGTGCTGCTGGAATAGAAAAGCACAGACTGGATAATTTATAATGTATGAAAATTTATTGGCTCATGGCTCTGGAGGCTGGGAAGTCCAAAAGCCAGGGGCTGGTATCTGGCAAAGGCTGTGTCATTTTATGGTGGAAGGGCAAAGAGAGGGAGAGAAAGAGCGAGAGATTAAACTCTAAGCCTCAAGCCCTTTTACAATCCGTATAATCTATTCGTGAGGGTGGAGCTTTTATGACCTAAACATCTTCCATTAGGCCCCACCTCCCAACACTGTTGCACTGGGGATTAAGTTTCTAATGTGTGCTTTGTGGGGGACACATTCAAACCATAGCACTGCATAAGATAACATTTTCTCAGGTTTCAGGGATTAGAAAGAGGACGTCCCTGGGGGAGATATTATTTGGCCAAACACACAAACGGAGATGAAAAGGGAAAGATGTGCCAGATACTGGGGAGCCTTGGAGGGTTGCACTGATCTTAGGCTCCAAAAAGAATTAAGACTGAAAGTGGCTTTGGCATCAAAAGGCTGTTAAGATTCAGCCTTGAGCTAAGGGTCATTAGAGCATGGATTTTCCATTTGTTTTTTAAAATTTTTATTTATATTTTGTTGCTATTTTGAGATAGGGTCTTGGCCTGTTTCCTGGGCTAGAGTGCAGTTGCATGATTATGGCTTACTGCAGTTTCATACTCCTGGGCTCAAGCAATCCTCCTGCCTCAGCCTCTTGAGTGGCTGGGACTGCAGGTGCATGCTACCATATCTGGTCAATTTTTAAATATTTTGTAAAGAAGAGGTCTTGCTATCTTGTCCAGGCTGGTCTCAAATTCCTGGCCTCAAGCAATTCTGGGTTGGCCTCCCAAAGCACTGGGATTACAGGTATGAGCCATCGTACCTGGCTCTGTTTCTCCATAGGCTGTGAGGTAGGGATTTAACTTAGTTTTTTGCCCAAACTGCCTTCACACTTTTATTGAATAACCCATTCTTCCTTGCTAATTTGAAATGCCACTTTTATCATATAATAAATTTCCCTATATGCATGATCCTTTTTCTGAACTCTTATTTTCTACTGAACTCTATCTGGTCTGGTGCCAAAACCACAGTTCTGTGTTTTAATTATTATATCTTTATCATATATTTTGTTAGCTGATAGAACAATTTCTCCTTCACTGTTCTTTATCAAAATATTCTTAGTTGTTCTTATACATCTTTTTATTTTGGGTGAATTTTAAAATCATCTTTTCTAGGTTTATAAAAATGCTGTTGGGATTTTGATCAGGGTGTGTTAAATTAATGGAGTCATAGGATTACAGGTTTATGGCCAAGCTTGGTGGCTCACACCTGTAATCCAAGCACTTTGGGAGGCTGAGGCGGGCAGACTGCTTGAGGCCAGGAGTTTGAGACCAGGCTGGCCAACGTGGAGAATATCGCTACTAAAAATACAAAAGTTAGCTGGGCGTGGTGATGTATGCCTGTAATCCCAGCTACTCTGGAGGTGGAGGCAGGAGAATCACTTGAGCCCCGGAGGCAGAGGTTGCAGTGAGCTGAGATCACATCACTGCACTCCAGCCTGGGTGACAGAGCAAGATCCTGTCTCAAAAAAACAAAAACAAGAAAGAATTACATGCTTATAACATTGTGTGTTTTTTAGGAACATGTCCTGCTGCTCCATTGACTCAGAGTTTTTTAGACTTAGGCATTTTATCATTTTTATTGCTGTCATGAAAGGACTCTTTTGTTCCTTGCCATTTATAAACATTTATGTTTGGCAGGTAGGAAAGCTGTTCATTTGAGGCATGTCGATTTTGTATCAGCTACCTTTGTGAATTTTCAAAAAATTATTTTAATTTTTTTTTAGGTAGTTCTCTAGGGTTTTTGGAGGTGGAGAATTTTATTTTTTATTTTTATTTTTATTTTTTATTTTGAATTTTAATTTTTTGAGATGGAGTTTCACTTTTGTTGCCCAGGCTGGAGTACAATGGCACGATCTCAGCTCACCGCAACCTCCACCTCCTGGGTTCAAATGATTATCCTGCCTCAGCCTCCGAAGTAGCTGGGATTACAGGCATGTGCCACCACGCCTGGCTAATTTTTTTTTTCTTTTTTATGAGACAGAGTCTCGCTCTGTTGCCCAGGCTGGGGTGCAGTGGCATGATCTTGGCTCACTGCAATCTCTGCCTCCCCGGTTCAAGCGATCCTCCTGCCTCAGCCCCCCTAGTAGCTGGGATTATAGGCATGTGCCACCGTGCCCAGCTACTTTTTGTATTTTTAGTAGAGACAGGGTTTCGCCATGTTGGCCAGGCTAGTCTTGAACTCCTGACCTCACGTGATCCACCTGCCTCGGCCTCCCAAAGTGCTGGGATTACAGGCATGAGCCACAGCGCCCTGCCTAATTTTGTATTTTTAGTAGAGATGGGATTTCTCTATGTTGGTCAGGCTGGTCTCAAACTCTTGACCTCAGCTGATCTGCCCACCTCGGCCTCCCAAAGTGCTGGGATTACTGGCATGAGCCGCTGTGCCCAGCCGATAATTTTTTTTTTAAGGAAGGCAATATTTTTTGCAAGTTTGTTTATTTATTTATTTATTTGAGACAGGGTCTCACTCCATTGACAAGCCTGGAGTGCCGTGATGCAATCACTCTTTACTGCAGCTTCCAACTCCTGGGCTCAGGTGATCCTCCCATCCCAGCCTTCTGAGTAGCTGAGACCACAGGCGTGCGCCACCATGCTTGACTAATTTTTAAATTATTTGTAGAGATGGGGGTCTTCCTATATTGTTCAGGCTGGTTTTTTTTTTTTTTTTTTTTTTTTAAGACGGAGTCTCACTGTGTTGCCTAGGCTAGAGTTCAATAGCGTCATCTCGGCTTACTGCAACCTCCGCCTCCGGGGTTCAAACCATTCTCCTGCCTCAGCCTCCCGAGTAGCTGGGATTACAGGCTTCAGCCAGCTAAATTTTGTATTTTTAGTAGAGATGGGGTTTCACCATGTTGGACAGGCTGATCTTGAACTCCTGACCTCAGGTGATCCACCTGCCTTGGCCTCCCAAAGTGCTGGGATTACAGACATGAGGTACTGTGCCTGGCCTCAGGCTGGTCTTGACCTCCTGGGCTCAAGCAATCCTCCAGCCTCGGCCTCCCAGTGTGTTGGGATTACAGGCATGAGCTATTGCACCTGGCCAGTGGAGACTCTTATAGTCTTCCAATGTGTGTGTATGTGTGTTGGTCATTGTGTGTGTTAGGACTCTCTAGAGGGGCAGAACTAATAGGATATATATGTATATATGAAAGGGAGTTGATTAAGGAGAATTGACTCATGCAATCACAGGGTGAAGTCCCATAATAAGCCGTCTACAAGCTGAGGAGCTAGGAAGCCAGCAGTGGTTCGTCCTAGTTCCAAAACCTCCAAAGTAAGGAAGCCAACAGTGCAGCCTTCAGTCTGTGGCTGAAGGTCTGAAAGCCCCTGGCAAACCACTGGCGTACATTTAAGAGTTCAAAAGCTGAAAAGCCTGGCGTCTGATATTTGAGGGCAGGAAGCTTCCAGCACGGGAGAACAATGAAGGCTGGAAGACTCAGCAAGTCAGCTCCTTTCACCTTCTCTGCCTGCTTTTTCTAGCCACGCTGGCAGCCGATTGAATGGTGCCCACCCACATTGAGGGTGGGTCCTCCTCACCCAGTCCACTGACTCAACTGTTAATCTCCTCTGAAAACACCCAGAAACAACTAGAAACAATACTTTGCATTCTTCAATCCAATCAATTTGACACTATATATACACACACACACACACACTATATATATATATATATATACACACACACACATATATATGTGTATATATATAGTATGTGTGTGTATATACGGTGTGTGTGTATATATATACTCGACACTAAATATGTATATATATATATGTGTATATATATGTGTGTATATATATATATATATATTTGTGACGGAGTCTCACTCTGTTGCCCAGGCTGCAGTGCAGTGGCGTGATCTTGGCTCACTGCAACCTCCGCAGCCTGGGTTCAAGTGATTCTCCTGCCTCAGCCTCCTGAGTAGCTGGGATCACAGGCATCCGCCACCATGCCCAGCTAATTTTTGTATTTTTAGTAGAGATGGGGTTTCTCCATGTTGGCCAGGCTGGTCTCGAACTCCTGACCTCAAGTGATCCACTTGCCTCAGCCTCCCAAAGTGCTGGGATTACAGGCGTGAGCCACCACGCCTGGCCCCATACAATTGAAAAAAATTTTTTTTAATTTTTTAATTTATTTGTTTATTTGTTTTTTGAGTCTCACTCTGTCGCCCAGGTTGGAGTGCAGTGGTGCGATCTCGGCTCACTGCAAACTCTGCCTCCCAGGTTCACGCCATTCTCCTGCCTCAGCCTCCCAAGTAGCTGGGACTACAGGCGCCCACCACCACGCCCGGCTAATTTTTTGTATTTTTAGTAGAGACCGGATGTTAGTTAGCTAGTAGTTAGCTAGGATGGTCTCGATCTCCTGACCTCGTGATCTGCCTGCCTCGGCCTCCCAAAGTGTTGGGATTACAGGCGTGAGCCACCGCGCCCGGCCACAATTTTTATATGTTGGTTATACCTCAGAGAAATAGGGGAATAAAAAACCTCAAAACCTTGTTGAGTTTCATCAAGGGTGGGGCTTCATCTTTTTTGCAGAGGATGTCCGAAGTAGAAGGCTCTGAGGGGAGAGAAAAGTTCTAGAGAGGGGATGATGCTGCAGTTGGCCAGACTGCATTCTGAATTGTGTATCTCCTGCCGAGTGTCTGCCCTGAGCAGGCCTCCTCTGGTCCTGTCCTAGCTTGTTTTTTTTTTTTTTTTTTTTTTTAATTTTTTGAGACAGGGTCTGGCTCTGTTGCCCAGGCTAAGTGCAGTGGCACGATCACGGCTCACTGCAGCCTCAACCTCCTGGGCTCAAGCAAGCCTCCTGAGTAGCTAGGACTACAGGTGTGCACCACCTAGCTAATTTTAATCTTTATTTTTTTTGAGATAGGGTTTCACTCTGTTGCCCAGGCTGGAGTGCAGCGGTGCACCGCACCTGGCCCTGGCTTGCTTTGTTCTCGTTTCACGCACTTCATCTGCAGCTGAACCGCAGGCCCCTGGGGGTCAGGAGCCCTGTCCCAGAAGGTTATGTCTGTCACGACAGGTAATCCAGCACTGAGCACAGGATGTGAATTAAAACAATCCCTTATTGAATCAACGGCAGCTGGACCCACTGGGACAGCGCTGTGTTGACTTTTTGGGCTGCAAAGTCCAACTCACGCAGGAGCTCACAAGGCTGGAGTTGGATTCTGACCCGAAGTGAACCAGGAGTGAACAGGGAGCACGGTGGACCCAGACCCAATGTGAGGGTCCAGGCTGTTGCCTGAGTAAGGAGTTTGGCAGGAAAGCTCAATATTCTGTACTGGAAGGGGGTGGTAGCATTGCAAGTTGTCTGCCTGCTAGGCCTAGGTCCGGGACAGCTGCTTGTGGGGACAGCTGTCTCAGCGTCGGACAGAGCATCTGCCCTAGATTAATCCCAGAACCTGGCCACGCCCCTGGGGAGCAGAGCCGGGGTAGGGTTACCGCACACCAGGAAACGCGCCTGCTTTGCTGACAGCGGGTGGGTAGCTTGCAGGATGGATGGGCTCTGGGGGCGGCCAGGGGTGCCACTGGGAAAGGCAGACTCACTGCTGGCTGAGCCAAAGCCACCCCCACGGGATGCAAGCTGACACTCCCAAGAGCTGCTTTCTTTCCGCTGGACCCGAAACCGGCACGAGATGATCTCCAAGAATTATGAGAAGAGTTGGGAATGGAAACCAAATGTTCGTGTCAGGTAGAAAAAGCTGATGGAAGCCCATAGCCCAGCAGGCTCTGGGTGCTTCAGGGTTCAGGCTCCTGTGGTCAGCACAGATGTTTAGGTGAAAGAAACCCGACACACTGAAAAAAAAAAAAGTTTATTTTTTCCCCCTTGATTATATTTATTATAGAAAACCTGGAAAATCTGGAAAAGTGAAAAATCATTTATCATTGTATTTTGCAAACATTTTAAACTTTTTATTATTTATATTGTGGTAAAATAGACCTAACAGACGATTTACTGTCTTTTATTTTCTTCTTTTTATTTTTATTTTTTTTTGAGACAGAGTTTTACTCTGTCACCCAGGCTGGAGTGCAGTGTGAAGCATTCTCTCTCTCGCTCTCTCTCTCTCTCTTTATATATATATAAATACATACATATATATATAAAGAGAGAGATTTTATATATATATTGTAATATTTTTTAACATATATTTTAATATAATTATATATATATATATATTTATATATATATATATATATATATATTTTTTTTTAAGACAGAGTCTCACTGTGTCACCCAGGCTGGAGTGCAGTGGTGCAATCTCGACTCACTGCAACCTCCATCTCCTGGGTTCAAGCGATTCTCATACCTCAGCCTCTCGAGTAGCTGGGACTATAGGCATGCGCCACCATACCTGGCTAGTTTTTGTTTCTTATTAAAGAGGGGTTTCACCATGTTGGCCAAGTATCGGACTCCCAGCCTCAAGTGATTTGCTCACCTCAGCCTCCCAAAGTGCTGGGAGTACAGGCGTGAGCCACTGCGCCCTGCCAAAATTTACCATCTTAAACCATTTCCCAGTGTATAGCACAGTGGCATTAAAGACATTTACATTGTCATGCAATCACCATCACCATCCATCTCTGGAACTCTTTTCATCTTGCAAAACTGAAACTCTGGGCCGGGCGCCGTGGCTCACGCCTGTAATCCCAGTACTTTGGGAGGCTAAGGCGGGTGGATCACCTGAGGTCAGGAGTTCAAGACCAGCCTGGCCAACATGGTGAAACCCTGTCTCCACTAAAAATACAAAAAATTAGCTGGGTGTGCTGGTGGAAGCCTGTAATTCAGCTATCTGGGAGGCTGAGGCAGGAGAATCTCCTGAACCCGGGAGACGGAGGTTGCAGTCAGCCGAGATCGCGCCATTACACTTCAGCCTGGGCAACAAGAGCAAAACTCTGTCTCAAAAACAGACAAACAAAAAGCCCCGAAACTCTGTACCTGTGAAATGCTAACTGCATTTCTGTCCTCCCCTGGCCCCTGGCAATCACCACCTATTTTCTTTTTTTTTTTTTGAGACAGTCTCACTCTGTTGCCCAGGCTCGAGTGTAATGGCACGATCTCAGTTCACTGCAACCTCCACCTGCCAGGTTCAAGCAATTCTCCTGCCTCAGCCCCCCAACTAGCTGGGACTAGGGGCACAGCCACTGTGCCCGGCTAAGTTTTTTTTTGTACTTTTAGTAGAAACAGGGTTTCACCATGTTGGCCAGGCTGGTCTCAAACTCCTGACCTCAAGTGATCCTCCCGCCTCGGCCTCCCAAAGTACTGGGATTACAGGCGTGAGCCACCATGCCTGGCCCTTTTTCTTTTCAGCCTTGGACTTAGCGACTGAGTAGCTCCTCTTGTACATTGCCTTTCTGGAACACATAGCAGATCAGGAATATCTACCAATTCCTCTGACAAGGACAGGATTTTGGCCGCCATGGGGCTTCCCCTTCTTGGGCTTTTTAGCCTTGAGGTGACCGTTTTTCACCTTGCCACCAGAATCAGCCTTCTTGGCTTCAGGTTTCCTCAGTATCCGTCTTAACATTTTCACCCACTGTCTTGCAAGATGGGAAAGAGCGGGTTTTGACCGAATGGGTATGAAGTGGTATCTCATTGTGGTTTTGATTTGTCTTTTCCTAATGATTAGTGATGTTGAACATCTTTTTAGGTGCTTGCTGGCCATTTGTATATCTTCCTTGGAGAAATTTCTATTATTAAGCTGTTAGCCCTGTTTTGAATTGGGTTGTTTCTATATTGTTGTTGAGTTGTAGGAGTTCCTTATGTATCTGGATATTAACCCTTTATCAGATGTATGATTTGCACATTTTTTTTTTTTTTTTTTTTGAGATGGAGTCTCACTCTGAAGCCCATGCTAGAGTGCAGCGGCTCAGTCTTGGCTCACTGCAACCTCTGCCTCTGGGGCTCAAGCGATTCTCCTGCCTCAGCCTCCTGAGCAGCTGGGACTACAGGCATGCACCACCATGTCCAGCTATTTTTTTTGTATTTTATTTTATTTTTTGAGATGGAGTTTTTCTCTTGTTGCCCAGGCTGGAGTGCAATGGCGCGATCTTGGCTCACGGCAACCTCTGCTACCCGGGTTCAAGAAATTCTCGTGCCTCAGCCTCTCGAGTAGCTGATTACAGGCATGCGCCACCATGCCCAGCTAATTATGTACTTTTAGTAGAGACGAGGTTTCTCCATGTTGGGCAGGCTGGTCTCGAACTCCCAACCTCAGGTGATCCGCCCATCTCGGCCTCCCAAAGTGCTGGGATTACAGGCGTGAGCCACCGCGTCTGGCAATTTTTTGTATTTTAGTAGAGATGGGGTTTCACCGTGTTGCCCAGGTGGTCTTGAACTCCAGAGCCCAGGAGATTTCCCCACCTCTTCTTGTATTCTGTGAGTTGCCTTTTCACTCTGTTGATTGGATCTTTCGATGCACAGAAATTTTTACTTTTGATGTAACTTAATTTATTGATATCTCTTTTTTTCTCCTGTTGGCTGGGCTTTTTTTGGGTGTCATAGCCAAGAAATCATTGCCAATCTAGTGTCATGAAGCTTTTAAGAGTTTTAGACCTTTTAGGTCTCATGTTAAGGGTTTTTTTTTTTTTTTTTTTTTTTTTTTGAGACAAAGTCTCATTCTGTCATCCAGGCTAGGGTGCAGTGGCACAATCTCAGCTCGCTGCAACCTGCCTTCTGGGTTCAAGCGATTCTCCTGCCTCAGCCTCCCGAGTAGCTGGAATTACAGGTGTGTGCCACCTGTAATGGGGTTTCACCGTGTTGGCCAGGCTGGTCTTGAACTCCTGACCTCAAGCGATCTGCCCGCCTCGGCCTCTCAATGTGCTAGGATTACAGATGTGAGGCACTGAGCCTGGCTTTAGTTTTGTTTTGGTGAGACAGGGTCTTGCTCTGTTGTTCAGGCTGGAGGGCAGTAGTGCAATCATAGCTCACTGCAGCCTCAAACTCCTGGGCTCAAGCCATCCACCCACCTCTGCCTCCTGAGTAGCTGGGACTACAGGCATGCACTACCATGCCTGGCTACTTTTTAAATTTTTTGAGAAATGGGATCTTGCTATATTGTCCAGGCTGGTCTCAAACTCTTGGCCTCAAGTAATCCTCCAGCCTCAGGCTCTCAAAGCATTCAGATTACAGATGTGAGCCACCATGCCTGGCCTGGAGCCACTTTTAAAGAAGCCACCAGCTTTAGGGCATGGAAGTGGATGGAGAAGGGAGATATTTCTAAAAATTTCTTGGAAATATCTGGTGAGGTCTCAGGGATTCCGAGGCTGGGAAGCTCAGTGGGCTGTGCAACCGGTCCAGGCTGTGTGGGGAGGGGGCCTTGCCTGTGGGCCTCCCGGGGACCTCAGAATTCTTTGCTCCTCTCTCCTCCCACTGTGGCTTTAGAGATCCTTTCCCTCTCTAGGTCTACTCTTTGGCCTGTGCCCTTTGCCTCTGGCCTGACCTGCTAACCAAAGCCTTCTGTTCTGAGGTCAGCCGCTGCCTGGCTGTGGTAACAGGAGCCTCAGGGGAACAGAGCAGCGGAAGGAAAGGGGGATGGGGAGGGCCCCAGCCCTTGAAGCTGAGCAGATGGCAAAGAAAAACATGGCCTGTTTGCCTCTCTGGGGTGTCCGGTTCTGGGGGCAAGGCAGGAGTTTCTCTGGTCTCAGTTTATTCACACATGACTGTGCGTGGGAGCATATAGGGGGGTGTGGGTCACCCCCTTTTTGCTGGAAGCATCCGGGCCTGGCCGGGATTCTATTTTTTTTATTTTTTTTAAAAAGTGTTCCTGGGGCCTGATTGTATCTGATCTGTGAATTCATCTTGGGCAAGGGCTGTGATATACTCCTGGGCCCGTATCCTAGGACCTAGAGAAGGTCCTATTGGATGACAGCTGGAGCCAGGAAATTTCAGAAGCAAACTAGAGTCTTCATGTTTCTCATTTAGTCCTTCTAGGTCTTCTCTATGGTTCTCTGGAAGGAGACATTGATCTCTGCATTTGGACCCTATTTTTATTATTATTTATTTTTGAGACGGAGTCTCACTCTTCTGCCCAGGCTGGAGTGCAGTGGCACGATCTCAGCTCACTGCAACCTCCACCTCCCAGGTTCAAAGAGATTCTCCTGCCTCCCGAGTAGCTGGGACTACAGGCGTGTGCCACCACGCCCGGCTAATTTTTCTATTTTTAGTAGAGACGGGGTATCACCATGTCAGTCAGGCTGGTCTCAAACTCCTGACCTCAAATGATCTGCCCACCTCGGTCTTCCAAAGTGCTGGGGTTATAGGCATGAGCCACCATGCCAAGCCTTTCTTTTCTTTTCTTTTCTTTTCTTTTCTTTTCTTTTTTTTCTGTAGAGATGTGGTCTTGCTATGTTGCTCAGGCTGATCTTGAATTCCTGGTCTCAAGTGATCCTCCCGCCTCAGCTTCCTAAAGTGCTGGGATTACAGGCATGAGCCACAGCACCTGGCCTGGAAGTGCATTCTCAGAGTCCAGCAGGGCAGTGTGTGTTCTTCGAGGCAGGGAAGTGTATGGGCCTGAGACATCAGTGGATGCAAATGGCTAAGGAAAGAGGTCATTCTGGCAGAGGAGGGAGAAGTTGCTAGAGATTTCACTGCAGAGGTGTGACGGGGCTGGGCCGTGAGGGTGGCGGGTGCACAGGCAGGAGGGTTACTCCAGGTTGCAGGAAAACAGCAGGAGTGAAGGTACATGAGGGCCATGAGTCTGGCCTGTTGGGGCAGTGTGCATCTACCTCCTGCCCCCCAGCTATAGGCACCGGTTCCTTTTTCCATCTGTTGTTATGAGCAGGTGCCTTCCGTACCAGCTAGGGAACAAGTATCCAACAACCAGGCTTTTTTTTTTTTTTTTTTTTTTAAGATGGAGTCTCACTCTGTCATCTAGGCTGGACTGTAGTGGTGCCATCTCAGCTCACTGCAACCTCCGCCTCCCGGGTTCAAGCAATTCTCCTGCCTCAGCCTCCTGAGTAGCTAGGATTACTGGTGCCCACCACCATACCTGGCTAATTTTTGTATTTTTAGTAGAGATGGGGTTTCACCACATTGGCCAGGCTAGTGTCAAACTCCTGACCTCGAGTGATCCACCCGCCTCAGCCTCCCAAAGTGCTGGGACTACAGGGATGAGCCATTGCACCTGGCCAAAAACCAGGCTTTTTGGTGATGGCTGGGAACCCAGAAAGGGTGACAGTCATTTGTGATCCAATTCCTAGTTGTCTGAAATGTGCCTCCCTCCACCGCATGGCCTCACCACTGATAGCTTGGTCACCTATCAGCTGTGTGGTCTGGGCTTGCCACGGGTGGGACGCAGGAGAGTGGCCCTCAAAGATAGGTAAGTCCTAATCCCTGCAACCTGTGAATATGCTACTTTACATGGTAAAAGGGACTGTTCAGATGTAAACAAAATAAGGATCTTTTTTACATTTTCAATAAAAAAATGTTTTTTTGTTTTTTTTTTTTTTGAGATGGAGTCTCGCTCTATTGCCCAGGCTGGAGTGCAGTGGCACAATCTCAGCTCACTGCAACCCCCACCTTCTGGGTTCAAGCAGTTCTCCTGCCTCAGCCTCCCAGTAGCTGAGATTACAGGCGTGTGCCACCATGCCCAGCTAATTCTTTTGTAATTTTAGTACAGACAGGGTATATTAGTCAGAGTTTTCTAGAGGGACAGAACTAATAGGATATATGTATATGGGAGTTTGTTAAGGAGTATTAACTCCTGAATTAACACGATCACAAGGTCTCACAATAGGCCATCTGCAAGCTGAGGAGCAAGGAAGCCAGTCTGAGTCCCAAAGCTGAAGAAATTGGAGTTGGATGTTTCAGGGCAGGAAGCATCCAGCACGGGAGAAAGATGTGGGCTGGGAGGCTAGGCCAGTCTAGCCTTTTCACATTTTTCTACCTGCTTTATATTCTAGCTGCACTGGCAGCTGATGAGATGGTGCCCACCCAGATTGAGGGTGGGTCTGCCTTTCCCAGCCCACTGACTCAAACTGACAACATCTTCACAGACACACCCAGGATCAATACTTTGCATCCTTCAATCCAATCAAGTTGACACTCAGTATTAACCATCACACAGGGTTTCATCATGTTGGCTGGGCTGGTCTTGAACTCCTGACCTCAGATGATCCACCTACCTCAGCCTCCCAAAGTGCTGGGATTACAGGTGTGAGCCACTGTGCCTGGCCAATTTTTAATTTATTTTAGAGACAGGGTCTCACTCTGTCACCCAGGCTGGAGTGCAGTGGTGTGATCCTAGCTCACTACAGCCTCAAACTTCTGGGCTCCAGGGATCCTCCCACTTCAGCTTCCTGAGTAGCTGCGACTACAGGTGTGTGCCACTACACCTGGCTAATTTTTAAAAATATTTTATTTTTTAGATTAAAAAAAAATTTTTTTTTTAGAGATGGGATCTTGCTATGTTGCCCAGGCTGGTCTCAAACTTCTGGCCTCAAGTAGCCCTCCTGCGTAAGCCTCCCAAAGTGCTGGGATTATAGGCATGAGCCACTGCGCCTGGCTGGGAACCAATGCTTATTGAGCACCTACTGTGTACTAGGCTTAGAGCTAGGACCAGTGGACCTTGTAAGAGGGTAGCAAGAGGGCCAGAGTGAGTAGTAGGAGATGTTACCATGGAAACCAGAGGTTGGAGTGATGTCAAAAAGAAGCCTCCAGCCAAGGGACAGGGGGATCTCTAGAAGCCAGGAAAGGCAAGAAATAGATTCTCCCACGGAGACTCTGGAGGAAACTCACCTGCTGTCACCTTGGACGTCTCATTTCTAGAATGATAAGATTATAAACGTGTGCTGTTTTAAGTCACTCAGTTGGTGGTAATTTGTTATAGCACAAGGGGTTTTGTTTGTTTTTTAGAGACAGGGTCTTGCTGTGTTGCCCAGGCTAAAGTGCAATGGTACAATAATAGCTCACTGCAGCCTCGAATTCTTGGCCTTAAGCAATCCTCCTGCCTCAGCCTCCTGAGTAGCTGGGACCACAGGTGTGTACCACCACGCCTAGCTATTTTTTTCTTTTCTTTTTTTTTTTTTTTTTTGTAGAGATGGGGTCTCGCTATGTTGCTCAGGCTGGTCTTGAACTCCTGGGCTGAAGCGATCCTCCTGCTTCCACCTCCCAAAGTGCTGGGATTACAGGAATGAGCTGCTGCGCCCGGCCAACCACACTCTTTTCTCTCATCTGTAGAATGGTCTCAGTATCCTTGTCCTGACTCTGTGTCTCTGAGGATGAGAAAGCAGGAGACCTCCAGTTCTCCTTGGCTGTTGCTGTAGATTTGTTTCCATAAAGCGGTTTCTTTTTCTTTTCTTTTTTTTTTTTTTTTTTTTTTGAGACAGAGTCTCGTGCTGTCACCTAGGCTAAGGTGCAGTGGTGTGATCTCGGCTCACTGAAACCTCTGCCTCCCAGGTTAAGTGATTCTCGTGCCCCAGCCCCTTGAATAGCTGTGATTACAGGTGCCTGCCACCATGCCTGGCTAATTTTTGTATTTTTAGTAGAGACGGGGTTTCTCCATGTTGGCCAGGCTGGTCTTGAACTACTGACCTCAGACGATCCGTCTGCCCTGGCCTCCCAAAGTGCTGGGATTGCGGGCATGAGCCACCGCGCCCAGCCCCATAAAGCAGTTTCTAGATCTCACTGTCATATGGCTCCGAATGTCCTGTTGTGAGATCTCTTCTGAAAGGGAGAAAACCTTATCCTGAGGAATTCTAACCGAAAGCCTGGAGAACCCACCACAGACTGATTAAAAGAAATCTTTCTCGTAGGAAAACTGCAAGTCCTGAGTCTCCAGCTTTTTCATGTGTGACCCTTGGGTGGCCCACTTCAGAGCATTCTGCAGCTTGTGATGGGTTTAATTTTCTGTTTTGATCCCACGGTGAAACCACAAATGAGTAGAAGTGCCTTAGGCAGGCCCTCCGCCCTGGTAGCCCCACTCTTGGGATGAGGCTAGGTGGGAACTGGCCGTCTGCAGGGGTTCCTGGGAAAAAAGCTCTTTAATCAGCGGGGCTGGAGGGAAAATGGCTCTGCAGGAATGAATTGAGAACTTGAAACGGCATCTTTCCCTCTGGTTGCCAGGGGAGAGTTGCAATTCTTTTGCGGTGATTTTGTGACTTTCTTGTGGTCAACCCCCTGGTGCCTGTCGGACTTGAGCACAGCAGCCAGATGAGAGGGGAAAAATAGGGGGAAGGTGGCTCCTTCCACCTGAGGGACATCTGCCTTTAATCACCGCTGAAAACAAAGCAGGCCAAGGAATTGCCTGCGACCCGCTGAGGGCAGCTCAGGTATCTCTGGAGGCTGCAGCCTTGGGGTTGTCGAGGGTCTCAGCCTTGGGGTCTTTGTGCACTTAGGTGCTCTGGGAGAAAACCTTCTGGAACTTTGTTTTGTTCACATCCGGCCCTTGCTTGAAAACTCCTGGTGGCCCAGCATGGTGGCTCACGCCTGTAATCCCAGCATTTTGGGAGGTTGCAGTGGGAGGATTGCTTGAGCCCAGGAGTTTGAGGCCAGCCTGGGCAACATAGTGAGATCCTGTTTCTACCAAAAAACCAAAAAAACATTAGCCAGGTGTGGTGTGGTGGTGAGTGCCTATAGTCCCAGCTACTGGGGAGGGTGAGGGGGGGATAATTGCTTGAACCCAGGAGGTTGAGGCTGCAGTGAGCCGAGATCGCACCACTGCACTCCAGTCTGGATGACAGAGCAAGACCCTGTCTTTAAAACACAACACAACACAACACAAAACTCCTAGTGGTTCCCCATGCCTCAGGCCAAGGTTCAAATCCCATAGCATGGCACTTAAGGCCTTTGTCTCTTCCTAGTCTACTGCCCAGCCTCAGCCTCACTTCCCAGCCCCTGACTGACTACTCCAAGCCCCATAGAGCTGCTCCTCTGACAATTCCAGAGCTGTTAAGCATTTCTTTTTTTTTTGAGATGGAGTCTTGCTATGTTGCCCAGGCTGGAGTGCAGTGGCACAATCTCAGCTCACTGCAACCTCTGCCTCCCGGGTTCAAGCAATTCTCCTGCCTCAGCCTCCCTAGTAGCTGGGACTACAGGTGCCCGCCATCATGCCTGGCTAATTTTTGTATTTTAGTACAGATGAGATTTCACCATGTTGGCCAGGCTGGTCTTGAACTCCTGACCTCAAGTGATCCACCCACCTCGGCCTCCCAAAGGTGCTGGGGTTACAGGTGTGAGCTACCACTCCTGGCCATGCTCTTTAGAGGACTGTGGCACCCTAGAGGAGGACAGAATCCCAGGCTTGGGGACAAGGGTTTGATGTCAGAGACTGGAGAATGCAGCTCCCTAGAGCAAGACCCAGTGGAGATCAGACGGTGAATGTGTGGAAGAACTGGGGCTCCACATCTTGTGGCTGTGGGGTGCTCCTTCAGCAGCCCAGGCCTGGGGTGACGCTGGGTAGATGGGGCTGTAAGATGCAGAGGTGGGGGAATGAGGAGCAAAGACAGGCTCCAAAGCATGGGATGGAGAGACATGGCCAAAGGTGAGGCTTTGGGAACAAAGGGAGGGGCTAGAGTCCCTGTGCAATGGGTGAAGTTGACCTCCCTGTCCCTCCCCGGCAGAACCAGACACCACCTTCTAAGGGCTCCTGTGCACTGCAGGTCCTTGCCTGTTCTTGTCACCTGTGTCATGTTTCTGTGATTCTTTGTGTTGTCTGTGTCTTCTCATTAGATTGCAGGTCTCCTTTTCAGCTGTCTCAGGCCAGTAAGTGTCTCAGGATCTGGTGCTTAGAAAGGGCTTCACAAATGTTCATTGAACAGAGGACTTAGAATTGCTTTCTTTTCCTTCCTTCCTTCCTTCCTTCTTCTTCATCTTCTTTCTTTTTTTTTATCTTTCTTTTTTCTCTTCTTTCTTTTCTCTTTCTTTACTTCTTTTCTCCTTCCTCCTTTCTTTGCTCTCCTTCCTTCCTTCCTTCTCCTTTCCTTCTCCTTCTCCTTCCCTTCCCTTCCCTTCCTTCTCTCCTCCCCCCCCCTCCTTTTTTTTTTTGAGACAGGGTCTCCCTCTGTCACCCAGGGTGATGTGCAATGGTGGGGTCATAGCTCAGTGCAGCCTCAACCTCCTGGGCTCAAGTGATCTTCCTGCCTTAGCCTCCCGAGTAGCTGGGACTACAGGCACACACCACCGTGCCTGGATAATTTTTTGTTGTTTGCAGAGACAAGGCATCTTGCTAGGTTGCCCAGGCTGGTCTCGAACTCCTGGCTTCAAGCAGTCTTCCCACCTCAGCCCCCCAAGGTGCTGGGATTACAGGTGTGAGCCACCATGCCTGGTCTAAAGTGTATAATCTCAACTATACAGCTTGATGAGTTTCTACTTATGTGTATGCTCATGTAAACCACCATTCAGGCCCAGAGGGAGAACATTTCCAGCACCCAGAGGGCTCTGGTGTGCCCAGGTAGGCCCCCTAGAGGTAACCATGGTTCTGATTTCATCACCATAGAATAGCTTTGCCTGTCCTTGAATGTCATATAAACAGAATCATTCAGCATGAACTCTATTGGGTGTGACTTCTTTTGCTCTGCATCATCTCTGTGTGATTCATTTAGATTGTTGAAGTGGCTTGTGCTTTTTCAGTGCTGTGTACTATTCCACTGCAGGAATCCCATGCTGCTTCCATTCTCCTTTCGTGGACATTCTGGATTGTTTTTCACTGTATCTATTTTACAATCTATTGGAGAATATGAGCTGGAGCTTGTCAGCTTGAACTTGTCATTTTCCAATGAGGAGACCTGGAGATTAGGGGTCACTTAGCCAATGTCACCTGGGAAGTCACAGGCTGAGCTGGGATAAGACCCCAGTTTCTTGACACACAGCTCTGTGATTCCCTCTCCCTCCGCCCATAAAGGGCAGAAATACGAACTCCTGAGCTTTCTCGGCAACCAAGTCCTCTTATTGGGCTTATGGACATGTCCGCTTATGGACGGAATCCTGACTTTCCCTCGCCCCAAGTCAGCAGGTCACAGAGAACCCAAGCAGCCTCTAAGATGTCATAGGTCTCCCTCCTGACCTGCAATAATGGCAAGAATCAATGTGTCAGCGGCTGCTTTTCGTCGTGTGCTTCCGTGAGCCAGACTTTGCACCAAGGGCAAATGTGTTATTCACCCTCTCAGCCCTGCTTCCTTGTCTGTACCTCGGGAAGCAATTCAGTCCCCTCCCCAGTTATCACTCCCCAAAGCAGCGCGTAGAGTTCTCAGAGGGCCGCTGCAGAGGAGGGGGTCGACTTTGCTGAGTCGAAGCCCTTCATCATAAGGGCATTATCAGGCGGCAGTCTGATTAGAATCACAAATGCCTGGCTAGGGTAGATATGGGAGGAGGGGCTGATTCTGTGCTGGGAAGGTGGGAGTGGTGCGGGATGCTTACCCAGGTGTGGAGTGAGCCCCTGGGTGGGCTGCACAGGGGGATGGACAGAGCTTTAAAATACTCAGTGTGGGTCAGAATTGCCCATCAAGATGAGAGACACTAGGCGTGGTGGCTCATACCTGTAATCCCAGCACTTAGGGAGGACGAGGGAGGAGGATTGCTTGAGCCCAGGAGCTTCAGACCAACCTGGGCAATATAGTGAGACCCCCATCTCTACAAAAAATTTCAAAATTAGCCAGGTGTGGTGGCGCAGGCCCATAGTCTCAGCTGCTCAGGAGGCTGAGGCGAGAGGATTGCTTGAGCCCAGGAGGTCAAGGCAACAATGAGCTATAATTGTGCCACTGTACTCCAACATGGGCAACAGAGTGACACTCTGTCCAAAAATTTTAAAAAAAGGAATATTCTTTCTAATGAGCTTTCTTTCCCTTTGTCTCTCTCTTCTTTCTTTCTTTCTGAAGCACGATCTCAGCTCACTGGAACCTCCATCTCCTGTGTTCAAGCAATTCTCCTGCCTCAGCCTCCTGAGTAGCTAGGATTACAGGTGTGCACCACCACACCTGGCTAATTTTTGTATTTTTAGTAGATATGGGATTTCACCATTTTGCCCAGGCTGGTCTTGAACTCCTGACCTCAGGTGATCCTCCTGCCTCGGCCTCCCAGAGTGCTGGGATTACAGGTATAAGCTACCACACCTGGCTAAATTTTGTATTTTTAATAGAGACAGAGTTTCACCATGTTGCCCAGGCTGGTCTCAAACTCCTGACCTCAGCTGATCCTCCTGCCTCAACCTCTCAGAGTGCTAGGATTACAGGCGTGAGCCATTGTGCCCCGCCTTCATTCTAATTTTGAACATGCATTCCCATGGGAAATAATCTGATCACAAAATATGTTAGAAACAACATAAGAATCATAAAGTTGTTTCTTCCAATACACAGTTTATGTATAATTAGTTCTTCCATGGCCCCCGCTGCCCCTGGCCTTCCCAGATATTTACTTATCACCCACTCAATGCCAGATGCTGCCGCAGAGATCCAAGTTGAGTAAGTCTCTGCTCTCAGGGAGAGAGAGACAGTCATGTCCGGGGGTGGTACAGTGGCTGCGAGTGCTGTGGGCAGAGTTGGAGGAACCAAAGGGCGGGGACCAAATCTGTGCAGAGGGGACAGCAAATATTTGAGAGTGAAGGGGCCACTTGAGCAGGATGTGGAAGACGAGTAGGTGGCCCTCAGGGAGGCAGGGGTGGGGAGGGGAGTAGGCATTCTAGACTTTGGTGGGCTAAAGGCCCAGATGTGGAGAGAGGCATGGCTCAGCCTAGGGCTCAGGGGTTCAGGAGCGCAGGGAGATCCTTGCAGAAGGCCTGGTGGGCTCGGTCATGGAGTGGGCTTTGTCCCTTCCAGACCTCAGTCCACACTGCCTTTCTTTTTTTTCCTATTTTTTTTTTTTTTTTTTTTTTTTTTGAGATGGAGTCTCACTCTGTCACCCAGGCTGGAGTGCAGTGGCACGATCTCGGCTCACTGCAACCTCCACCTCCTGGATTCAAGTGATTGTCCTGCCTCAGCCTCCTGAGTAGCTGGGATTGCAGGTGCCCGCCACCACTCCTGGCTAATTTTTGTATTTTTATTTTATTTTATTTTTTGTTTGTTTATTTGTTTTGAGATGGAGTTTCGCTCTTGTTGCCCAGGCTGGAGCGCAATGGTGCGGTCTCAGCTCACTGCAACCTCTGCCTCCCAGGTTCAAACGATTCTTCTGCTTTAGCCTCCCGAGTAGCTGGGATTACAGGTGCACATCACCATGCCCAGCTAAGTTTTGTATTTTTAGTAGAGACCGGGTTTCACCATGTTGGCCAGGCTGGTCTTGAACTCTTGACCTCAGGTGATCCACCCACCTTGGCCTCCCAAAGTGCTGGGATTACAGACATGAGCCACTGCGCCCGACCCACACCGCCTTCCTTCCTTCACTTGTTCATTCAGTAAATACCACTGATGTGGGCCCTGCGCTAAACCCGAACGAGGGGTGGGGAGATGCGGAGACGGGAGTTCAAGGGCCTGTGGTCTCTCTGCAGGCTGCAGTTACACGGGTCAGGTGGACAGCAGCACGTCTGCACAGGTGTGTCCCGTGTGAGGCTGCATTTGGCTGGAAGTTGTCACCGAGTCCCTGGCTTGGGGATGATTTTGCAGACCCAGGGATGGCGCTGTCATACCAGCTCTTTGCAGAACTACCTGCCTGGAGAAGGCATAGGGGTAAGGCTTTCCCTGATCCTTCAAGCCGTCTGGACAGTGGAGACCAGCCCCAGAGGATTGTAGAACATGACGAGGCCTTTGACTCTGCCTGCCTAGCCTCCCAGTCACTGGGCTTCTGGACAAGAGGCAGCACTGCTCTGAGCTTCCTACCAGTGATGATGAGGGTGATGATGAAAGCTATGTCAGCGGGATGGTCTCTAAAGCCTCTCCCAGCTCTAATCCTGCCAGGAGGAGGAGGAAGAAGAAGAGGAGCAGGAGGTGGAGGAGAAGGAGAAGGAAGAGAAAGAGGAGAGAAGGAAGAGGAGAAGGAGGAGGAGGAAAAGGAAGACTAGAAGAAGGAAGAGGAGGGGGAGCAGGAGGACAAAGAGAAGGAGGAGGAAGAGGAAGAGTAGGAGGAAGAAGAGAAAGAGGAGGAGGAAAAGGAGGAGGAAGAGGAAGAGTAGGAGGAAGAAGAGGAAAAGGAGGAGGCAGAAGAGGGAGAGGAGGAGGTGGAGGAGGAAGAGGAGGAAGAAGATGTTGGAGGCTGAGGAGGAGGAAGAGTAGGAGGTAGAGGAAGAGGAGGAGAAGGAAGAGAAGGAGGAGGAAGAGGAGGAAGAGGAGGAGGGAGAAGAGGAGGAGGAGGAGGAAGACCCTGGAGAGGGATGGACCCTGCAGCAATTTCCCAACTGGGCCCCAACCCAGGACACCACCTCTTGTCTCCAGCGGAAAGCTGCAGGATCTGGTGGTGTCGAAGCCACGTTTCCTCTCTGCCTGCTGGGGGTTACGTGAACTGCCAAAAATTCCTACCTTGAAAGGTAGGAAGAAATGTCAGACTTGGAAAGAAATGATCCAACATAAAAGGCAGACTTCATTACCAGCCGGGTTTATTTCATTCTCCCCTGGATTCGGAGTGGCTTCAAATTCTCCCGGGCCTGACCTTTGCAGGGGAACTGAGGAATTTCTCAGAGATGCCAAGACAGCAGTGTGTGGCGGGGGTGCCACCGGCTGCCGGACAATTAGTCCCAGAGCCTGGTCCTTTGGAAAAGGTGTTCTGCTGGTGGAGACTCGCTGGGCTGTGATGTGATCGTGTCGGATGCCAAATTCCACAGTCAGTCCCTTTCAGCAGTCACATTCCTTAGATTCTTATCAGGGATTTTCCCCCCCAAGTGAACACTGGGAACCAGCCTCCCCGCTGATTGCAGGAGGATGGGAGGAAATTAAAAGCAGGAATCCTGGCGGTTGTCCTGGTTCGTCACCAGCTTGCCGTGCCAGCTTGAGCCCTTCCCTTCCCCTTTCCCCTTCTCTGGGCCTCGGTTTTCTCACCTGTAAAAAGGGGGTTGGGGCGGGATGATCTTTCCAAGGCCTCTGGCTGTGAAAATTCTATTTTCTCTTTCTTTTCTTCTTTCTTTCTCTTTTTCTTTCTTTCTTTCTTTCCTTCATTCTTTTTTCTTCCTTCCTTCTTTCCTTTCTTCTCTTTCTCTTTCTTTCTCCCCTCCCCTCCCTCCCTTCCTTCCTTCCTTCCCTCCCTCCCTCCTTCCCTCCCTCCTTTCACTGCTTCCTTTCATTTCTTTCTCTCTTTCTCTCCTTCTTTCCCTTCCTTCCTCCCTCCCTCCCTCCCTCCCTTGCCCCCTTTCCTTTCCTGTCCTGTCCTTTCCCTCCTCTCCCCTCTCCTCCCCTCCCCTTTCCTTTTCTTTCTTTCCTCTATCTTTCCTCTTCCTTTCTTTGACAGGGTCTTGCTCTTTTGCCCAAGCTAGAGTGTGGTGGTGCAATCTCAGCTCACTGCAGCCTTGACCTCCGGGGCTCAAGAGATGCTCCCACCTCAGCTTCTCGAGTAGCTGGGATTAGTCACGTGCCACTATGCCCAGCTAATTTTTAAATTTTTAGTAGAGATGGGGTCTCGCTGTATTGCCCAGGCTGGTCTCAAATTCCTGGCTTTAAGCAATCCTCCCTCCTCAGCCTCCCAAAGTGCTGGGATTACAGTCATGAGCCACTGCGTGTGGCCGGCAAAGTCTTAATAATTCTCCATTCAAGTCCATAGAGAGATGGTTTCAGGGGACAATAGACCTAAACAAAATTCTGTCTTCACAGAGTGGGAGATGCTTGTGGGACAGTTGCTGCAGTGGGAGATTAGGAGTGGGGGCCTTCTTGTGTGTCCCCTCCTTCATGGGGGAGCATTCCTCCCCCTGAAATGGTGCAGCTCTACTAAGTCTCTACTAAAAATACAAAAATTAGTGGGGTGTGGTGGTATGTGCCTGTAATCCCAGTTAATTGGGAGGCTGAGGCAGGAGAATCACTTGAGCCTGGGAGGCAGAAGTTGCAGTGAGCTGAGATTATGCTACTGCACTCCAGCCTGGGAGACAGAGTGAGACTCTGCTTCAACAACAACAACAAAACAAAACAAAACAAAAAAACTTTTTGTAGAGACCAGGTCTTGCTATATTGCCCAGGTTGGTCTTGAACTCCTGGCCTCAAGTGATGCTCCTGCCTCGACCTCTCAAAGTGCTGGAATTGCAGCATGAACCACCGTGCCCAGCCTAAACCATCTTTTCAATGGCAGTCCTCTTCTCTTCTGTTGGCCCACATTTTAAAACAGCTTTTATGAGAGTGCCATTTATTCAGAAAAAAAGACTCCAGGATTATCCTGGTTAAATTTCAGATTAAAGCCTGATCCAGGCCGGGCACGGTGGCTCACGCCTGTAATCCCAGCACTTTGGGAAGCCTAGGCGGGCAGGTCACTTGAGGTCAGGAGTTCGAGACCAGCCTGGCCAACATGGTGAAACCCTGTCTCTACTAAAAATATAAAATTTGCCGGTGTGCTGGTGGGCACCTGTAGTCCCAGCTACTTGGGAGGCTGAGGCAGGAGAATCGCTTGAACCAGGGAGGTGGATGTTGCAGTGAGCCAAGATCATGCCATAGCACTCCAGCCTGGGCAACAGAGCTATGCAAGAAGAGAAGCTGTGTCCTTATTTCTGGACACAGTTGTGTGAGGTTGTGAAGCCTGGAGCGGTGGCAGCCATCTTAGAGCCATGAGGCAAGACAGCCTGGGGAAGGCAGAGCAGGAGGCAGGGTCTTTGACTGTGTGATGCTGCCTAATTAGCCAACTCTGCAGCCACTCACTTCTCAATATGTGAAATCTTAAGTGACCTGGTTGTTCAAGCCCAATTTATCAGTAGGGTTTTTACAACGCATCTGAAAGCATCCTCGCCAAAACAACCTGCTGTCAAAACATACTATCAAGGCGTGAGAATGTGAGACCGGGAGACACTTGGTGTCCTGGTTGCACCATTTACCCTCCCCCCCCAAATGGCTTTGGGCAAATCTCAATGCCACAACCTCAGTTTTCCATCTACAAAGTAGCAGTTCACCTTCCCAGGGGAGCCAGAAGTCCCAAAGACAATAGCACCGATATGAATGTAAATTTGTGGACTGCAAACTTCTAAGCATAGCAGATGTTACCATTAAACTATAAATAGGCCAGGCACAGTGGCTCATACCTGGAATCCCATCTCTTTAGGAGGCTGAAGTAGGAGGATTGCTTGAGCCCAGGAGCTCAAGACCAGCCTAGGCTATATAGTGAATCTCCCTGTCTCTACAAAAACAAAGTGCGAAAATTAGCTAAGTGTAATGATACGCGCCTGTGGTTCCAGCTACGCAGGAGGCTGAAGAGGGAGGATTGCTTGAGCTCAGGAAGCAGAGGTTGCAGTGAGCTGTGATCATGCCACTGCACCCCAGCCTGGGTCACAGAGTGAGATTTTGTCTCCAAAATAAATAAATAAACAAATAAATAATTGTACTTTATGGGCCGGGCATGGTGGCTCATGCCTATGATCCCAGCACTTTGGGAGGCGGAGGCGGGCAGATCACAAGGTCAGGAGATCGAGACCATCCTGGCTAACACGGTGAAACCCCGTCTCTACTAAAAATACAAAAATTAGCCGGGCGTGGTGGCAGGCGCCTGTAGTCCCAGCTACTCAGGAGACCGAGGCAGGAGAATGGCGTGAACCCCGGGAGGCAGAGCTTGCAGTGAGCTGAGATCGCGCCACTGCACTCCAGCCTGGGTGACGGAACAGAGCGAGACTCCGTCTCTAAAAAAAAAAAAATTATACTTTATAATGAAAATATAATCATAATCCTGAACTAGCTCTATCTCTTCTGGTAAGGAAAGGAGACAAGACTTTTTACCCACATGGTATCTACATTTTTTTTTTTTTAGAGACAAAGTCACTGTATCACCCAGGCCAGATCGCAGTGGTACAATTACAGCTCACTACAGCCTTGGACTCCTTGGGCTCAAGTGATCCTCCCACCTCAGCTCCCCAAATTGGACTACAGACACAAGCCACCATGCCCAGCTAATTTTTTTTTCCCCAAATGCTGATCCTCCCTGAATGCTGGTCCTCCCTAAATCCTGATTGTCCCTGAATGCTGATGCTTCCTAAAATGATCCTCCTTAAATGTGCTCCTCCCTGAATGCTGATCTTTTCTCACGTGGTCCTCCCTCACATGATCCTCCCTAAGTGCCGACCCTATAGAAAGCGCTTGGCACCATCTCTCCCCCTAGCCTGTTCCCTCTGGCCCTCCTATTAATGGCGGTAGTTGGGGATCACTGCTGAAGTGCTCAAAACCACACAGCCTGCTTGGCCAAATCACATACTTCTCAGCTGCCCCCTCCACATGGAAAACTCAATCCATCAGTGGCCCCGCCAGCCCTTCCCGCCAGTGCGCAGGCAAGGAGCCGATGCTGCCTGTGGGGCTGGCTCTCAGGTGGGGTGGGCCCCAAAATTCCCCACCGTGGAAGCTGCTGGAGAATAAATGCAGATAACGAGGAGGGAGGAAGCTGAGAGGCTGGTGGCACGGCCGTGCTCCGTGGAGTAGGTCGTGCACTCCCGGAGCCCCTCTCCCTCCTCCCCGGATGGAAATCCACACAACTCCTTTGCCCTTCAGACCTCCGTGCTGCGCCCTGGAAACCATGTCATCGCCTTTGTGTTTTTGCAAAAAGATTTGGTCAGTCGCCATGGAGATTTCAGATCATCTTTTCCCTCCAAAAATCAATGACCTTAACTTTTCAATTCCTTCCCTGCGGTGCTTCGAAATGGACAGTTCCAGTAAAAACTATTATGAGGAAACGCAGGCAGGTCTATCTGCTATCCAAACACTCCTACTGTTTTTTGTGCCCGAAAAACTGATCAGGCCATGGTGTTACATACACTCGGCTATTCCTATGTGAACAAAACCACCACTCCCTGCGGTGTTGAGGCGGATGAGTGATGGACAGGAACAGCAGCCTCAGAGACACTCATTTTGCTGGAAGGGATGACCCGATTTGTGCCAATTTGCTCGATGGCAGACAGATGATGGAGAAGTGCTCTCAGGGGGCTGTTGGGGGGCTATGGCCATGAGCACCTTCATGGACTGTCCATTTACCCCCACTGGGCTCAGCTTCCAGCTTCTGCCTCTCCATCCTGCCCCAGCAGGTACTCCTGGAACCCCACTCTGAGTTCCCTTCTTTAAAAACTTTCCATGTGTTGGCCGGGTGCAGTGGTGCAGGCCTGTAGTCCTAGCTACTTGAGAGGTGGAAGAATCTCTTGAGCCCAGGAGTTCTGAGACCAGCCTGGGCGACATAGCAGGACCCCATCTCTGCAAAACATTTCTTAAAAAAATAGCTGGGCATGGTGGCACGCACTTGTAGTCCCAGCTACTTGAGAGGCTGAGGCAGGAGGATTGCTTGAGCCCAGGAGGTTGAGGCTGCAGTGAGCTAGAATTGCATCACTGCACTCCAGCCCGGGCAACAGAACAAGATGCTGTCCCTGTAAAAAACAAACAAGAAAACCTCATCCTACTTTCCACGTTTTCACCTCCTCTTTTCCAATAGGGTGAGTCTCCAAGCTCCTCCAGAGCCAACATGTCTCCACCTTCCACCCCCATCGAGTGGGTATCCTGCTCGCCCCTTCAAGGATGGGGTATCTACTCCACCCACTGTGGGCAGCCCATTGCACTTGTGGGCAGCTCTTCCTGGCAGCGGGTACCTCCTTATCCTGAGTGATGCCTGTCTCCCAGCAGCTTAATGCTCTGACCTGACTCCATGCCCTCTGGGGCCATGAGAGCAAGTCTGGTCCAACTCCCCTACAGGATGTTGGGGCAGAAAGCTGGCTGCCTTCACCATGGCCCTCCGCTTGTCTCTGCTCGATATTCCTGAGGAACCTGTCCTCAACAGCCCTCACCTGTTCTTCTAGAGAGGGCAGGTCTGAGCCTGAGGAGCCATGGGACCTCCTTTTCACCTGGCCAAATCCCGGGTGATGACTTTTCTTCCCATGGAAGCTCACGGCTCTAACTCTGACATCAGCCTCCCCTCCCTCCCAGCTCAATCACCTTCTGCTTGTAGGACAGTGGCCATAGATATCTCCTCCCGGGGCTCTGGGTGGCAGTTTCTCTGCATTTCTATTGAACCTCATGGCAGACACAGGGAGAGTCCTCAGTGAGGTAGGAGATGGGATTTGACTCTGGAGGTGGGGTGCAGACACTGGACCAAATTGAGGACTAGCTAAAACAGGGAAGAGGTGAAAGCACCTCTCCATAAAACATACCCCCTAGCACCATAACGATTTACCATTGCCATGGCAACACCCAGAAGTTACAGCCCCTTTCCATGGCAATGACCTGATAACCCAGCAGTTAGCACCCCTTCAAAGTTATCACCCGGAAGTTACCACTTAATCATATGCAAATTAAGGGGCGGGTTATACAGAAATTATGAATAACCTGCCTGTTAATTTGCATACCATTAAGATGGGTATAAATAGGAGTGAAGCTCTACCTCTGAGCTGCTACTCTGGGCACACTGCCTGTGGGGTAGCCCTACTCTGTAAAGAGCAGAACGTCTGCTGCTGCTGTGCACTGCTGCTTTGATAAATTTGCTAATACCACTGGCTTGCCCTTGAATTCTTTCCTAGGCTAAGCCAAGAACCCTCCCTGGTTAAGCCCCAACACTGGGGTTCACCTATACTGCATCAGTGGAAGAAGATTCTGAGCCAGAGTCTAACATGGAGGGTGTTTATTAGGGATGGCTTTTAGGATAAATCCCTGGGGAAGGGAGGGGACTGAGGCAGGAATGAGCAGAAGGAGACGAGCCTCCATATAGGCCAGGACAGCTGCCCCAGACCCCATGAGGCTCTGCAGCTGGGATGCTCTTTCAGCGTTGTCCCCAGGCAGGGATATGTCCAGGCTTTTCAAGTGCGCCTCCACCAGTCACAGGATGGAGGGTGCCCCAGGAAGAGCTGGGACCTTGGATGAGGTGACTCTGAGCAGCTGAATGATGGATGTCTGTTGACAGCACTTCCTGTAGCTGGGGCTAAAAGCCTTTCTCAATGCAGGGGATCTGGGTGGCACAGCCCAACATCTACCACAAGGGCTGGTGGGCATGGAGGGGAACAAGGTGTGTTCCTGATGCTATTTTGCTAGTAAGACAGCCTGGGATGGCCTTTGATTTGTAGAGGCCACAACTCTGTTGACTCATGCTGAACTTATTGTTGGCAAGAACCTCTACATCCCATCTGAGGCTTGTCCTCTGGGCTCTGGGGCTGCAGTGCAGGACTTCATATTTGCCTGGTTGTATTTCATGTTGTTAGACTTGGCTCCTTGCTGCGGCTGTGCAGATCTAGCTTGGATCCCAACTCTCTCCTAAGACCCAGGCCCCTGTCTCTGCTGGCTCCTGGTCTTCCACAGTTCCCAGCAGCAGTTTACTGCCTCCCCAGTCAAGGTCTTCCTCTCCTAGAGGCATGGCCTCAAGAAGACAGACAGCCACGTGCCAAGACCCAGATCGTCTGGCTGTTTAGCAAAGTGTCTAAGAGTTGCCCGTTGACTTGTTGTTGCCTTGGACATGTTATTTACTCCTTCCTGTGCCTCAGTTTCCTTCTCTGTAAAAGTAGAATAATAACAGTACTTACCACCCAGATTTGGGTGAAGATGATCAGGACACCTTGCTTAGGTAGCAGAATGAGGAGGGGAAGAGAAACCACTCCATGCGCTTGGCTGGGGTCTGAACCACACTCAACTCTCATCTCACTGGTTTCAAACAGGAGTAGGGATAGTTCCTCCTCCTTGCTATTTTTCCTGGTCCTTGAGGGATATGGGTAAGAAGGACCTATGAGGGGATATTTTATTTGCTCTCTGATTATCCACCTGTTCTCATTAGCAAAGTGGATGGAGCATGGGGTTGGGAATGAGAAGACTGAGTTTCAAGGCATAAATTTACTACATACTCATTCTGTGACTTGTGGTCTTCTCTGGAGTTTCTTATCTGTAAAATTCCTGCATGTCACATTGTTGAGAAGACCGAACAGAAGAATGTACATGTATTCATTTGCCAGGGCTGCCATGCCACCGACTGGGTGGCTTAAACAAAAGAAGTTTATCTTCTCATAGTTCTGGAAGCTGGAAGTAGAAGCTGGAAGTAGATCAAGGTGTGTTACCACCTGATCAGGGTTCTCACCCACCATGCAGATGCAGCCAAAATACTGAAACAGCAGGTGTTGCAGCAGAGAAAGCATTTAATTATTTCAAGGCAACTGAGCGAGGAGGACAGGAGATAGTTCTCAAATCCACCTTCCTGAGATTTCAGAGGCTAGGGTCTTTTTTTTTGAGACGGAGTCTCGCTCTGTTGCCCAGGCGGGAGTGCAGTGGTGTGATCTCTGCTCACAGCAACCTCCACCTCCCGGGTTCATGCCATTCTCCTGTTTCAGCCTCCCGAGTAGCTGGGACTACAGGTGCCCACCACCACGCCCGGCTAATTTTTTGTGTTTTTAGTAGAGACAGGGTTTCACCATGTTAGCCAGGATGGTCTTGATCTCCTGACCTCATGATCCACCCGCCTCAGCCTCCCAAAGTGCTGGGATTATGGGTGTGAGCCACCGCACCTGGCCAGAGGCTAGGGTTTTTAAGGTTGGTTTGGTGGGCAGGGGGCTAGGGAATGGGTGCTACTGATTGGTTGGGCATGAACTCTTAAGGGTGTTAAAACTATCTTTGTGCACCAAGTCCATTTCTGGGTGGTGGAGGGTCATGGATTGCTGGGCCAGCTGGTGTTCGTTGGTTCATCAGTTCATCTGAATGCAAACTCTAAAAAGTATTGCAAAGACCAGTCTTAGGTTTCACAATAACATGACTCCTGAATGCTAAGTTATTACAGAAGAGCAAACTAGGGAAAAATAGTGGGTTCTTGTTTTACCGTACCTGCATCTTAGCAACTTTTGGTTGTCACAAAAGAAGTTACATGACTAAGGATCATTGTTCTTAAGAAAAGAAGTTTATTAATCTTGTTGGACAGCCTGCCTGGGACTAGGAGAGGAAGGTAGTGAATTATTAGTGACTACTGTCTGTTGAAATGACTGTACATGTAATCATGCATAAAGGATGAAAAGGTCAGAGAGAAAGGAAAAAATATATAACAAACATCTTATGATTGAGTTCTCCCGGGTTCAAGAGATTCTCCTGCCTCAGCCTCCTGAGTAGCTGGGACTACAGGTGTGCACCACCACGCCCGGCTAATTTTGGTGTGTGTGTGTGTGTGTGTGTGTGTTTTGAGACGGAGTCTTGCTCTGTAGCCCAGGCTGGAGTGGAATGTCACGATCTCAGTTCATTACAACCTCTGCCTCCTAGGTTCAAGTGATTCTTCTACCTCACCCTTCCAGAGTGCTAGGATTTCAGGCATGAGGCACCACACCCAGCTAATTTTTTTTTCTAATTTTTTTTTGTAGAGCTGGGGTCTTGCTACGTTGCCCAGGCTGGGCAAACCTTAGTTCTAACAGAGCTTCTTGAACACAGTTGGCAGGCAACCTCACTGGCACTGGCCTTTCTGAGGGATTGGGCAGGTGTGGCCAGGTAATTAGAACAGTGAGGGCAGGTGTGGTGCTGGGGAGCTGGGCCTGAAGCTGGACACCCCCAACCTTGAGATGGCTCAGATCCTGCTGGGGCTCAGGTCCTGGCACAGACCACAGCCCAGAGCAGCTGCTGTGGTTGAGCTGAGTGACTGTGGATGGGAGGGCTCCTTCTGGGATGCAGGGGTTGGGGTCGGAGCAACAGAACTTTACCAGGCCTGCCCTGTGTCCGCCGTCTTCAGGAGCTGGGAGTCTTCCCATAGGACGAAGGCTAAGACAGAGGCATACAAGGGGGCCCTGTGGGACAGGAGAACCTTTCCTGGCTGGAGGGTCAGGGAAGGCTCGCGGGAGGGACACGGCCACGTCTGTGCTTGAGAGCGCGCCCTCTGGTGGTAGATAGAGGAGACTGCAGGCTGGGAGGGCAGGAGGGGCCGAGGTTCAGGACCACCATGGGAGGGGCGTCAGGACACGGACTTGCAGGCACGGTGCCTAATTGGCCGTAAGGAGGCAGGGAAGGGAGGGAGGAAAGGAGAAGGTGGAGTCTGGGTGATTTGCTCCTGGTAAGGAAACGGGGAACTTAGAGGTGCTGGCCTCCAAGCTGGAGGAGCAAGTCGGGGTTGAATAGTGATGGATTCAGTTGGATTGGACAGGTTGGCATTGTGTGTACTGCAGTGTCCTGTGGGACATGACGGTGTGTGACCACTGTCTAGGCAAGCAGGCAGGCACAGTGGTGACTCAACAGGGGGCCAGGACAGAGCTCAGGATGAGGAAGTGGGGACAGACTGTGTGGTTCTGGTGGAAAGGAGGGGGGCCCTGGCAAGGCCTTGGGGCCTTGCAGAATTGCTTGAGCCCAGGAGGTCAAGGCTGCAGTGAGCTATGATTGTGCCACTGCACTCCAACCTGGACAACAGAACAAGACTCCATTCCAAAACAAAACAAAAGAAAAAACAAAAGCCCTGGTCTCTGACTCAGGCTCGGGACTCAAGTGTCCTGGGGAGGGAGGGGACGCATGAGATCAACCCTCAAAGCAAAGCTCAGTTAGGAGCACTGGGGCTTGGAAGGCCAAGCCTGAGGCTGGGGTAGAGGTGGTGAGGTAGGAGGTGGAACTTGACTCCAGGGGCAGAGCTTGGACACCAGACCAAATTGAGGACTAGCTAAACAAAACAGATCGGGGCAGAAGCGCCTCCCCATAAGACATGCCCACCAGTGCGCCATGTCAGTTTCCCATTGCCATGACAACACCAGGAGTTACCACCCCTTTCCATGACAACGACCCAACAACCCTAAAGCTACCACCCTCATCCTGGAAGTTTACGCATAAACCACCCCCAATTTGCATACAATTAAAAGTGGGGCCGGCACAGTGGCTCATGCCTGTAATCCCAGCACTTTGGGAGGCCCAGGCGGGCAGATCATTTGAGGTCAGGAGTTTGACACCAGCCTGATTAATATGGTGAAACCCCCTCTCTACTAAAAGTATAAAAATTAGCCAGGCGTGGTGGTGTGCACCTGTAATCCCAGCTACTAGGGAGGCTGAGACAGGAGAACCCCTTGAACCTGGGAGGCGGAGGTTGTAATGAGCCAAGATTGCATCGCTGCCCTTCAGCCTGGGCCACAGAGCGAGACTCCGTCTCAAAAAAAAAAAAAAAAAAAAAAAGTGGGTATAGATATGAGTGCAGCCCTGCCTCTGAGCTGCTACTCTGGGCACACTGCCTCTGGGGTAGCCCTGCTCTGCAGGGAGCAGGACCTCTGCTGCTGCTGTGCACTGCCACTTCAATAAAAGTTGCAACACCACTGGCTTGTCCTTGAATTCTTTCCTGGGGGAAACTAAGAACCCTCCCTGGCTAAGCCTCAATTTTGGGGCTCCCCTGTCCCGTGTCACCAGGGCAATGGGGGGAAGAGGCTGCTTCAGCAGCATCTCTTAGGGCAGCAGGCAGCCTCGGAGAGGGGTTGACTGGTCACATTCCGAGATGGGCATGAACCTGGGAAGTGTCCTGAAGATCTCTCTATCGCATCATGACATGATTTCCTGAAATCACTTAGCACTTGTTTTCTCTATTAACCGCCAATTAAGGATTTGATGGCTCAGCCAAGTCACAGAGCCAAACGCCTGGTGGGGTGAAAGTACTGTGCAAGCAAGCCTTGAGCTGGTGGTGGCTCGGGACGGTTTGATTGCTCCTCCCCCTAGGTGAAGTGGGCCGCCTCTTGCAAGAAAAAGAGACTTGTGGCCGGGCGCGGTGGCTCGTGCCTATAATCCCAGCACTTTGGGAGGCTAAGGCAGGTAGATCACTTGAGGTCAGGAGTTCCAGACCAGTCTGGCCAACATGGCGAAACCAGTCTCTACTAAAAATACAAAATATTAGCCGGGTATGGTGGCGGGTGACTGTAATCCCAGCTACTTGGGAGGCTGATATAGGAAAATTGTTTGAACCCAGGAGGCGGAGGCTGTAATGAGCTGAGATCATGCCATCGCACTCCAGCCTGGGCCACAAGAGTAAAACTCCATCTCAAGAAAAGAAAGGAAATGAAAGGAAAGGAAAGAAAAAGAAAAGAAGAAAGAAAAGAAAAAGAAAAGGAGACTTGTTTGGGAGCAGATCCGTCCTCAAGACCTTTGCTAGGAGTGAGTTTACTGTCTTGGACCCTCCCTGAGTGCTCAGCTGGGGAGAAGGGAAGGGAAATGAGGAAGGAACATTGCTGAGATGATGCCCAGAGATAATGCCAGTCCCTTGCCATCCTGATGGAGGCTGCCGGGAGTGTGTTCATTTCTTGGCAGTTCGAGGACCAGGCCTGCCATGTCCCAGTTCTGTCCTCCTGGGTCAGTCCTTCCAGGAGGGTCGTGAAAGGGACATGTGTCTCCTGCTAAGCACCTTTCTGGGTGCAGTTATTTTATGGCCCCCAGAGCACTGTTCACCCACTGCTGTGCACCCGCCATAGTCAGGAGCTGAGGTGCGCAGGTGGGCGGTGGCAGGACGACACCACCAGACAGCAGACAGAGGCAGACAAAACACTCAGGACGCAGGGATCCTAGGGGCAAGGCAATGGGGGTCCCCACAACCGCGGCTACCTGGGGATGCACAGGCTTTAGAGCTCCATCTGGAAAGGCCTGGAGCCCTTTCCTTGTCTCTGCCTCCCTTCTTCGTTGTTTTTGGCCAAGTTTTGATTTTTGGAAGCCATTTCCAGCCCATTTAAAGACCAAATGTTATGGGGACGGTGATTTGAGGTATTTGGAAATGTTTTCCAATTCACAGCTCATTTCTCTATGGAAAGCCCTGACTCAGTGTGGTTCAGAGATGCTGGACGACGGCCTGTCTGTTCTAGAACCCTCGGGCGGATCTCAGGATCCCACATTAAACCATCCTGAGGAAAGTCACCTCTCTCTCTCTCTCTCTCTCTCTCGCTCGCTCTCGCTCTCACTCTGTGTTTGTGTGTGTGTGTGTGTGTGTGTGTGTCGGAGTCTTGCTCTGTCACGCTGGCTGGAGTGTAGTGGCACGAACTCGGCTCACTGCAACCTCTACCTCCCGGGCTCAAGCAATTCTCCCGCCTCAGCCTCCCGAGCAGCTGGGATCACAGGCACCTGCCACCACACCCGGCTAATTTTTTATTTTTATTAGAGACGAGGTTTTGCCATGTTGGCCAGGCTGATCTCAAACTCCTGACCTCATGTGATCCGCCCATCTCGGCCTCCCAAAGTGCTGGGATTACAGGCATGAGCCACTGCGCCCGGCTCACCTTTCTTTTTGGAAACACACACTGAGTGCTTGAGCTGGAGCTGAGGCTTTCCAGTAGAATCAAAGGAAGGGCCTAGGCTGCTGAAGTCTCCCACAGTTTCAGGACCTTTTTAATTGGCAGAGGTGGAATTCACAGTTTGTACTGGGTAGGTGGGATCCCGCCAGTCCTCGGGTCAGGAAGACTAGACTCCCTTTGCAGCTCAGCCTGTGGTTTGAGCTGTAGCTATGGGCAATGAAGTTTAACCTCTTAGACTTTCTTTTCCATCTGCAAACTAGGACTGTCTTTAAGCTGTTAGATTCCTTTGTAGGGTTTAAGTAACCAGTTGATTAAGAATGATGCCTTGATTTTGGTAATGCTGCATGATTTACACACTACTGACTGGGATGTGTTCATTTAGTCCTGATCATAACCCCCCCCCTTTTTTTTTTTGAGACGGAGTCTCTCTCTCTGTCGCCCAGGCTGGAGTGCCGTGGTGCGATCTTGGCTCACTGCAACCTCCGCCTCTCAGGTTCAAGCGACTCTTCTGCCACAGCCTCCCCAGTAGCTGGGATTACAGGCGCCCTCCACCATGCCCGGCTAATTTTTTGTATTTTTAGTAGAGACTGGGTTTCACCATGTTGGCCAGACTGGTCTCGAACTCCTGACTTCAGATGATCTACCCGCCTTGGTTTCTCAAAGTGCTGTGTTTACAGGCGTGAGCCACTGTGCCCAGCCTCATCATAACCTTAAAAGTTAGATTTTAAATATAACTGAGGCTCAGAGAAGGGACATCACTCTGCCTAAGTCATACAGCAGGTTTGTGGCAGAACCTGGTTTTAAACTAGGTTTCCTGGTGCCTGTGAGAAGAGGGCTCAACTTTTCACTACTTTCCCTTTTCTTCCATGTTTTTGTTTTGTTTTGTTTTGTTTTGAGACAGGGTCTGGCTCTGTCATCCAGACTGGAGTGCAGTGGTGCGATCATAGCTCTCTCCAGCCTTGATCCCTGATCTCAAGCGATCCTCCTGCCTCAGCCTCCCGAGTAGCTGGGACCACAGGCATGTGCCACCATGCCTGGCTAATTTTTACTTTTTATTGTATAGAGATGGGGTCTTGCCGTGTTGCCCAGGTTAGTCTGGAACTTCTGGGCTCAAGTGATCCTCCCACCTCAGCCTTCCAAAGTGCTGGGATTATAGGCGTGAGCCACTGCACCCAACCCCTTTCACGTATTTTTGAGTGTGCTAGTACTGGTAATATGTATTTTCCTAGAAAATTGTCCAGTAGTCAGGATTTTTGAAATTTTTTGATGTAAGATTATACCTAATATTTGCTTATACATTTAAATCTCTATATGGAATTTTTTTTTCTTGTTCTTCATGTCTATTAAACCTGAGTTTAGCAGGGCATGGTGGCACACGCCTGGAATCCCAGCCCTTTGGGAAGCCGAGGTGGGACGATCACCTGAGCCCAGGAGTTTGAGACCAGCCTGGGCAACATAGCTAGACCCTGTTTCTACAAAAATGCAAAAGTTAGCCAGCATGTTGGCGCACACCTGTGGTCCCAGCTATCTGGGAGGCTGAGATGGGAGGATTGCATGAGCCCAGGAGGTTGAGGCTGTGGTGAGCCATGATCATGCCACTACACTCCTGACCTCAAGTGATCCACCCACCTCGGCCTCCCAAAGTACTGGGATTACAGGCATGAGCTACCACACCCAGCCTGAACTCATGTCTTTCTTCAGCTCTTGTAAATTTTCTTGTTATTTCTTCAAGTACATGCTTCTCTTTGTTCTTTTTTGATCATGCCTTCCAGAGCTACTACTATATAGATGTTGGTCCTTGGTCTTCCTCTAGGTCCCTTGTTGCCTGTTTCTGCCTGTTTTCCATCTCCTTTTCTTTTTGCAGTGGCTACTGGGAAAGGTCACAGCTTAGATTTGCAGCTCATCGGTTTGCCCTTTAGCTGTTTCCATTCTGTTTTTCATAGTCATACATTTCACTTCTAAGATAATGCATTTTTTTAATTTCATTTTTTTTGTGTGTGTATGTCACAGGGTCTTGCTCTGTCACCCAGTGTGGAGTGCAGCGGTGCGATCATGGCTCACTGCAGTCTCAAACTCCTGTGCTCCAGCGATCCTCCTGCCTCAGCCTCCTGAGTAGCTGGGACCACAGGCATGTCAGGGACCATGCCTGGCTAATTTTTGTATATTTTTGTAGATACAGTGTTTCACCATGTTGCCCAGGCTGGTCTAAACTCCTGGGGTCAAGCTATCCACCCGCCTCAGCCTCCCAAAGTGCTGGGATTACGGGTGTGAGCCACCATGCCTGGCCAGAATTTTTTAGTGAGTGATACATTGTCTTATTTCTTTGAGGACATTAATTATGCTTTAAAAAATTATCTCCATCTATTTGCTTTACTATTTTTTAAGGGGATGTGATTTATTGCCTGTTGAGTTGGTGCCTTTCTTCCATGATACTGGCCTTTTTTCCTCAAATAATTTGAAAGTCTTGGTATCTGGGGTTTTCCATTAGCTTGTTTCTGTTTCCTGAGAATTTGTCTGTTGGTGGGCTGGAGGTATGGATGAAGAATGGGAAACGAGTGTGTAAGAATTCATTTATCTGTCTGACTTTGAGAGTGACCCTGTTTCTCCTGGAGGTCACAAGCTTTTTTTTTTTTTTCTTTTTTCCATCCCCCAAGACTGAAAGGTCACCAGTTTTTGAGGTCAGCCAGCACCCACTCCTGTGACCATACCTACCTTAGGACAGGTGAATCCAATGCCTAATATCTTTTTTTTTTTTTTTTAAATAGAGACAGGGTCTCGCTCTGTCACCCAGGCCAAAGTGCAGTGGCACTATCATATCTATGTATCTCTACATATCTATAGATACAGGTATATCTATATATCTAGACATAGATATAGAGATATATCTCTATATCTAGACATAGATATAGAGATATATCTCTATATCTAGACATAGATATAGAGATATATCTATAGATATCTATATCTATAATATATTTATATCTTGAGATGGAGTCTTACTCTGTCATCCAGGCTAGAGTGCAGTGGTGCGATCTCGGCTCACTGCAACTTCTGCCTCCTGGGTTCAAGTGATTCTCCCGTCTCAGCCTCCCAAGTAGCTGGGTCTACAGGTGTGTGCCACCAAGCCTGGCTATTTGTTTTTGCATTTTTAGTAGAGACAGGGTTTCTCCATGTTGGCCAGGCTGGTCTCGAACTCCTGACCTCAGGTGATCCGCCCACTTTGACCTCCCAAAGTGCTGGGATTACAGGCATGAGTCACCATGCCCAGTCGTATATATATACTTTTTGTAGAGACAAACAGGATCTTGCTATGTTGCCCAGGCTAGTCTAGAATTCCTAAGCTCAAGCGATTCTCCCACCTTGGCCTCCCAAAATGCTGGGATTATGAGTGTGAGCCACCGCACTCAGCCTCCAATGCCTGATTCCTGAAACCAGCAGGGACAAGGACCCGGGTCCTACCTGTCCAGCTCTTTCTATGGTGGTCCCCTAACCAATCTCTCTGATGGTCACCTTTGGGTCCCTCTCTACCTCCTCATCTGCATCTGTGCCCCCATGTGGCTCCTAGCTTCAGCCCCGGTCCTCTTTTGTGTGTTTCTGGCTGTGATTTTTGCCTTCAATGTGGGCCCATCTACTTTCTGTCTCTTAGGGACCCCTCCAAATGTCTGGCCCATTGCTTCTCTCTTTCCAATGCCCTTGAGGACTTTTTTTCTTATTTTATTTTATTATTATTTTTAGACAGGGTCTCGCTCTGTCACCCAGGCTAGAGTGCAGTGGCATGATCACAGCTTACTGTAGCCTCAACCTCCTGGGCTCAAGTGATACTCCTGCCTCAGCCTCTTGAGTGGCTAGGACTATAGGCGTGTGCCACCACAGGTAATTTTTAAATATTTTTGTAGAGATGGGGTCTCGCTATGTTGCCCAGGCTGGTCTCAAACTCCTGGGCTCAAGTGATCCATCCTCCTCGGACCCCAAAAGTGCTGAGCCACCACCCGGCCAGGGACTTATTTTTTAATTTTCAATTTCTAGGCTATGGGGATGGGAGGAGGAGGTGGGAGCACCTTAACCTGATCCCGTATTGTTTGTGTACGTCCCTTCCTCTTTCCTCCTCTCCACTGCCCAAGCTTGCTGCCCCTTGCTTCTTGTACTCTGAAGGCATTTATTCCCTAGCCCGGCAGGTCACATGTCTCTTCCTTTCTCCTGGCTCCTCCCCTTCCTTCAGCCTTCTGGCTCTTTCTTTCTTTCTCTCTCTCTCTCTCTCTGGCTCTTTCCCTTCCTCCCTCCCTCCCTCTCTCCTTCTCTCTCTCTTTCTCTCTCATTCCTCCTCCCCTCCCCTCCCCTCCCCTCCCCTCCCCTCCCCTCTTCTCCCTTCCTCTCCTCCTCTCTTCAGGGTTTCACTCTGTTGCCCAGGCTGTAGTGAAGTAGCATGATCATAGCCACTATGATCCTGGGCTCAAGCCATCCCCTGCCCCAGCCTCCTGAGTAGCTGGGACTACATGTGTGTGCCACCACGCCTGGGCTAATTTTTTAATTTTTATTTTGTAGAGGCAGGGTCTCACTATGTGGCTCAGGCTGATCTTGAACTCCTGGGCTCAAGAGATCCTCCTGCCTCAGCCTCCTAAAGTGCTAGGATTACAAGTGTGAGCCACTGTGCCTGGCCTGGCCACTTCCCATTGCAGGCAAGTCTCTAGACTTGCCGTGGTCTCTCTCCGCTCTGTGCCTGTTACACCGCTGCTTCCCCTGCTGGCTTCGTCCCCTCTCACGGCCCCCACACATTGGTCAGTTGGTCGGTTGGTCGGTTGGCTAACTTATCTTGCACTACTCAGCTGGTGGCCTCAGGGCCTGCTGGGCGAGATGCCCTGCTCCGTTCCTGTAGCTTGTGTGTTCACCACGTGGTGGAACGTGTTACCTGCTGTTCCTATGGACTGTGTCATCTCCTCTCCCCACCAGGGTGAGATTTCCACGGGCAGGGCTGAGTCTTTCTCACCAATTCCACACTGAGTGGTCAGTGACGGGAATGATGCCAGGGCTTGGTGGCCAAGGGTTGCAAGTGTTCTCTCTTCCCCTCAGACCGAGACAGAGGGTCTCAGTGGGCCCCCCATCCAAGAGAGCGAGCCTCCACCCCAGGTTTGCGGGGGCCCCTCCCTGTCCAGCACGGCCCCCTGACCCGAAGTTGGCAGCTCTGGGAACAGGCAGGGCTCATGTGACTGTTGCTCTCTCCACAGGCACTGGTGCCATCACACAGTGACACGGACGGTGTCCTGCCAGGTGCAGAATGGCTCGGAGACGGTGGTCCAGCGCGTGTACCAGAGCTGCCGGTGGCCGGGGCCCTGCGCCAACCTCGTAAGGTAAAGGCCGCTGGGCTAGGCTGCTCTGCCCTTCCCTCCCATTCCCTCGGACAAAACCAGTCCCAGGATGGCTCTGGGAGAGGCTGGGCTGTGCTCACAGACAAAGGCTGAGCATGCATTTATGGAGCACCTTCTGTATATAAGGCATGGGTGTGTGTATATAGGGTATATATGTGTGTGTGCAAAGATGTCAGAGACATGCTCCTACCGCAACAGAACCACACAACCCAGTGGGTGTTTGACAGACAGAAGACCACCACAGATGAGTGGGGTATGGGATCCGAGGTCGGGGAAGGCCAGGTGGGGTTGAAGAGGGAACCAACCAGCCTTATGGCTCCAGGCTGGAACGAGGGGCTACAATGACCTTGGAAATCCAGCCTGTCTTTGGCCCCATCCATCACAGGCCTCGCCCCTGGCAGCACTGCCCCACTCACCAGGCATGTCCCTCTCACTGGCCCTACTTGTTACTGGACCTGCCCCTCACGAGGCCTGCCTTTCACCAGCCCTGACCCTCATGAGCCCCACCCTTCACCAGCCCTGCCCCCACCAGCCTTGCCCCTCACCAGCTCTGCCCCTACCAGCCACGCCCCTCACCAGCCACACCCCTCACCAGCCCCTCCCTCTCACCAGCCCCGCCCATAGTCAGCCCTTCCCTCTCACCAGCCCCTCCCTCTCACCAGCCCCTCCCTCTCACCAGCCCTGACCAGACCACAGGCTTCAGGGACTCTTCAGCATCCGCAGAGAGATCTTGCTGTCAGACACCAGCATTCACGGTCTCCAAAGTTCCAACTCTCCTTCTTTTCCCTTCTTCCTCCTCTCCAGGCCGTGCTTAGCTCCAGGGACTGGCTTCCCCAAACCACTCTCCCCACAGCCTGCCCAGCCTGGGGCCTCTACCCCAAGCACCGTGGAGCCGCTGTCCTCAAACTCCAAATCCCTTCCCCTCCTTTGTGCCCTCCCTAACGGGACATTTTGCCTGGGTCAGGGTTCTCCAGAGAACCAATAGGAAGGGATGGGGGAGAGGGAGAGTGGGAGAGAGATTGAAATGGTAAGGAATTGGCTTGTATGATTATGGAGACTGGCGATTATTCCAAACCTGCAGGGTGGGCTGGCTGGCTGAGACCCAGGGAGGAGAGCTGATGTTGCAGCTTGAGATGGGCTGGCTGCTGGTCAAATGCCTCCTTCCTCCGGGGAAGTCAGTCTTTTTCTTAAAGCCTTCGACTGATTGGACAAGGCCCACCCACATTATAGAGGGCAACCTGCTTTACTCCAAGTCTACTGATTTAAATTAATCTTGGCTGGGTGCGGTGGCTCATGCTTGTAATCCCAGCACTTTGGGAGGATGAGGCGGGTGGATCACTTGAGGTCAGGACTTTGAGAGCAGCCTGGACAACATGGCGAAACCCAGTTTCTACTAAAAATACAAAAATTAGCCAGGCGTGGTGGTGGGCGCCTGCAATCCCAGCTACTGAGGAGGCTGAGGCAGGAGAATCACTTGAACCCAGGAGGTGGAGATTGCAGTAAACCGAGATTGCGCCACTGCACTCCAGCCTGGAAAAAAAAAAAAAGAAATTGCTACGTCTCATGACTGGTGATGTTAACTTTGATCGCTTGCTTATGATGGTATCTACCAGGTTTCTCCACTGTTGCATAATTATCTTTCCCTTTGTCTTTTACATGTATGTTGTGGGGAGACATTTTAAACCTATACGAACATCCTGTTTCTCATCATACTATCATATTGCTTGCAACAGTTAATGCTATGGTGTTTGCCAAATGGTGATTTCCTATTTTCATTCTTCTTTAATAGTAGAGATGCTTCACTTGAGACCCCTATTGCATACAAGTGTTTTGATACAGGTCATTCTGCAAGGGGAATGGCTAGGTAAACGGAATGTCATTCATTTTCATTTTTATTAGAAACAGCTGCTTTTGCCAGTTGCGGTGGCTCACGCCTGTAATCCCAGCACTTTGGGAGGCTGAGGCAGGTGGATCACCTGAGGTCGGGAGTTCGAGACTAGCATGACCAACATGGTGAAACCCAGTCTTTACTAAAAATACGAAAATTAGCCAGACGTGGTGGTGGGCACCTGTGATTCCAGCTACTTTGGAGGCTAAGGCAGGAGAATCACTTGAACCGGGAGAAGGAGGTTGCAGTGAGCTGAGATTGTGCCATTGCACTCCAGCCTGGGCAACAAGAACAAAACTCCATCTCAAAAAAAAAAAAATGCTGGTTTTAAATGCTATACTAGAGAGATGGCAGTGGGTCCAAAATGAAAAAAAAAAAAAAAAAAAAAAGCTTTTTCCTTTTCAGCAGAGGGTACAGACACTCCCTATCCCCTGCCTTCCCCACTTCCCCAGGAGCTAAATTCCAAGACTCTCCTGCCTTTCTCGTCAGCAGGGAGTTTCAGATTACCAGGTCATGGCCTCTTGATTTGGGAACAGCTTCTGAGAAGAAAAGTCTTTGAAGTCTGATCTGTCTGTGACCCTGACAGGCTGGGCTTTGGCTCAGAGCTCTGTTGGAGAAGTGGCTGTCCTACTCTTTCTTTCTTTCTTTTTTTTTGGAGACAGGATCTTGCTCTGTTGCCCAGGCTGGAGTGCAGTGGTGCAATCATGGCTCACTGCAGCTTCCAATTGCTGGGCTGAAGTGATCCTCCTGCGCCAGCCTGAATAGCTAGGACTACAGGCATGCATCACCGTGCCTCACTAATTACTTTTTCTTTGGTAGAGACAGGGGTCTCGCCATGTTGCCCAGGCTGGTCTTGAACTCCTGGCTTCAAGGGATCCTCCTGCCTCAGCCTCTCAAATTGCTGGGATTACAGGTGTGAGCCACCATGCCTGGTCTCAACAAGTTAAAGCTGTTACACTATCAAAACACAATAACGCAGCCGGGCACGGTGGCTCACGCCTGCAATTGCAGCACTTTGGGAGTCTGAGGCGGGTGAATCACCTGAGGTCAGGAGTTTGAGACCAGTTTGGCCAACATGGAGAAACCCTGTCTCCACTAAAAATACGAAAATTAGCCAGGTGTGGTGGTGAGCACCCGTAATCCCAGTTATTCAGGAGGCTGAGGCAGGGAGAATTGCTTGAACCTGGGAGGCAGAGGTTGTAGTGAGCCAAGATCGTGCCACTGCACTCTAGCCTGGGCGACAGAGTGAGACTTCCTCTCAAAACAAAAACCAAACAAAAAAAAAGAAAAATACAATAATGCACCTATAAGAAAAGCTGGACAAGCTAGCGCCTGAATCACTGACCTGGACTGAAAATTTTTCAAGTGATCATTAATGTTGCATAGTTGTTCTCTCCTTTACCACTTAAGTAATTATCTGAACAATGTTTCAGAAGTGCTGGGGTCCGGCCCGGCGTGGTGGCTCACGCCTATAATCCCAGCATTTTTGGAGGATAAGGTGGGTGGATCACACGGTCAGGAGTTTGAGACCAGCCTGGCCAATATGGTGAAATCCCATCTCTACTAAAAATACAAAAAAATTAGCTGAGTGTGGTGCCACATGCCTGTAATCCCAGCTACTTGGGAGGCTGAGGGAGGAGAATTGCTTGAACCTGGCAGGCGGAGGTTGCAGTGAGCCGAGATCGCACCACCGCACTACAGCCTGGGCGACAGAGTGAGACTCCGTCGCAAAAAAAAAGAAGGACCGGGGTCTTCGATGTGGTGTTCACTGACTTTCCAGGGAGTTCTTCTCACTCACTCCTTGGAGTTCGGAGGCCAAAACAGAACATTCAGTCAGGGCTGACATGAATTTGTCATAAGTCTCCCCTTTGCCTATAACATATAACTAGTGGGAACCTTGCTAATTAAAACAATTTGGCCAGTGACAGTGGCTCACACCTGTAGTCCCAGTTACATAGGAGGCTGAGGCAGGAGGATTGCTTGAGGCCAGGAGCTCGAGACCAGCCTGGGCAACACAGTGAGACCCACCCCATTTTTACAAATTTTTTAAAAAACATCAGCCATGGGTTGTGGTGCGCACCTGTACTTGGGAGGCTTAGGTGGAAGGATCGCTTGAGCCCAGGAGTTCGAGGCTGCAGTGAGCTGTGATTGTGCCACTGTACTCCAGCCTGGGCGACAGAGCGAGACCGTGTCTGAAAATAAATAAATAAATACAATAATAAAACTTAATTTTCATTCTCTTAGAGAAATCCCAAATTGCTGATCTTAATTGTCATAATTTCTGCTGTTATTATATTTTACTAGGGAATGGGCCGGGTGTGGTGGCTCACACCTGTAATCCCGGCACTTTGGGGGGCCAAGGAGGGTGGATCACCTGAGGTCAGGAGTTTGAGACCAGCCTGGCCAACATGGTGAAACCCTGTGTCTACTAAAAATACAAAAATTAGCCAGGTGTGATGATGCACACCTGTAATCCCAGCTACTCAGGAGGCTGAGGCAGGAGAATCACTTGAACCTGGGAAGCGGAGGCTGCACTGAGCCAAGATCATGTTGCTGTACTCCAGCCTGGGTGACAGAGCAAGTCTCCGTCTCAAAAAAAATTTAATAATTTATTAGGGAAGGAGAGGTTAACACAGTTTTCTTTCTCACTAGTAACTCATAAATGAGCTAGAATTGGGTGCACACCCTCTGTCTGTGGCCTTGGGGCTGCTGTCTGGGCAGGGAGAGGCAAGATGACAACAGGTTGCAGCATTATCCTTTGGTCCCCTGGGGTTCCATATGCATTCCTGTCTCAGGTCCTGGTTTTGCTGGCCTTGCCTATATGAAGCATCTGGTTTGTGGCAGCCATCTCACTGGTCTCCCCACTCCCCACCCTGCCCCGCTCTAGCTCCTTCTCTCCACAGAAGCTGGAGGGATATTTTATTTTATTTTATAAGGGTCAGGATCTCCCTTTGTCCCCCAGGCTGGAGTGTAGTGGTGTGATCATAGCTCACTGCAGCCTTGAACTCCTGGGCTCAAGCAATCCTTCTGCCTCAGCCTCCTGAGTAGCTGGGACTACAGGCACACACCACCATGCCCAGTTAATTTAAAAAAAATTTTGGCCAGGCGCGGTGGCTCATGCCTGTAATCCTATAACTTTGGGAGGCTCAGATGGGTGGATCACGAGGTCAGCAGTTCGAGACCAGCCTGCCCAACATGGTGAAACCCTGTCTCTACTAAAAATACAAAAATTAGCCAGGCGTGGTGGCGGGTGCCTCTAATCCCAGCTACTCAGGAGACTGAGGCAGGAGAATCGCTTTAACCTGGGAGGCAGTGTTCATTCCCTGGCCGAATTGCTCATCGTCTGCCCGCTCTGCTAGTCTGGGAGCCTTAGGAGGTCCGGGACTGTCTCATTGGCTGCTGTGTTCCCCATACCTGGCTTGCAGGAGATGAAGCAGCATTACTGAATTGAGGTTAGGTTAGGAGGATGAAATCAGATCAGAGATGTCAGAGAACTCTGGGTTTTGTTTTAGATGGAGTCTCATTCTGTCACCCAGGCTGGAGTGCAGTGGCGTGATCTCGGCTCACTGCAACCTCTGTCTCCCAGGTTCAAGTGATCCTCCCACCTCAGCCTCCCAAGTAGCTGGGACTACAGGTGTGCATCAGGACACCTGGCTAATTTTTTTTTCTGTATATTTAGTGGAAATGGGGTTTCACCATGTTGGCCATGTCGGTCTCGAACTCCTGAACTACCTCAAATGATCGGCCTCCCTCGGCCTCCCAAAGTGCTGGGATTACAGGTGTGAGCCACCATGCCCGGCCCCCAGTGCTTCTTAGCATAATTTTTTTTTTTTTTTTTGGAGACGGAATGTCATTCTATCACCCAGGCTGGAGTGCGGTGGCGTGATCTCAGCTCACTGCAACTTCTGCTTCCCGGGTTCAAGCGATTGTCCTACCCCAGACTTCTGAGTAGCTGGGACCATAGGTGTGTGCCACCACACCTGGCTAATTTTTGTATTTTTAGTAGGGATGAGGTTTCACCATGTTGGCCAGGCTGGTCTCGAACTCCTGACCTCAAGTGATCCACCCATCAGCCTCTCAAAGTGTTGAGATTACAGGCATGAGCTGCTGCGTCAGGCCAGCATAATTTTTTAGCATAGTTTTTCAGTTTTCTTAAGAGTCTGCTGCAAGAGTCTGCGTGCTGGGTAGAATTCCCTGAGCGAGCAGAGCCTGGGTGGGAGGAACTCGGAAGGTTCCTGGGAGCACTTTGAGGCAGGGTCTGTCTTCTGCACTGGTTTCCCCATGGCTCATAATGGCTTGTGTCATCACTATAAATGACGTTACCAAAAGAAGCTTCAATAACGGGGGAATATTCACCTCACAATCTATCTGGGAGAGGCGGCCAGGTCTCAGCCATGAAGATCCTGGGATCCTTTGACTGAACTCTCCACCCACACCTGTGTGTCCACCATGACCTTCCTCAAGGTCGCAGAAGGGCAGCAGCAGCTCCAGGCATCACGTCTCACACCACAGTGTCCCAAAAAAGAGAGGAAGGGGATGGGACACAGTTTTCTCCTATCAGAGAGTACAGCCTTTTCCAGAATCCCTAGCAGACTTCCCTGGATGTCTCATTGGTCAACATTTTTCCTCTGAGCCTCAGTTTCTCCAGGGCTAAGATGGTGGTGATAGAAGGCTGCCTCAAGAGGTTCTTGGAAGGGGATGTGAGGTTTGCAGGGGAAGGTCCTGCACTGAGCCTTGCTGTAATAAGAACCCTGGGAATGCAGACTGAGGCCAAAGTATGGGTGAGCTATGAAGAGAATCAGAAGCAGGTCCCAGCACGTCAGCCGAGGCAGCTCCCAGCGGGCAGTTCTGGCCTAGGCATGCCTTGATCTTGCATTCCGCTCTCTGAGGTTAGGGTGGCAAACCCCAGCTGGGCCCTGTGTAGCCGCCTTGTGTGGTACTCTGTTGCTTACCATCCTGCCTGCTCAGTGTGTCTTGCTACATTTCACCCCCAGCATTTACATAGAAATTTGCAAATGTGTGTATTTCTTGTCTGTTCCCCCTCATCATTTACTTATTTATTTATCTTTAAGAGAGGGAGCCTCACTCTGTTGCTCAGACTGGAGTGCAGTGGCACAATCATAGCTCACTTTGGCCTCGAATGCCTGGACTCAAGTGATCCTCATGCCTTAGCCTCCCAACTGGGTGCCATGATGGATGGATGCCATATGCCTGGCTAATTAAAAAATTTTGTTTTTTGTAGATATGAGATCTTGCTTTGTTGTCCAGGCTGGTCTTGAACTCCTGGCCTCAAGTGGCCATTCCACTTCAGCCTCCTGAGTAGCTGGGACTACAGGTGTGTGCCACCACACCTGGTTAATTAAAAATTTTTTTTGGCGGGGCATGGTGGCTCATGCCTGTAATCCCAGCACTTTGGGAGGCCCAAGTGGGCAGATCATTTGAGGTCAGGAGTTCGAGACCAGCCTGGCCAATGTGGTAAAACCCCTTCTCTACTAATAATACAAAAATTAGTCAGGCATGGTGGCAGGCACCTGTAATTCCAGCTACTCGGGAGGCTGAGGCATGAGAATCACTTGAACCCAGGAGGCGGAGATTGCAGTAACCAAGATCGTGCCACTGCACTCCAGCCTGGGTGACAGAGTGAAACTGTTTCTTAAAAAAAAAAAAAATTATTTTTTGTTTTAGATATGGGATCTTGCTTTGTTGCCGAGGCTGGTCTTGAACTCCTGGCCTCAAGTGATCCACCTGGGCTTCCCAAAGTGCTGGGATTACAGGTGCGAGCCATTGCACCTGGCTGTCTTCACCATTTTCAGGAGCTGTAGGGGACCCAATTCTGGTTCCCTTCATTCTTTGAAGCATTTTGGATGCTTTCATTTGTGTTGGCTTAAAACTTTTGTGTGGAAAAGAGAATGGAGTCTGCTCCTCATGGTGTGACTAATGTAAACAGCCTCTCCTGGTTCCCCTCTTCCTACGACACATTTCTTTTGCTATTTTACACATTTGTGATTTCTACGGCGTGAGTATATTCTAGATTTATTGTCATGATAACACAAGAAAGAGAAAGGGGAAAGTGTCTTCCAGGTTGTTCCCCAGGCTTTTTTGGGAGTTGGAGGTGTCAACTTAAGCAACAGAGAGAAGCCCTCTGAAAGAAATGACAGCCCGGGCAACATAGTGAGACCCTGTCTCTACAAAAATTTTAAAATTAGCTGGGTGTGGTGGTGCATGTCTGTAGTTCCAGCTACTCAGGAGGCTGAGGTGGGAGAATGGCTTGAACCTGGGAGGTTTGAGGCTGCAGTGAGCTATGATTGCGCCACTGCACTCCAGCCTGGGCAACACAGTGAGACCCTGTCTCAAAAAAAAAAAAAAAAGGCAAAGAGAATGATATTTATTTGAGAATGGGCATTGCAACGGGAGTATGCATGCATCGTAAATGATGCGGGTATTCAGGGAGGAAAAGGAAGATAAGGGTTTTTAAAGAAAAAGTGAGAAGTAGATAATTGTTCTGAATCAATTATCCTTGGCTACAAGTATCAAAAACAAGGGTGGTGTCAGTTCAAGGTTGGACAGGCAGTCGCTGGGTAGATGTAAATATATTTTTGTGCATGTGTAAGGTTGTGGTGGACTTTGTGCAAGGTTGTGGTTTTTGCAGTCTTTTGTGGTCGTGTGTGTGTGTATGTGTGTGTGTGTGTTGAGACACAGTCTTGTTATGTTGCTCAGGCTGGTCTCCAACTCAAGCAATCCTCCTGCCTCGCTCGGCCTCTCAAAGTGTGAAGATTACAGGCATGAGCCACCGCACCTGGCCCGCAAATAATTTTATCCCATTCCCTGGCTTGTATTTTCATCCTCTAAACAGTCTTTTGAAGAGCAAAAGTTTTTATGTTTGATGCAATCTAATTTATCAATTTTCTTTTTCTTTCTTTCTTTTTTTTTTTTTTCTTGAGACGGAGTCTCACTCTGTTGCCAGGCTGGAGTGCAGTGACGTGATCTTGGCTCACTGCAATCTCTGCCTCCAGGTTCAAGCAGTTCTACTGCCTCAGCTTCCTGAGTAGCTGGGATTACAGGCACCTGCCACCACGCCTGGCTAATTTTTGTATTTTTAGTAGAGACAGGGTTTCACCATGTTAGCCAGGCTGGTCTCAAACTCCTGATCTTAAGTGATCCATCCACCTCAGCCTCCCAAAGTGCTGGGATTACAGGTGTGAGCCACCATGCCTGGCCTCTGCTTTTTTTTCTAAAAGTTTTATCGTTTTCTGTTTCACATTTAAATTCATCATACATTTTGAGTTATTTTTTGCATAAGGTGTGAGGTTTAGGTTGAGTTTTATTTTTTTGGCCTATGGATGCCTAATTGTTCTAGCACCATTTGTTGAAGACGTCTCCTTTATTGAATTGCTTTTATAGCTTTCTCAAAAATCATTTGGACATTTTTTTTTCTTTCTAAGTTCTCTGTTCTGGTCCATTGATCTGTGTAACTAGTGTTTTGCCAATACCACACAGTCTTGATTACTATGGCTATATAATAAGTTTTGAAATCAGATAGATTGATTCTTCTCACTTTATTCTTTTTTTTCCTTTCTTTTTTACTTTTTTTTTTTTTTTTTTTTTGAGACAGGATTTTGCTCTGTCGCCCAGGCTGGAGTGTAGTGGTTCAATCATAGCTCACTGCAGCCTTGACTTCTTGGGCTCAAGTGATCCTCCTGCCTCAGCCTCCCGAGTAGCTGAGACTACAGGCACATGCCACCATGCCCAGATAATTAAAAAGAATTTTTTTTTGTAGAGATAGGATCTTGCTACATTGCCCAGGTTCGTCTCAAACTCCTGGCCTCAAGCAGTCCTCCTGCCTTGGTCTCTCAAAGTGCTGGGATTACAGGAGTAAGTCACCATGCTTGGCCTCCAGAATTGTTTTAGCTATTACAGTTCCTTTGTCTTTTCATATAAATTTCAGAATAATCTTGTCTATATCTACCAAAAGTCTTGATGGGATTTTTTAAAATAGGAATTGCATTTAACCTGTATATCTATTTGGGGAGAATTGGTATTTTTAGCATGTTGAGTCTTCCAATCCAAGAACATGGTATCTCTCTCCATTTACTTAGATCTCTTTTTATTTCTTCCAGCTTTCTTCATTGATTTCTTTGATATCTTGTAGTTTTGGGCATACAAATCTTATACTTATTTTGTTAGATTCATACCTAATTATTGCATTTTCTGTGTGATTGTCAGTGGTATTTTTTGGTAAAATTTGTAAAGCTGTATTTTTAATTTCTTTCTCTCTTTCTCTCTTTCTTTCTTTCTTTCGACGGAGTCTCACTCTGTTGCCCAGGCTGGAGTGCAGTGTAGTGGCGCGATCTCAGCTCACTGCAATCTCTGCTTCCAGGGTTCAAGCGATTCTCCTGCCTCAGCCCCCTGAGTAGCTGGGATTACAGGCACGCAGCACTGCACCCAGCTAATTTTTGTATTTTTTTTTTTAGAGACGGGTTTCACCATGTTGGTCAGGCTGGTCTTGAACTCTTGACCTCATGATCTGCCTGCCTCAGCTTCCCAAAGTGCTGGGATTATAGGTGTGAGTCACCATGTCCAGCCAGTATTTTTAATTTCTATGTCCATATGTTCTTTGCTAGTTTATAAAAACACAATTGATATTTATATATTGATCTCGTAGCCTGTAATGCAGCTGAATTCACTAGTTCTGAAAGGTTTTTTGTAGATTCCCTGAGATTTGCTATGGAGGCAATCATGTTGTTTGTCAACAGAGACAGTCTTATTCCTTTCCTTTTGATCTGTATGCCTTTTATTTTATTTTATTTGAGACGGAGTCTCGCTCTGTCACCCAGGCTGGAGTGCAGTGGTGCGATCTCAGCTCACTGCAACCTCACCTCCCGGGTTCAAGCAATTCTTCTGCCTCAGCCTCCCGAGTAGCTGGGATTACAGGTGGCCCACCACCATGCCCGCTAATTTTTTTTATTTTTTATTTTTAATAGAGATGGGGTTTCGCCATGTTGGCCAGGATGGTCTTGAACTCCTGGCCTCAAGTGATCCACCTGCCTCAGCCTCCCAAAGTGCTGGGATCATAGGCATGAGTCACTGCGCCCAGCCTGTATGCCTTTTATTTTATTTTCTTGCCTGTGTACTGGCTAGACTTGTAGCACTATGTTGAATAGGAGTGGTAAGTGTGGAGAGAATTGTTTGTTCACAATAAAACATTCTGCTACTAAAGATGATATTAAATGTAAGGTTTTCTTTTTGCTTTTCTTTCTTTTTTTCTGAAACAAGGTCTCTTTCTTTTGCCCAGGCTGGAGTGCACTGGTGCAGTCATAGCTCACTGCAGCCTGCAGCCTCGACCTCCTGGGCTTAAGCAATTCTTCCATCTCAGCCTCCCCAATAGCTGGGACTTTGGGCGTGTGCCACCATGCCCAGCTAAGTTTTGTATTTTTAGTAGGGATGGGGTTTCACCATGTTGCGTAGGCTGGTCTTGAACCCCTGAGCTTAGGGAGCTTCCTGCTTTGGCCTCCCAAAGTGTTGGGATTAACAGAGGTGAGCCACCATGCCCGGCTGTAAGGTTTTCAAAGATGCTTTTTATCAAATTAAGGAAGTTTTCCTCTTACTATTTTTCTGAGAGTTTTTTTTTTAATTATGGGTGTTGAATTTTGTCAAATGCCTTCTTTGCATTGATTGATATGATCATGTGATTTTTCTTCGTTAGGCTGTTAATATGATGACTACATTGAGTAACTCTCAAATGTTGAAGCAATGTTGCAATCCTGGAATAAACTCTACCTGGTGATAATTTTGTGTTTGTTTTAGAGATGGGGGTCTCGTTTTGTTGCCCAGGCTGGGGTGCAATGGTGTGATCATCTCTCACTGCAGCCTTGACCTCCTGAGCTCAAGCAATCCTCCTGCCTCAGCCTCCCGAGTAGCTGAGACTACAGGCGTACACCACCATGCTTGGCTAATTTTATAATTTTTTTTTTTTTTTTTGGAGACGAAGTTTTGCTCTCGTTGCCCAGGCTGTGAGTGCAATCTTGGCTCACTGTAACAGTTGCCTCCTGGGTTCAAGAGATTCTCCTGCCTCAGCTTCCCGAGTAGCGGGGATTACAGATGCCCGCCACCATGCCCAGCTAATTTTTTGTATTTTTAGTAGAGACAGGGTTTCTCCATGTTGGTTAGGCTGGTCTCAAACTCCTGACCTCAGGTGATCCACCCGCTTCAGCTTCCCAAAGTGCTGGGATTACAGGCATGAGCCACCATGTCCATCCTGATTTAGGTTTTGAAGAGATCCCTGGCTGCTGTGGGAAGAATGGACATTGACCCGGCATGAGATGATGGTGGCTCATGCTAGGGGGATATCTGAGGACATGAAGAGGAGTGGGTGGATCCAGGAGGTATTCTGGAAGCTGAGATGACAGGAATGTCTGGTCCCTTAATGGCAGGGAGCAATCAGGGACTACCCTAAATTCCTGGCTTGAGCAGTTGGCTGGCAGGGCATGCCATTTATTGAGATGGGGACACTGGGAGGATGTCAGGCATGAGAGGTGGGAGCCGGCAGCTGTGCTTTGGCTGAGTTGAGTTGCCTGCAAGCCATCCATAGGGAAAGGGTATCAAGTAGGAGGCTGAGTCCCAGGAAGAAGCCAGAGCGAGAGGCAGATTATATCTCAGAGATCCTAAGATGCCATTGGTAGTAAAAAGTGCATTCTTTTTTTTTGTTTGTTTTTTTGAGATGGAGTTTCACTCTTGTTGCCCAGGCTGGAGTGCAATGGCATGATCTCAGCTTACTGCAACCTCTGCCTTCTGGGTTCAACCGATTCTCCTACCTCAGCCTCCCTAGTAGCTGGGATTAGAGGTATTTGCCACCACACCTGGCTAATTTTGTATTTTTAGTAGAGACAGGGTTTCGCCATATTGGTCAGGCTGGTCTCGAACTCCTGACCTCAGGTGACCCACCCGCCTCGGCCTCCCAAAGTGCTGGGATTACAGGCGTAAGCCACTGTATCTGGTGAAGAAGTGCATTCTTTTATTATGGTTAAGAATGCCACTGGACCGGACGTGGTGGCTCACTCCTGTAATCCCAACACTTCGGGAGGCTGAGATGGGTGGATCGCTTGAGGCCAGAAGTTTGAGACCAGCCTGGGCAACATAGTGAAACCCCGTTTCCACTAAAAACAGAAAAAATTAGTTGGGCATGGTGGTGGCCACCTGTAATCCAAGTTACTTGGGAGGCTGAGATGGGAGGATTGCTTGAGCACATAAGGTAGAAGTTGTAGTGAACCAAGATCATACCACTGCACTCCAGCCTGAGCAACCAGAGCCAGACCCTGCATCAAAAAATAAATAAATAAAGTTGTGGGACTGGAGGTGACCATGGAGATGAATAAATGGAGAAGGGATACTGGCCTCAGAAGAGTCCTGTGCATCCCAGCCTTACAGGTGGGGCTTAGGAGGGGAGGCAGGTGTCCTCCTGGTGTCCTGGGAGGTGTTTCCAGAGGGAGGGTGGAACAGAGAATGCACTGTCCCAGATGCTTCTGAGACACCCCATAGGATGAGGGCAGAGGAGTAATCATTGGGTTTGGGGTCACTGGAGACCCTGGCAAATGCAGTTTTTGGGCAGTGATGCTTATAAACCACTGAGAATGATCCTCAGAAAGGGGAGAAAGGCTGGGGCAGGCGGGGAAAGGACAGCTGCAGGGACCAATGCTGGAGAAGCCGAGCAGGGTGGCTCGGAGAAAGAGGGGGGCCCTGTCAGAGCAGCAACAGGAGGGAAGGCCACAGCAGGGGTGCCCACGCAGGGGGATCCACAGAACACTGAAAGTGATTTCCAGGCTGACTCTTCCCACCAACCCAGGAGTGCCTTGAAGGCAGGATGCTCTGTCCTCATCTCATTATTCCCAGGACTTTACTACATGGACCAGCACATTGAGGTGCTCAACAATGTTCATTAAATGAATGCGTTCATCTTCTTGTGAGATGAAAGGAAAATAGGTATCTGTAATACAACCATTTTCTTTGTGGATTTTCCCATCTGGTGATTACTCCCTTCCCTTCCCTCCCTCCCTCCCTCCCTCCCTCCCTCCCTCCCTCCCTCCCTCCCTCTTTCTTTCTGCTTTCTTTCTTTTTCTTTCTTTCTTTCTTCTTTCTCTGTCTCTCTTTCTCTCTCGTTCTTTCTCTCCCCTTCCTTCCTTCCTTCTCTCTCTCTCTCTCTCCCGCCCCACCTCTCTCTCTTTTTCCCTTCCTCCCTCCCTCCTGTCTCTCTCTTTCTCTTTGTCTTTGTAGAGACAGGGTCTTGCTCTGTTGCCCAGGCTGGAGTGCAATGGCACAATCATGGCTCACTGCAGCCTCCAACTCCTGGTCTCCAGTGGTCCTCCCATCTCAGCCTCCCGAGTAGCTGGGACTACAGGCACACGCCACCACGCTTGGTTAATTTCTTTTTGTTCTTATTTTTTGTAGAGACAGGGTCTCACTGTGTTGCCCAGGCTGGTCTTGAACTCCTGAACGCAAGTGATCCTCCCGCCTCTATCTCTCAAAGTGCTGAGATTATAGGTGTGAGCCACTGCGCCTGGCCTGATTTTTTTTTTTTTAATAATATTAGAATGTTGTATTGTGTGTGAGTGAGTGTGTTGGTGAGGAGAGAAGGCGGCACTCAAAACTAACGCTCACTAGTGAGCATGGGGACAGGGTGCGAGGCAGGGTGCCCAGTCAACAGCATGATGTGGACAAGAATGCAGGCACCTGCCTGCTCCGGTTGGGTGTACTGGGGACAGTGACCTTACCTGGGGTTTTGCAGATCATGTGTTCATCTATTCAATTGTTCATTCAATGTTGTCTGAGCAGTGAAGGGCCAGGAACTAGTGTGTAGAGAGAACACGATCCTCTCCTCGTGTGTACAGGGTTGATGCGGGGAGGACATGTTCAAAGATTCACAGCATTGGAGGGAGACCTGGTCCGTGGGTTTCCCTTGGGAGTGACATTTAGCAGAGACCTGGGGGACTAGGAGATTTCACTAGGGGAAGAGATGCTGGTGAGGAGGAAAGAGCTCTGTTCAGGGTTGGGCGTGGTGGCTCACGCCTGTAATCCTAGCACTTTGGGAGGCTGAGGCAGGCAGATCACCTGAGATCAGGAGTTCGAGACCAGCCTGGCCAACATAGTGAAACCCTGTCTCTACTAGAAATACAAAAATTAGCCAGGTGTGATGGCGGTTGCTCCTAGCTACTCAGGAGGCTGAGACAGAAGACGTGCTCAAACCCGGGAGGCAGAGGTTGCAGTGAGCTGAGATTGTGCCACTGCACTCCAGCCTGGGCCACAGCGAGACTCCATCTCAATAAAAAAAGAAGACAGCTGTTCAGGCCATGTAGTCGCCCCTGGAGGAAGCCCCTGGCTGGAGGCAGACACCCTGGGCCAACCCCCTCCCTGCTGGCTGGGAGGCTGGACTGGACTGGGTGACTTTATTGCCAGGGTCGGGGACTCAAAGGCAGACAGACAAACCATGCTTCCCTCCTCCGTGCCTCAGTTTCCCATCCTGGGAAATAGAACCCCCCCACCTTCCTCTGGAGTGGATCACAGCCCCGGCTGGGCTCTGTTCATTGCAGTGGGGACGTTGGGCGTCACGGACATTGGGTGTCACTGACACCACCCTAGTCCCCTCCTAAACCCCTCGGTTGGCTGCTGGCTGGGACGGGCTGGGGCTCTGGGGCCTGATAGACTTAGAAGGACAAGTCCCAGGGACTCGGGGGGTTAAGTTTTCTTCGGCCGGGCTTCCCCTGCCCTTGGCTGTCTCCCAGGCCCCTCGGAGTCCTTTGATGGCATTAGAGCCAACCTTTTCCAGATGTGCTGAGCAGAGGGATTTGCCGGAACTCTCCGGGGCTTCATCTGCCTCCTTCATTCCCCTCTGCCAGACGGCCCCCTGCCCGCCAGCCTCCCCCCTCTGGTTGGGTCGCCTGCTGTTCAGGATGGATGCCCGCAAGGCAACACAAAGTCCTGGATTGAAGTGCTTTCTTAAAACATGCTCTTTCTTCCCTGCCTCTCCTCCTTAGCGGGACTGTTTGGGTTGAGAAGCTCACCATGGCTGCCCACCCCAAGCAGTGGGGGCCTGTCTGGGCTGCATCCACTGCACCACCCCGCACCGCCCCCAGGTGGACTGTGACCCTGGGCCAGAGGGTGAGGTGAGGTTTGGCAGAAGACCCTGCCCACTGGGCCCACTGTCCATTCCGTCTGGCTCTCGGGAACGTCTAGCTTGGATTCTGGGGAGGCTGGAGGCCTCAGAAATGCAGTGGGAAGCCCCTTTCCCCTCCCCGCTGGCCTGCAGCTATTAATCAAGAGATTAATAATCCCCTGCCTCCCGCTCTGAAACCTCCACTCTCGTTTCCTGTTGAGTCTCCAGCCTGACTCGGAACCTCCCAGTCTGTTTCTCCCCTCGTGGGGGTTCCTAGTGAGGAAGTGGAGGCCAGGGGAGGAGTCGGGGGCGGGCAGGCATGGAGGCTGAGAAGGGGTACGTGCCCAGTGAGGGAGGGGCATCTGGCTCCCCCAGGCAAGGTTCTGGGCTGGCAGAGTCATTCTGAGCAGGCGATCCCTGGATGGTGCAATGTCCCCCCGCACCCGAGGCAGGACTTCGTGACGCTTTGGGCCACATCCACTTTGGAGACCAGAGAGCCAAGACCTCTGCTTACTCACCTCCAGTGATGGGGACCTCATTTCTCCGGGGAGCCCTCCCCACCAGCATTTCATTTTTTTTTTTTTTGAGACAGAGTCTCACTCTGTCCCCCAGGCTGGAGTGCAGTGGCACAATCTCTGCTCACTGCAACCTCCACCTCCTGATTTCAAGCAATTCTCCTGCCTCAGCCCCCTGAGTAGCTGGGATTCCAGGTGTGCACAACCATGCCTGGCTAATTTTTGTATTTTCAGTTGTGACGGTTTCACCATGTTGGCCAGGCTGGTCTCGAATTCCTGACCTCAGGTGATCCGCCCGCCTTGACCTCCCAAAGTGCTGGGATTACAGGCTTGAGCCACTCCCAGACTGAGACTGCATCCAGGCACCCTGTTCGTTGAATGCTTCGTTCTTTCCACCAGTCTTCACTGGGTGCAGACGATGTGCCTCGCTCTAAGCTAGGCAGGCGGTGTAGCCAGTGGCTCCGTGGAGAAGGATGTCAGACAAATAATTACATACATGGGTGTACAATCATAAGTGCTTAGAAGAGAAGTCTGGGTACTTTGAGGGTGTAGATTGAAGAGGCCCAGCTTGCTGTAGGGTGGAAGGGACCGAGTGTGGGCTAGTCAGGGTGGGCTTCTAAGAGGAGGCAGCACTTTCACTGAGCTCTGGGAGGCTGCATGACTTGGGCAGAGACAGAGCACATGCACACAGGGCCAGTGGAGTCCTGAATGGGGGCGGAGTTCCGAATGGGGGGCGGAGTTCCGAATGGGGGCGGAGTTCTGAATGCTGGTGGAATTCTGAATCGGGCGGAGTTCTGAATGGGGGCGGGGAGGAGCTGGTGGCCAAGGAGAGGAGGAGGGATGGCCAAGGTATACAGTAGCCAGATGGCAGAAGTCCACAAGGTTAGGCTTAGGATTTGGGTATTGTCCTAAGATTTTTTTTCTTTTAAGAGACAGGGCCTCACTCTGTTGCCCAGGCTGGAGTGCAGTGGTACATTCACAGCTCGCTGCAAGCTCAAACTCCTGGACTCAAGTGATCCTCCTGCCTTAGCCTCCCAAATAGCTGAAACTACAGGCACGTGCCACTACACCCCACTAATTTTTTTTTTTTTTTTAAGAGACGGGGTCTGGCTATGTTTCTCAGGTTGGTCTAAAACTCCTGGACTCAAGCAATCTTCCCACCTCAGCCTCCCAAGTACGTGGGGACTACAGGCATGCACCACTATGCCTGGCTAATTTTTAAATTTTTGGTAGAAATGGGGGTCTTGCTATGTTGCTCAGGTTGGTCTTGAACTCCTGGCTTCAGGTGATCCTCCTGCCTTGGCCTCCCGAAGTGTTGGGATTACAGGCATGAGCCACTGTGCCTGGCCTTGTCCTGAGATTGAAGAAAAGCTAGGAGAGGTTCAAGGACATTTCTGCTTTAAAAACGTCACTTGGAGCTGGGCGAGGTGGCTCATGCCTGTAATCCTAACAGTCTGGGAAGCCGAGGCGGGCGGATCACCTGAGGTCGGGAGTTGGAGACCAGGCTAACCAACATGGAGAAACCGCATATCTACTAAAAATACAAAATTAGCCAGGCGTGGTGGTGCATGCCTGTAATCCTAGCTACTCGGGAGACTGAGGCAGGAGAATCACTTAAACCTGGAAGGTGGAGGCTGCAGTGAGCCGAGATTGTGCCATTGCACTCCAGCCTGGGCAACAGAGCGAGACTCCGTCTCAAAAAAAAATAAACAACAGTAAAAACAAACAACAAAAAAGCATCACTTGGGAGAACCAGAGAGGGAGGGAGGCAGATGGGGTATATGTGGAAAGATGGGGTATATGCAGTCAAGGGTGGGGTGAAGGTTCAGGGCTGGCTCCTCCACTTTCTGTTGGTGTGGACCAAGTCCAGCTCTGCACCTACCTGCCGCACAGTCTCTGGTGGACTCAGTGTTTTCATCCATAAAATGGGACAGTAATACTCTCAGGTGTGAGTGGGCCGAGTACGCAGGCATTCAGTGGCTACAGCCCCCTTAAGTTCCCCTTTCTTTTCTTTTTGTATTTTTTTTAGACAGTCTCAATCTTGCGGTCCAGGCTGGAGTGCAGTGGTGTGATCTCAGCTCACTGTAACTTCCGCCTCTCGGGTTCAAGCAATTCTCCTGCCTCAGCCTCCCAAGTAGCTGGGATCACAGGCGTGCACAACCACGCCTGGCTAATTTTTGTATTTTTAGTAGAGATTTTTAGTAGAGATGGGGTTTCACCATGTTTGTCAGGCTGGTCTCGAACTCCAAGACGATCCACCCGTCTGGGCCTCCCAAATTGCTGGGATTACAGGCGTGAGCCACAGCGCCCAGCCCCCTTTCTTTCCTGAGCTGATTTTGCCATCCTTAAAATGGGCATGTAGAACATTTTCCAGGGACCAGTGAGGGGCTCGCCCACCTTCAGCTCATTCCTGGAGTCTGGTGGTTTTGGCAGACAGACTCTAGGAGGACCACCCCACCTTGGGGTTTGTTTGGACCCACACCAGGCTGAATGTAATACCCAGGAAAAGCCTCAGCTCTGCATCCTGAAGGGGTGCCAACAGACCCAGGAGAGCCAGATCCCTAGTCAGTCGATTGATAGTGATATGTACCTCCTGGGTGCTGGGCAGATGTGGTGGGAGACCTTAGAAAGGCTTCCTGGAGGAGGTGACCTAGAGAGAGACAGAAAGAGAGAGAGACAAGAAAGACCAGCCCCTCAGAGGGCAATAGGGTGAAACCCCGTCTCTACTAAAAATACAAAAATTAGCCAGGAGTGGTGGTGCGCACCTGTAATCCCAGCTACTCGAGAGGCTCAGGCAGGAGAATCACTTGAACCCAGGAGGCGGAGGTTGCAGTGAGCCGAGATTGTGCCACTGCACTCCAGCCTGGGCGACAGGGTGAGACTCCGTCTGAAAAAAAAAAAAAAGAGGTAAGGAAACTGGTGTGCTGGAGATTTGTGAGAAGACCAGTGTGGCTGGAAAACAAAGTCACCTGCGAGGCCAGGGAGGACACCAGATCAAAGCAGGCAGAGCCCGTGGGCCATAGAGTGGACTTGGTGACCACTGGAAGTCATGGATGGATGGGGCTGCTCCACCTTGGGGAGAATCCAGGCATCAGAGGCCAATCTTGTTTTTGCCTCCAAAATCTAAGAGTTGTTAAAGTCTTAGGGGTAGGAGGGACAACACCCCGCTCCAGAGCTGTGTGGCACCTGGCCGGGACCTTGTTATTGGCCCTTAATGTTCCCACCAAGCAGCAAAGTTGACACTACCATGTGGCTGGGGACTCTGCAGGGAGCCTTGAGGAAGATGAGTTCCCTCTTGGAGCCTGGTGTCCTCAACTGAGTGCGGCCTTAAGGCTGACAGAGGTTAAATAAAATATGTACACCCTGTTTTTGAGGGAGGGCAGTCCCTAAACTGGATCTGCATTTTAGAAAGTTTGCCTAGGCCAGGGGCAGTGGCTCACGCCTGTAATCCCAGCACTTTGGGAGGTCAAAGTGGGCAGATCACCTGAGGTCAGGAGTTCAAGACCAACCTGGCCAACATGGTGAAACCCCATTTCTACTGAAAATACAAAAATTAGCCAGGTGTGGTGGTGTGCGCCTGTAATCCCAGCTACTCAGGAGGCTGAGGCAGGAGAATCGCTTGAACCCGGGAGGTGAAGGCTGCAGGGAGCTGAGATCGCGTCACTACACTCCAGCCGGGGCAACAGAGCGAGACTCTGTCTCAAAACAAAAAAACAACAAAAAAAGAAAGTTTGCCCAACTGGACCCTAGCGGCAGGGGCTGGCAATTCTTCATGGGGACAGGAGGCCAGCCTCCCTCGGGTTTTTTTCCAAGACTGGGGAAATGGGCCACAAATGTGGAACCTGTCTTGGGCATTCAGGTGAGACTCAGGGGGGCTACCAAGCTGAGTCTTGGCCGGTTGGGATGGTGACACAGTGCCACCTACTGGTGTGCCCCACGCCTGGACTTGGCAGCCATCAGGTTCCAGAGTGGCATGGGCCAAGCCCATGGAATTCAGAATGAGGGGCCAAGAAAGACTGTGGCCAGGAGCGGTGGCTCATGCCTGTAATCCCAGCACTTTGGGAGGCCAAGACAGGCAGATCACCTGAGGTCAGGAGTTCGAGGCCAGCCTGGCCGACATGGTGAAACCCTGTCTCTACAAAAAATACCAAAATTAGCTAAAATTAGGTTAAAAATACAAAATTACTCCTGTAATTGCAGCTACTTGGGAGGCTGAGGCAGGAGAATTGCTTGAACCCGGGACACAGAAGTTGCAGTGAGCCACGATTGCGCCACTGCACTCCAGCCTGGCGACAGAGAGAGACTCCGTCTCAAAAAAAAAAAAAAAGAAAGAAAGAAAAAGAAAAAAGAAAAGAGCATCTCCAGAGGGATGAGCTCAGTTTCTGAATCAGGGGCCCGAGATCAGTCCCTGTGTGTAGATGAGAGGGAAAACCTTTGCCTGTACTGAACGAACACAAATTAGTATTACTGGGCTCTGGAACCAATTCTGCCTGGGTTCAGATCCCAGTTCCACCACCTTGACAAAGTTGCTTAACCTCTTTGTGCCTCAGTTTCCTTGTCTGTAAACTGGGAATAATGGCCTCTGTTGTTCTCAGTCAGCTTATGTAAACCACTCAGTACACTGTGAGTCTGCAATTGAAGCTACTATTATATTTATATATTTTTTAAGACAGAGTCTCCCTCTGTCACCCAGACTGGAGTGCAGTGGTGCAATCTCAGCTCACTTCTATCTGTGTCTCCCAGGTTTAAGCGATTCTTGTGCCTCAGCCTCCTGAGTAGCTGGGATTACAGGCGCCCACCACCATGCCCGGCTATTTTTTGTGTGTGTGTTTTTAGTAGAGATGGGGTTTCACCATGTTGGCCAGGCTGGTCTCGAACTCCTGGCCTCAAATGATCCACCTGCCTCAGCCTCCCAAAGTGTTGGGATTACAGGCGTGAGCCACCGTGCCCGGCCTATCATACCTACTTTTATTGTTCTCATGACCATCTTCATCATTCCAAGTGTGGATTGAAGTGAGAGTGTCTGGTGCATCTGGAGGGCTCCCGCCTGGTGGGTGAGGGCCAGAGGTGTCTGTGTGAGGTGGAGGAGGGCCAGCACATTTGGCTCAGCAGCCCGGACTCTCTCCTGATGACAGTGGGGACGGCCGAAGGGTGTGGGTTGGGAGGAATGAGGTCAGGTCTGTATTTTGCAAACCCAGCATCCATGCACCCCTCCTGCACTCACAGCCTTACACCAGGCATCCTGGTCTCCCTGGTATCCTCATCATACAGACCAGGAAACAGGCTCAGAGAGGTTTAGGTACCTGTGCAATGTTGTATAGTGAATTAGGGACAGAGCCCAAATGCCAGGCTTGCACTCCTGAGCCCAGGGCTCCATTGATCCCATCGTGCAGAGGTTAAGGGAGGGACCTGATTTTTTGGCATCAGCTGTGCTCAGCAGGGTGCAAACAACAGCAGCTTGGCCCTTGCGCCTGCCCCGGGCCCTGGGTGGACTCTGTAGTTTTTCTGGTCTCTCGTAGTCGGAAGACCATTTCAGGAATTAATTTTAAAACTGCCATTTTTAATCTAAACAAAAGCTCTCCTCTGTCCAAGCTGGGCCTGCTTTCGGCTGGCAGATCTGCGGCAGCAAGAGGGTTGTGAGCCCTTTCTGTTTTTCTAGGTCTTTCTTTTTTTTTTTTTTTGAGACAGAGTCTTGCTCTGTCACCCAGATTGGAGTGCAGTGGCACGATCTCGGCTCACTGCAACCTCCGCCTCCCGGGTTCAAGGAATTCCCCTGCTGCAGCAGACTCTGTCTAAAAACAGAACAAAAGATATGGCATAGAAACATATTTGGGGTTGAAATATTTTGATTTCCTTCCTTATCTGCCATGCGATGTTATGCTAGAGCCTGGTTGGAAAGCCAGCCACATCATATAGGGTTAAAATAGAACCTGTGTGATGAGGCTTTGTGGTTTGAAAGGCGTGACTCCCCAGGCTCCTTAGATAGGAATCTGGGCAAGAGAAGAAAACGGTCAGAGGTTAGTCCTCAGGTATGTGAGCGTGTTTAGTGTGTTAGTGTGAGGCTGAGTGTGTGTTTATCCAAGCGTGTGAATAGGTGCATGTGTGTGTACATAATTGCGTACAAGTGTGTGACTGTGAGTGTGCATGAGTGAGTCTGAGGGTGCTGAGCACGTGTTTGTGTGAGTGCGTGTGTGGAAGTGTGCACGAGTGTGTTTGTGCGAGTGTGCAAGCACGAGTGTGCACACGAGTGTGAGAGAGCAAATGAGTGTGTGACTGTGTGAGGGTGTGCGTATGTGTTAGTTTGTGAGAGCTTGCAAGTAAGTTTGTGCAAGCGTGTGAAGGTGTGAGAGTGTGTGAGGGCACGTGTGTCCTCACATGGGTATGTGAATGTGTGTGCATGTATGTGAGTGTGTGTTTATTGTGAAAATCGTGTATTTGTACTCATCATCGCATACCAGAGTCACTTGCTGTAAGGAGGGGTGACCTTGGAACTAAGGCTCTGCCACCTCTTTCCAACCCCCCATCCTGCACTGGATTGCCCAGTTGCTCCCAAAAGCTGGGGGCTTTGCTCTCCAGCTCACAGCTGTGGGCACCTCTCCTGGTCATCTCCTACCTCCTGTCCCAGCTGCACACAACCACGCTACCCCCAGATCTCCAGGGGGAAACTGGTTTGCTGGAATGTTTATGAAACACGAGTGCAGGTTTTTGCTTTTTTAAAAAAGAAATGAGCGTAACAGGATTTTTCAGATTCAGAGCTGTACTTCTGAAATCCAGTTCTCCACTCGTGTGTTTTCCTGTCAACAGTGCGTCTCCAAACGTCGCGCCTGCTGCTACCAATTAATTCATGATTGTTTCATTCACCGATTAAGTTGCTCGATGTCAGCAGATTTAAATTTTGTGAAGTTATGTAGTTTTGTCTTCAGGGGGACATTGTGCAAACTTGATCAAGCAGCAGTTATGACAATGCACGTAAAGTGAATAATAAAAGCTGAATGTGTCTCCCTTATGAAATTTGGTCATGCATTTTATATTCGCGATTCTTGGAGTGTGACAAAAAAGCATCCAACTTATGTGTAAGAAAAATTTCGAAACTGTGGGAGTGTGAAACTTTACGATGGGATTCACAGCATTTTGCAAGAATTTTTTTTTTTAATTCCTGCAAGAGTCCCACTACTGTATTCCAAGTTTTTTCTTTTCCTTTTTCTTTTCTTTTTTTTTTTTTTTTCAGAGACAGGGTCTTGCTCTGTTGCCCAGGCTAAGTGCAGTGGTTCGATCATGCTCACTGTAGCCTCAAAACTCCTGGGCTCCAGTGACCCTCCCACCTCAGCCTCCCAAGTAGCTGGGACTACAGGTGTGCACAACTATGCCGGGCTAATTTTTTTATTTTTATTTTTTGTAGAGACAGCATCTTGGTATATTGCCCAGGCTGGTCTCGAACTTCTGACTTCAAGCAATCCTCCTGCCTCGGCCTCCCAAAGTGCTAGGACTACAGGTGTAACCCCTACTCCTGGCCGTGTATGCCAAGTTTTCTTCATTGAAGTGTCTCGCTCTTCTCAGGATGATGACACAGTTTTATAAATCTATGACCGCAATATAGCACAAAGTGGGTGTTCAATAAACCCACTTTGGGTTTATTGTTGGTGAATCAACCAAAAGAAATTATAATTGGGAAAAAGGTCAGAGTAGATGATAGTTGAAAATTTTGCAGGTCCTGCTAATTTCTTTCTTCCTTCCTTTCCTTCCTTCCTTTCTTCTTTTTTTTTTTTTTTGAGACAGAGTTTCACTCTTGTTGCCCAGTCTGGAGTGCAGTGGCGTGATCTCCACTCACCGCAACTCCGCCTCCTGGGTTCAAATGATTCTCCTGCGTCAACCTCCCGAGTAGCTGGGATTGCAGGCATGCGCCACCACACCCAGCTAATTTTTGTATTTTTAGTAGAGATGGGGTTTCTCCATGTTGGGCAGGCTGGTCTTGAACTCCCGACCTCAGGTGATCCGCCCACCTCGGCCTCCCAAAGTGCTGGAATTACACGCGTGAGCCACCGTGCCTGGCCCCTTTTCTTTCTTTATCATCTTGGTCAGTGTTCAGTGTTCAGGACACTTTCCCCTCACAGGTGGCCACACTTGGAGAGTTGTACAATGGCAGAGCTAGAGGGGACTTTATTTTTTATTTTATTTTATTTTGTTTGTTTATTTTTTTTGAGATGGAGTCTCACTCTTTCACACAGGCTGGAGTGCAGTGGCATGATCTCGGCTCACTGCAACCTCCACCTCCCAGGTTCAAGCTATTCTGCCTCAGCCTCCTGAGTAGCTGGGACTACAGGTGCCTGCCATCATGCCTGGCTAATTTTTGTATTTTTAGTAGAGACAGGGTTTCACCATGTTGGCCAGGCTGGTCTCGAACTCCTGACCTCAGATGATTCACCCACCTCGGCCTCCCAAAGTGCTGGGATTACAGGCGTGAGCCACCATGCCTGGCCAGGTACTTTATGTTTACTATTATTTTTTGTTTGTTTAAATTTATGGGTTACAAGTGCAACCGATATATTGCACAGTGGTGAAGTCAGGGCTCTTAGGAAATCCATCACCCACATAATGTACTGTATTAGACTGTTCTTGTGTTGCTATAAAGAAATACCGGAGACTGGGTAATTTATAAAGAAAAGTTTAATTTGGCTCACAGTTCTGCAGGTTTACAAGCATGGTGCCGGCATCTCCTTGGCTTCTGGGGAGGTCTCTGGAAACTTTCATTCACGGCTGAAGGCAAATTGGGATTAAGAGAGTGAGGGGGCCGGGCGCGGTGGCTCACGCCTGTAATCCCAGCACTTTGGGAGGCCGAGGCGGGCGGATCACGAGGTCAGGAGATCGAGACCATCCCGGCTAAAACGGTGAAACCCCGTCTCTGCTAAAAATACAAAAAAATTGGCCGGGCGTGGTGGCGGGCGCCTGTAGTCCCAGCTGCTTGGGAGGCTGAGGCAGGAGAATGGCGTGAACCCGGGAGGCGGAGCTTGCAGTGAGCCGAGATCCCGCCACTGCACTCCAGCCTGGGCGACAGAGCGAGACTCCGTCTCAAAAAAAAAAAAAAAAAAAAAAAGAGAGTGAGGGGGCACCAGGCGCGGTGGCCCATGTCTGTAATCGCAGCGCTTTGGGAGGCCGAGGTGGGCGGATCACGAGGTCAGGAGATCAAGAGCATCCTGGCCAACAAGGTGAAACCCTGTCTCTACTAAAAGTACAAAAATTAGCTGAGAGTGGTGGCATGTGCCTGTAATCCCAGCTACTTGGGAGGCTGAGGCAGGAGAATCGCTTGAATCTGGGAGGCGGAGGTTGCAGTGAGCCGAGATCGCGCCACTGAATTCCAGCCTGATGACAGAGCAAGACTCCGTCTCAAAAAAAAAAAAAAAAAAAAAAAAGACAGTGATGGGGGAGGCGCCACACCATTTTAAATAACCAGATGTCACGTGAACTGAGAGCCAGAACCCACTTATCACCAAGGGGATGGTGCTAGACCATTCATGAGAGGTCTGTCCCCTGATCTAATCACCTCCTACCAGGCTTCACCTAATGCTGGGAATTACATTTCAACCTGAGATCTGGAGTTTGGACAAATATCCAAACCCTATCACATACATTGCATTCATTACCTACCCATCCCTTTCCATGTCTCCATTGTGTACACATTGTTTACCTCCCTCTTAGAGAACATATGGTATTTGTCTTTCTGTGCCTGGGTGGTTCATGTAAGATAACAGCCTCCAGTTCCATCCACGTTTAGATCACAGCTGATACAGAGAGGGATGGCGACTTGTGCAGGGTCACACAGCTGTCACTGCCCAAGGGGTTCACCTTGCCTGCTGCTTAGACACAGCTGATTTATCAAGACAGGGGAATTGCAATAGAGAAAGATGGCCGGGTGCCATGGCTTGCTCCTGTAATCGCAGCACTTTGGAAGGCTGAGGTGGGTGGATCACTTGAGGCCAGGAGTTCGAGAGCAGCCTCACAAACATGGTGAAACCCTGTCTCTACCAAAAATACAAAAATTAGCTGGGCCTGGTGGCACACACCTATAATCTCAGCTACTCCGGAGGCTGAGGCAGGAGAATCGCTTGAACCTGGGAGGCAGAGGTTGCAGTGAGCCCAGATCGCGCCACTGCACTACAGCCTGGGCAACAGAGTGAGACTCTGTCTCAACTAAAAAAAAAAAAAAGAGAGAGAGAGAGAAAGAGTAATTTACACAGAGCCGGCTGTATGGGAGACTGGAGGTTTTTATCACTCAAATCAGTCTCCTGAGCATTCAGGATGGAGTTTTTAAAGACAATTTGGTGGGTAGAGGCTCGGAAGTTGGGGAGTGGTGACTGGTCAGGTTGGAGATGGAATCGTAGGGGGTCGAAGTGAGGTTTTCTTGCTGTCTTCTGTTTCTGGATGGGATCATAGCACTGCTCAAGCCAGATTACAGGTCTGGGTGGTATCAGCTGATCCATCGAGGACAGGGTCTGCGAAATATCTCAAGCACTGATCTTAGGTTTTATAATGGCGATGTTATCTCCAGGAGCAATTTGGGGAGGTTCAGACTCTTGCAGCCATAGGCTGCATGACCCCGTAAACCATAATTTCTAATCCTGTAGCTAATTTATTAGTCCTACAAAGGCAGACTGGTACCCAGGTAAGAAGGGGGTCTTTTTGGGAAAGAGATATTATCAATTTTGTTTCAGAGTCAAACCATAAACTAAATTTCTTCCCAAGATTAGTTCGGCCTACTCCCAGGAATGAAGGAGGACAGCCTAAAGTTAGAAGCAAGATGGAGTCAGTTAGGTCTGATCTCTTTCGTTGTCATAACTTCCTCCGTTATGATTTTTGCAAAGGCATTTGCACAGCCAGTGAACACGGACCCCGGCAGTGGTTTCCACGCCATGGGGGCCTCCCGGAGCCCTGGCTGGGCAAAACAGCCTGGCCCATCTTTGCAGCAGTGGGGTCTGGAGGTGGGTGGGTGGGAGCTCATGCCCCCCTGACGCTGTCTGTGTGTTAGTTACAGGACTCTGATCAGACCCACCTACAGAGTGTCCTACCGCACGGTGACGGTGCTGGAGTGGAGATGCTGCCCTGGCTTCACCGGGAGCAACTGTGATGAGGGTAAGTTGGCAGGCACTTGGGCTGCAGGGGGCCAGGCGTGGGCCAGGCTGGAGTTTCTCCCTTCTCTGGCCTCCTCCTGCAAGCAGCTTTCCTTTCCTCCGTAGCTTGAAATCCTTTCCTTTTCCCAATCGCCTCTGAAGCAAATGTTCTGTATCGGCCTGGCCAAACCAGGATGAAGCTGCCCGCCCTGCCCGTGGGCACCGAGGCAGGTCCTAGTTTGCACTGGTTGGGTAGTGGAATACAGAAGCCAAAAACAGCACTGGTGCCAGGGGAAGGGATTTGATTTCTAGCCGGTTTCTTCCACTTTTGGCTCCGATGCACCCAGAACCCCTGGGGCAGGCAGAGTTGGATATCTGGGCTCTGAGCAAATGCGGATGAGGTCCCACCAGCCTTGAGGCCACGTATTTTGTAGACTGAGACAGAGAAGCTGACCGGTAGCTGCAGATAGACGTTCACCCAGCTGCTTTCTGCCTTTCTGCCCTGTTGGTGTTTAGCCCGGGGGCCTGGGCTCAGCCTGGCTCTGGAGCCTGAGAGGGTCACATAACAGCACTTAGGTGGGCCAGCAGTGGCAGACAGAGCAAATCCCCCTTCACTGCTGGCCAGGGAAATTGAGTCCTGCCTAATGAACAAGTTTGCAGCCCACCTTGTTCCCCAGCATGGCTGGATGGGTCTGGAGGCTGAGGCTCAGCGGTCAGATTTTTCTTCTTTTTCTTTTTTTTTTTTGAGACAAGGTCTCACTCTGTTGCCCAGGCTAGAGTGGAGTGACATGATCATGGCTCACTGCAGCCTCGAACTCCTGGGCTCAATTGATCCTCCCACTTCACCCTCCTGTGCAGTTGGGACTGTAGGTGTGCACCACCATACCTAGCTATTTTTTTGTATGATTTTTAGAGACGGGTCTTGCATTGTTGCTCAGGCTGTCTCGAACTCCTTGGATCAAGCGATCCTCCCACCTTAGCCTCCCAAAGTGCTGGGATTACAGGTGTGAACCACCTCTCCCGGCTGGAGGGGTCAGTTTTGTATTTGGAAACAGTAGCTGTCTCCCACCTTCGCTTTCTGACAAAATTCTTCTCTTCTCTGTCATCTTGTTACTTACTGATTTGATAGCAGGATCTATATGCTTTGAGTGTAAACTGTCTAAAGAGCTCTTTGGGTTACAAAGAATAACGCAATTGACAGAAATAGAGACTCTGACAATTGCTTCAGGGGGCCTCTGGCCCACAGCAGAGCTGAAGGAAAAAGGCTGGGATGCCAGGGAGTCCGACAGGTGCCTCTGGTCCTGGTTGATGAGGTGCCTGATGCTGGCAGGGGAGGCTGGGCTATCCTTGTTGGAGGTTCCAGGGCTGACTTGGACCCTTCTTTGGAGAGGAGCAGGAAGGACCTCCAAGGTGAAGGGGTGAGGGGATGCCAGGTTTCTGAGCAGTGGGCTGGCCCTGGCATAATGCTATGGTGTTGAACGACCACAGCTCACAGGTCCCTCATGGAGGCCTGAGCCCTTCAATGCCAGGACTTGGACCTGCCATTCTGGTCAGCGCCACGGCTGTGGACACAGCCATCTGGTCCCCCCAACGGGATGGAGCAGGCCTGCCATCTAGATCCTGCCAGGGGCCGAGGAGGCGAGAGTTGCTAGGGAAGTGATTAGTTTACCCTTAAGTAAGTACCTGAGCCTGTTTCAGTGATCAATAAAATCAGCAATGTTAGCCGGGAATGGTGGCTTATGACTGTAATCCCAGCATTTCAGGAGGCTGAAGCCGGAGGATCGCTTGAGCCCAGGAGTTTGAGACCAGCCTGGGCAACATGGTGAAACCCTGTCTCTACTAAAATATACAAAAATTAGCCAGGTGAGGTGGCATGTGCCTGTAGTCCCAGGTACTCAGGAGGCTGAGGTAGGAGGATCACTGATGTATGTGTGTATACACACACACATGTATTTGTAGATTGGGGGTCCCCAAGACCACCCTTAGGTTTGACACCTTGCTAGAAGAACTCAGAGAATGTATTAAAAACTATTATGCTCATGGTCATGGTTTATTACAGCAAAAAGATACAGATTAGGATGGGCGTGGTGGCTCATGCCTGTAATCCCAGCACTTTGGGAGGCTGAGGAGGGAGGATCACTTGAGGTCAGGAGTTCGAGACCAGCCTGACCAACATGATCAAACCCCAACTCTACTAAAAACCCAAAAATTAGCCGGGCATAGTGGTGGGCGCCTGTAATCCCAGCTACTTGGGAGGCTGAGGCAGAAGAATCGCTTGAACCCAGGAGGCACAGATTGCAATGAGCCTAGATTGTGCCTCTGTACTCCAGCCTGGATGACAGAGTGAGACTCAGTCTCAAAAAAAAAAAAAAAAGATACAGATTAAAATGAGCTAGGGAAGAGACACATGGGGCAGGCCGGGCACAGGAGAGTTTCATGTATGGAACCTCTAGTTGTCGCCTCCCAGTGGAGTTGTGGACAGCTGTACTTTCCCAGCAATGACATGTGTCAGTATATACAAAATATTGCCACCCGGGGAAGCTCATCTGAGCCAGAGATTTTACTGTGGCTTAGGTACATGGACCATGGCCAGCCTGCATGGCTGACTCAGATTCTAGCCCCTCTGGAAGATGAGCTGGTACCAGGTGGTGCAAGGATGTCCTCATCAACGACATTGTTAGCACAAACTATCCAATGTGGCCTGCGTTAGCATAGACTGTGTGGCATGGTCGAAGGTCCCCAGGTAGGCAGATACTGTGACCAACCTGGACATTCCAAGGGCTTCCAAATACCTCCCACGAGCCAAGTGCAAAGGCCAGACCTCCTTTAGGGTAAGATTAATTCTTTGTGTGTGTATATATATAATATGTGTATTACATATTATTATTGAAATATATAATATATAGTAATTGTGATATATTAATAATATATATTCTATATTCAATAATATAGAATTATTGAATTATTTATATTCCATATTCTATATGAATATGAATTCCATAGTCTATATGAATATGAATTCCATAGTCTATATGAATATGAATTCCATAGTCTATATGAATATGAATTCCATAGTCTATATGAATATGGAATGTAGAATGATATACAATTCTATATGGATATTGAATGCGTTATTAATAATTTATATATTCCAGTAATATATATTATCAATAATTATAGATATTAATTATTGATAATAAATATTATCAAATAAATATTCATATATTGAATAATATATAATATTGAATAATTGTTGATATATATTATTGAATAATTATTAATAATAATTAATATATATTCCAGTAACATATAATATATATTATTGAAATATATGATACGTATTATATATTGTTGAAATATATAATATATAATTGAAATATATAATATAGTCATTGAGATATATATGTAATATATATCTCAATAATTAATATAATCTCAATAATATATATAAAATATGTTACTGTAGACAATTTATACATTGTATATAATATATACAATATGAAAGATATATTTATATATGATGTAAATTATGTATTATAATGTGAATTATGTATTATAATTTATATTATATTTCTATTTAAACAATGTATGTATTATATAAATTATATATAATGTTATATTTAAATTATAATTTATATTATATATAAATTATATACAATTTAAGTATCCCTAGTCCAAAATCCAAAATGTTCTAAAATCTGAAACTTTCTGAGCCCTGACATGATGCTCAAAGGAAATGCCAAGTAGAACATTTTGGATTTCTGATTTTCTGATTTGGGATGCTGAACTGGTAACATAATTATATATTATACGTAAAGTATATAATTTATATATGTATATAAAAACGAACCTGAAATTAAGACCACTAAGGTTGAGCCTATGGGGTAGTAAAGACAAAAGCTTTGTGGTTATTGTCTCTACTGAAAAGAAATCATTTGCATCTTTTTTTTTTTTTTTTTGACGGAGTCTCGCTCTGTTGCCCAGGCTGGAGTGCAGTGGCACAGTCTCCACTCACTGCAACATCAGCCTCCTGGGTTCAAGCGATTGTCCCACCTCAGCCTTCTGAGTAGCAGGGATTACGGGCATCCACCACCACACCCAGCTATGTTTTTTGTATTTTTAGTAGAGATGGGGTTTCACCATTTTGGCCAGGCTGGTCTCGAACTCCCGGCCTCAGGTGATCTGCACCCATCGGCGTCCCAAAGTGCTGGAATTGCAGGCGTGAGCCACCGCGCACAGCCAAAATCATTTGCTTTTTACCAGTTTTGTATGAGTTAACATCCAACTTGGCAGAATCTGAGCTGCAATGCATAGTGAGCGGTAACTCAAAGTGACATTCTCCTGGGGTGTCATACGGCACGTGGGCAGGCTCATGAGATAGTGCTGTAGCCTGACTCTAGAAGGTTAGTCCCTCAGCTTTTTGCCCTATTTCCACATTTTGCAGAGCTCTTCTTGCAGACTGAGTGGATGAAACACAGTAGCCCATGGCAGCAGGTGGCAGGACCGTGGGAGGACAGTCCCTGCTGACTGGGAGGTCCTCACCACCAAGTAGGTTCATGTGGGGCTGTGGACCCACCTTTCTCAATAGAGGAGGCAGAAGTGAAGGGGGGTGACTGTGAGCTGGTGAATTGTTCCAAAGGTGTCCACCCTCAAGGGCTTGGCACTTCCCTTCAAGAAGAAATTTCTTATCCGATAAACCACATTGATATGATCAATATACAGTCATGCGTGGCTTAATGATGTGGCTATGTTCTGAGAAATGCATCATTGGAAGATTTGTCTTTATGGGAACACCAAAGGATGTACTTACAGAAACCTAGATGATCTAGCCTATTACACACCTAGGCTAGATGGTCTAGCCTATTGCTCTGGGCTACAAACCTGTATAGCATGTGACTATGCTGAATTCTGGAGGCATTAGGAATATAATGGTAAGTATTTGTGTATATCAACATATCTACACATAGAAAAGGTACAGTACAAATATATTATTATTATTATTTATTAATTTTTTTTTTTGAGATGGAGTCTGTCTGTCAGCCAGGCTGAAGTGCAGTGGTGTGATCTCTGCTCACTGCAACCTCCGCCTCCTGGGTTCAACGGATTCTCCTGTCTTAGCCTCCCAAGTACCTGGGGTTACAGGCATCTGCCACCATGCCTGGCTAATTATTGTATTTTTAGTAGAGACGGAGTCTCACCATGTTGGCCAAGCTGACCTCAAGTGATCTGCCCGCCCCCGCCTCCCAAAGTGTTGGGATTACAGGCGTGAGCCACTGTGCCCGGTCTAAAATACAGAATTATAATTTTAATGGGGGTGGGGGAGCAGACGTGGTGGCTCACGTTTGTAATCCCAGCACTTTGGGAGCCCAAGGCAGTGGATCACTTGAGGTCAGGAGTTCGAGACCAGCTTGGCCAACATGGCAAAACCCCGTCTCTACTAAAAATAGAAAAACTAGCCGGGCGTGGTGGCACGTGCCCGTAGCCCCAGCTACTCAGGAGGCTGAGGCAGGAGAATCACTTGAACCTGGGAGGAAGAGGTTGCAGTGAGCTAAGATAGTGCCACTGCACTCCAGCCTGGTTGACAGAGCGAGACCCTGTCTCAAAAAGGAAAAGAAATTTTATGAGACCACTCGTATATGCAGTCTGTCGTTGACTGAAATGTCGTTATGTGGCATGTGACTGTACTCACCAGAAACATCTGGAGTTCTTGGACTGATTATGATGAGTTCCAGCACCTCTCAAGATGCTCTCAGCCTCAGACCTCTGCCAGCCCCTCCCTGGTGGAGAAGCCTTCTGGGCTTCAAGCACCTTGCTCAGGATGCGTGTCCCCTTCTGAAAGTTTTAGGGTTAAGTGACTCTTCTAGCTGTGTGCCTGAGGGTCCTGGACATCTCAGGAGTGGGGAGTTGGCAGCTGAAGAATTCCTGGGAGTCTGAGCCTGGGCTGAGTTTGGGATCGGCTCCTGAAAACCCTTGTAAAGATTTTACATTCCCGAATATAAACCAATAAAGACAGCAGGCTAAATCAAGGCCATGCCCATGTCTTGGGCACATTCCGAAGATGGTTGTGGTGAGTCCCGCACCATTAATTCCCTTTTGCGTCTCATTCCTGCCTCTCTGGAAACAAGCAGGTCCATGAGATGCAGTTCAGTGGGTTTTGCTGTGGTTCAGTGGGGTTTCCCTCCCTAGACACCCCAGGAGTGCAGGTCTAAGGTTTGGAAATACTTTCCTTTCTACATATGTCTATACATGATCCATCTTAATGAATTGCACATTTCGTGTTTGTGAATTCACCTCCTTGATAAAATTGATGGGTAACCCCTAAATCAATAACTTGCAGCGGTCATTCATGGATATGGGGCACAGTAGCAAAAACTTTGAGTCACCAGACATGCATGTTTCCTACTGAGGTCAAACCAGGTGACACCCTGGCTCCCTGTTTCCCTCTCAAACTGCAAAGAAGTGTCCTGTTCTTTTCTTTTTTTCCTTTCCTTTTCTTTTCTTTCTTTTTTTTTTTTTTGTTATGGAGTCTCGCTCTACTGCTCAGACTGGAGTGCAATGGCATGATCTCGGCTCACTGCAACCTCCCAGGTTCAAGTGATTCTCCTGCCTCAGCCTTCCAAGTAGCTGGGATTACAGGTGCCCGCCACCACACCCAGCTAATTTTTGTATTTTTAGTAGAGACAGGGTTTCACTATGTTGGTCAGGTTGGTCTCGAACTCCTGACCTCAGATGATCCACCCACCTCGGCCTCCCAAAGTGCTGGGATTACAGGGGTGAGCCACCGCACCCGGCCAAGTGTCCTTTTCAAGGTCTGTTTAGTACCATAGTTTTTGCATCTTTCTGCCTTTTTGGGGGTGGTTTGTTGTTTAGAATGTCCCCCAGGCATAGCGCTGAAGTGCTCTCTGGTATCCCTAAGCGCAAAGAAGCTGTGATGTTCCTTGCGGAGAAAATATGTGTGTTAGATAAGCCTCGTTCAGGCATGAGTTACAGTGCTGTTGGCTGTGAGTTCAATGTTAATGAATCTACAGTAAATATGTTAAAAGGTGCCTTTAAACAGAAACACAGGTAAGACAAGGTTATGTATTAATGGGTTGATGATCCTGAAATCAGAGGCTCAAAGGACCTAACCCTGTATTTCCCGTATAAGCAATGGTTCAGTATTCACTAAGGTAGTGTAAATGGTGATTTCATAGAGCATAAATTCTGTGAGCCAGCATCAATTGTATATATGGATCTATGTCTAACTAAATATCTAAAACAAAATTTTTTCTTTATCTTTTTTTTTTTTTTTTTTTGAGATAGAGTTCTGCTCTGTCACCCAGGCTGGAGTGCAGTGGTGCCATCTCCACTCACTGCAACCTCCGCCTCCCAGGCCCAAGTGATCCTCCCACCTCAGCCTCCCAAGTAGCTGGGACTACGGGCATGAACCACCACACCTGGCTAATTTTTGTGTATCTTTGTAGAGACGGGGTTTCACCATGTTGCCCAGGCTGGTCTCCAACTCCTGGGCTCAAGCAATCCACCTGCCTAGACCTCCCAAAGTGCTGGGATTACAGGCATGAGCCACCATGGGCAGCCTAGTTTTTTCTTATTACAAAAGTAACTACATGTTTAGTGCAGAAAACATAGAAACACGTAGTATTACACCTCTCACTTGGGTGAGAAGCCTCCAGATCTTTTTCTGTGCTTGCATGTTAATTGCACTGTACATGCTGTTTGGTAAGTTTCTTTTCTTTTCTTTTTTTTTTTTTTTTTGAGACTGAGTTTCACCTTGTAGCCCAGGCTGGAGTGCAATGGTGCAATCTCAGCTCACTGCAACCTCCGCCTCCCAGGCTCAAGCGATTCTCTTGCCTCAGCCTCCCAGGTAGCTGGGATTACAGGTGTGCACCACCACCCCCAGCTAATTTATTATTTTTATTATTTTTAATTTTTTTTGAGATGGAGCCTAGCTCTGTCACCCAAGCTGTAGTGCAGTGGCGTGATCTCAGCTCACTGCAACCTCCGCCTCCTGGGTTCAAACCATTCTCCTGCCTCAGCCTCCCAAGTAGCTGGGACTGCAGGTGCACGCCACCAGGCCTGGCTAATATGTTTTGTATTTTTAGTAGAGACGAGGTTTTACCATGTTGGCCAGGCTGGTCTCGAACTCCTGACCTCAGGTGATCCGCCTGCCTCGGCCTCCCAAAATTCTGGGATTACAGGCGCGAGCCACTGCACCTGGCCTGGTAAGTTTCCTTCTCACATAAATTATCATGAACATCTGTCTTTGGCAATAGATAGCCTTCTATAATATCATTGTGAGTGGTTGTAGAACTTGAGTATACACACACTTTATTAAATAATGTAAGATATTTAAATTGTTTCTAATTTTTAAATAACATTACTGTAAGTATATATATATATATATTTTTTTTTTAATGGAGATAAAATTTACACATACTTAAATGCACAGATTTTCTCTTTTTTTGAGATAGGGTTTCATTCTGTTGCCCAGGCTGGGGTGCAGTGGTGTGATCATGGCTCACTGCAACCTTGACCTCCCAGGCTCAAGCAATCCTCCTACCTCAGCCTCCCAAGGAGCTGGGACTACAGGTGTGCAACATGCTGAGCTAATTAAAAAAAAAAATTCTGTCTGGGCGCGGTGTCTCACGCCTGTAATCCCAGCACTTTGGGAGGTGGATCACCTGAGGTCGGGAGTTCGAGACCAGCCTGACCAACATGGAGAAACCTCGTCTCTACTAAAAATACAAAATTAGCCGGTCGTGGTGGCACATGCCTCTAATCCCAGCTACTCGGGAGGCTGAGGCAGGGGAATCGCTTGAACTTGGGAGGCAGAGGTTATGGTGAGCCGAGATCACGCCATTGCACTCCACCTCGGCAACAAGAGCAAAACTCCATCTCAAAAAATTATATATATATTTTGTAAAGACTTGTTTACAAAACAAGTCTTATTATGTTGACCAGGCTGGTCTCAAACTCCTGGTTTCAATCTATCCTCCTGCCTCGGCCTCCCGAAGTGCTGGGATTTTAGGTGTAAGCCACTGTGCCAGGCCCACAGATGTTAAATGTACAATTTGATGAGTTTTGATAAATGCATACTCATTTCCATCAGCTCCCAGAAAGTCTCTACCCCAGTGTAATTGCTCAGTGGGTTCTTCCTGCCTGCCGCCCAGACAAAACCAGTTCGCTGAGACCGTGGTATTACAGTAAAGAAGTATTTTAATTAACATGATGCCGGCCACGTGGGAGAACTGGAGTTATCACTCAAATCAGTTTCCTTGAAGGCTTGAAGGTTAGGGTTTTTCAAGGATAGTTTAATGGGCAGGGGACTAGGGAATGGGTGCTGCTTACTGTTTGGGGATGCCATCATAGGGGTGTGGAAAACGGTCCTTGGGCACTGAGTCCAACACTGGGTGCAAGGCTACAGGACTGGTTGAGTGATGAGTCATGAGTCCGGGTGGGGTCAGTCAGTTGCCAGCATGCAAAAGTCTGAAAAATATCTCAAAAGACCAATCTTAGGTTCTACCATAGTTATCTATAGGAGCAACTGGGGAAGTCATCAATGTTATGACCTCTGGCCGCATGTCTCCTGTGTCATAAAGGATTATAGAAACCATGTCTACATTTTAGCAGAATTCAGGCACCTATAATTCTAATCTCATGTCCTTTCATTGTCTTTCAAAGGCAGTTTCCTCCCCTAAACAAGGAAGGAATCCGTTTTAGGGAGAGAGTGTTATCATCCTTGCTTCAAAGTTAAACTATAAGCTAAATTCCTTCCATGTTCAGCTTGGCCTCTACCCAGGAGTGAGCAAAGACCCCCAGCGTGTGAGGTTAGAAGCAAGATGGAGTCAGCTATTTCAGATTTCACTCACTGTCATAATCTTTGCAAAGGCAGTTTCACTAGAAAGCACTGTTCTGACTTCTATCATCATAGATCAATTTTGACTATTCTTGAACTTTATATAAATGGAACCATACAGCATATAATCTTTTGTGTATGGTTTGTTTCACTTGCATTTTTGAGATTCTTCCATGTTTTACATATACATGTGTAGTTTACTTGTATTTGTTGCTGGATATTATTCCATTGCATGAATAACCATCATTTTGCTAGGTTGTGGTATAGCTTAACTTTTTTTTTTTTTTTTTTTTGAAATGGAGTCTCACCCTGTTGCCCAAGCAGGAGAGCAATGGCACGATCTCGGCTCATTGCAACCTCCGCCTCCTGGGTTCAAGCGATTCTCCTGCCTCAGCCTCCCAAGTAGCTGGGACTACAGGCACCCACCAGCACACCTGGCAAATTTTGTATTTTTAGTAGAGATGGGCTTTCACCATGTTGGCCAGGCTGGTCTTAAACTCCTGAGCTCAAGCAATCTGCCTGGCTCGGCCTTCTGAAGTGCTGGGATTACAGGGTTAGCCATGGCACTTGGCCTCATTAGATTTATACTTTAAGGATAATTCCTTAAGTCACATTTCACCAGTAGATGTCCTACCAGTTAGTTCAATCTGGCTAGCAGCATAGTGGACTTCATCACCTTTACCAATATCATGTCAATGTGTCTGTATTCCTCACCTGTGAAATGGTACTTTAGGCCGGGCACAGTGGCTCACGCCTGTAATTCCAGCACTTTGAGAGGTTGAGGCAGGAGGATCACCTGAGGTCAGGAGTTTGAGACCAGCCTGGCCAACATGGTGAAACCTCGTCTCTACTAAAAATCCAAAAAAACTAGCCGGGCGTGGTGGTGCATGCCTGTAATCCCAGCTACTTGGGAGGCTGAGGCAGGAGAATCACTGGAAGGTGGAGGTTAGAGTGATCTAAGTGAGCCAAGTGAGCCAAGATCACACCACGGCACTCCAGCCTGGGCAATGTGAGTGAAAACTCTGTCTCCAAAAAAAAAAGAAATGGTACTCTATAGTTTAGAAAGTGTTTTCAGTTTGTTGTGTTTCCATTTTGTAGATGCAGAAACAGGCGCAGAGGAAATAAGAGATTTGTCCAAGTCATCTAGCTAAGGAGTGGCCAGTGTAGAACTGAAACCTGGGTCTTTTTTTTTTTTTTGGAGACATGGTCTGACTTTGTTGCTCGGCCTGGAGTGCAGTGGCATGATCATAGCTCACTGCAGCCTTGAACTCCTGGGCTCGAGCAATCCTCCCACCTCAGCCTCTTGAGTAGCTGGGACTACAGATGCGTGCCACCATGCCTGGCTAATTTTTTAATTTATTTCATTTTTGTTTTGTAAAGTGAGGTTTCACTATGTTGCCTAGATTGGTCTTGAACTCTTGGCCTCAAGCGATCCTCCCACCTTGGCCTTCCGAAGTGCTGGGATTACAGGCATGAATCACTGTGCCTGGCTGAACAGGGATCTTTTTGTTCCTAATTAGGTGCCCTTTACTCTAAGCTACCTGGGACCTTTGCAGTCTTGGGAAATCCCACCCGAAGTTGTCCCAGTACAAGGGACAGGGCCGCTAGTCTCTGGGCTGGCTCCTTCCTGCAATTCCTAAGGTGGCCTTGTCCCTAGAGTTCTTTTGTTTGTTTGTTTGTTTGTTGTTTGTTTTTTGAGACGGAGTCTCGCTCTGTCACCAGGCTGGAGTGCAGTGGCACGATCTCGTGCTCACTACAACCTCTGCCTCCTGGGCTGAAGCGATTCTCCTGCCTCAGCCTCCTGAGTAGCTGGAATTACAGGTGCCCACCACCACACCCGGCTAATTTTTTTTTTTTTTTGTATTTTTAGTAGAGATGGGATTTCATCGTGTTAGCCAGGATGGTCTCGATCTCCTGACCTCATGATCCTCCCACCTTGGCCTCCCAAAGCATTGGGATTACAGGCATAAGCCACCACACCTGGCCTACACCTGGCCTACGACCGTGGAGTTTTAAGGCCCCATCTCACATTGGCTTGGTGTTGTAGAAGAGATTTACCACAAAGTTGATCATCTCCTCAACCATCAGGAGATGATAACTTTATTCTGAGTAGGGGATTTTTACTCTTTTTTTCTGTATTCCAGCTGGAAATGAATCCAACCAGGACAGGAAATGAATCCCCTAGACTCCTATATGGGCAAGGGCAGGCCTGGGACAGAGGGGCTTAGCTAGTCCATCCAAGCGTGGAGCTGATTGATTTGAGTCCAAGGCGATGCTAACCATTCTGCCCCGACTCTAGCTCTGTGTACGGGCATGTCTGTGTTTTGAATGGCTGAGGGTTCAAAGCCAGAAGGAGTTAGTTCTCCTGAGAAGAGGCTGCAGCCTCCTGGTCTATCTGCAGAGCTCATCGCTTTAGGAAAGTGACTCCCCATGAATCTGATGATGTTTCTGAGACTTGCCTTCCATAGCTGTCATTCAAACTAGGACCATTTATCAAAATGAGCCGAGTGCATAGCACGTTCCGGGCGCCGGATGCTTGGATCACATTGATGAATAAGGGACTTCAGGGGCTCCCAGGTGTGCTGTGTGTGTGTGGTGGAGAGTGTGCAGGGGCCAGAGGAATGAACAAATCATCCAATACTGTGAGATAAGGACTTCGCTAAAGGTACGATTGAGGTGTTGTGAGATTCACAGGAGGTAGAGATCTGGGTGATCCTCCTCTGGTTCAAGGCCTGGCTCCCTGGGTCTAAGTTTCTCAGAATCCCACTTCACCATGCATCCTCTCTCTTCTGTAGATTGCATCTTTCTTCCCCACTGGCTCTTTCCCATCAGCACCTAAGGATACTCCAGCATCTCTCTCCTTTAAGAAAACAGCCTCAGGCCAGGCGCGGTGGCTCACACCTGTAATCCCAGCACTTAGGGAGGTGGAGGTGGGCGGATCACGAGGTCAAGAGTTTGAGACCATCCTGGCCAACATGGTGAAAAATTGTCTCTACTAAAAATACAAAAATTAGCTGGGCATGGTGGCACGCATCTGTAATCCCAGCTACACAGGAGGCTGAGGCAGAAGAATCGCTTGAACCCGGGAGGCGGAGGTTCCAATAAGCCGAGATCATGTCACTGCACTCCAGCCTGGGTGATAGAGAGAGACTCCATCTCAGGAAGAAAAAAAAAAAAGAAAGAAAAGAAAACAGCCTCATTGCGTCTACATCATTCTTTTGCTGTTGGCTTTTCTCAGCCAGCTTTCTTGGAAGCACTGGTTGCTCTGCCTGACTCAGTTTCCTTGTTTATAGGGTCTTCTCCAACCTCTGCGGCCAGGTCTCTGCCCTGCTTACTGTCTCATTTGCACCTGCGGGATGTTACTTTATTTTATTTTTTGAAACAGGGTCTTGCTCTGTCACCCAGGCTGGAGTGCAGTGGAGCTATCATAGCTCACTTCAATCTCCTGGGCTCAAGTGATCCTCCTTCCTCAGCCTCCCAAGTAGCTGGGACCACAGGTGCACCACACCACGCCCAGCAATTTTTTTTGTTTTGTTTTGTTTTACATTTTGTAGAGATAGGGTCTCTCTATGTTGCCAAGGCTGGTCTCGAATTCCTGGTCTCAAGCAATTCTCTTGCTTTGGCCTTCCAAAGTGCTGGGATCACAGGTGTGAGCCACTGCACCTGCCCTCCTCCTCCTCCTCCTTCTTTTTTTTTGACGGAGTTTCGCTGTTGTTGTGCAGGCTGGTGTGTAATGACACGATCTCAGCTCCCTGCAACCTCCGCCTCCCGGGTTCAAGCGATTCTCCTGCCTCAGCTTCCCAGGTAGCTGGGATTACAGATGCCCGCCACTACACCCGGGTAATTTTGTATTTTTAGTAGAGATGGGGATTCGCCATGTTGGTCAGGCTAGTCTCAAACTCCTCACCTCAGGTGATCCACCTGCCTCGACCTCCCAGAGTGCTGGGATTGCAGGTGTGAGCCACGGTGCCCAGCCACCTCCTTCTTCTAATTATGATCTTCCCTGGGGCTAATTTCACACATTGCCACTCAAGGTCACACACCTTACCTTTCTCACTACAGCAGAGGAAGCATTTCTAGAACCTCCTGGTTGGGGCTGGGGTCCCATCACATCCACACTGTGGCTGGGAGAAGGGAAGGGCTTTGGTCAATGTTATCAATCATCAGCTCCAGTTGGGCCTGAGGCATATAAGTTCAAGGTCTCGTCCACAGTGTGCTGGCCCAGACTGGGCAGAGCCAGTGGCTGGCAGGGGTTGCCGGTCCACTCCAGCCCTCACCGTTGGGGCCATGGGGTGGGTTGATTGGGTTTTGCCTCTGCTTAGCCTGTTATGGTGATGGTGAGTAGAGATGGATGGGCTGTCTATCCACGGAGCACTTTTTTTTTTTTTTTTTTTTTGAGACGAAGTCTTGCTCTGTTACCCAGGCTGGAGTGCAGTGGTGCGATCTTGGCTCACTGCAACCTCTGCTTCCCAGTTTCAAGTGATTCTCCTGCCTTGGCCTCCCAAGTAGCTGAGACTACAGGTGCCCGCCTCCACGCCCGGCTAATTTTTGTATTTTCAGTAGAGATGGGGTTTCACCATGTTGGCCTGGCTGGTCTCACACCCCTGACCTTGTGATCCACCCGCCTTGGCCTCCCAGAGTGCTGGGATTACAGGCTTGAGCCACCGCACCCAGCCTCAGGGAGCATTTTAAACTTATCTCCTTTTCTTTTTTGAGATAGGGCCTCACTCTGTCATCCAGGCTGGAGTGCAGTGGTGCCATCTCGGCTCACTGCAACCTCTGCCTCCTGGGTTCAAGCAATTCTCCTGCCTCAGCCTCCTGAGTAGCTGGGATTATAGGTGTGTACCACCACACCTGGCTAATTTTTGTATTTTTAGTAGAAAGGGGGTTTCACCATGTTAGTCAGGCTGGTCTCGAACTCCTGACTTCAGGTGATCTGCCTGCCTCAGCCTCCCAAAGTGCTGGGATTACAGGCGTGAGCCACCGTGCCCGGCCTTAACTTCATGTATTTATTTCTTTTTCTCTTCCTGGGGCCTCCAGGGCTGTGGTGTCATCAACAGTTCCCCGTACTGTTTACTGGGACCCCCATGCTTCCGGCCCCCGGTGACACGTGGGAGCTCAGTAGCTGGCAGGGCAGGACCCATCATGAGAGTCCCAGAACTGGGGAACACCGAGAAGCAGAGAATGGGGCCCCACGCAGACCAGGAGCCCCATGCCTGAGCTGCAAGGAGGGACTTGCAGGCAAGGTTTTCCACCTGGATCTGTTCAGATGCAGTGACCTTGCAGAGTGATGGGGCCGGGACACTTCGTGCATCAAAGCACATAATTAACAATAAAAAGGAAAGGGGCCCAAGAAGAGGGGTCCCAGAAGAGAGGTCCAAGTTTCCTAGAGGGCAAGGACAGGCCATGATTGACAAGCCAGAAGTGGGCTCATGAGAACTGGGCTTTCTCTGCCAATAGTTGTGCTGTCCTGACCTAAGCTTACCTTCTCTAAATGTGTCAATCTAGAAAGAGAACAGGGCTTTGGTTTTGCAAGATTAAAAAGGTCTGCAAATTAATTGCACACACATTGTAATAAATCTCCACCCCTTTTTCATCTTGCAAATTCTATGAATTTTGGATGCCTCATATAAGTGAAATCACAGTGTTAGTTTTTTTGTGACTGCCTTATTTCGCTTAGCATTATGTCTTCAAGATTCATCCATGTAGCAAGGGTCAGAATTTCCTTCCTTTAAAGGCTGAATGATATTCCACTGTAGGGATATTACTATCCATTCATCTGCCATGGGACATTGATTTGGGTTGCTTTTACTTCTTGGCTATTGTGAATAATGCTGCCATAACCATAGGTTGCAAATATCCCTTCCCTCCCCTCCTTTCCCTTCCCTTCCCTTCCCCCCTCTTCCCCCTCTTCCCCCTTCCCTCCCCTTTTCTTTTTCTTTCTTTCACTTGTCCTTCCCTTCCCTTCCCTCCCTCCCTTTCTTCTTCCCTCCCTCCCTCCCCCTCTTCCTTCCTTCCTTCCATCCTTCCATCCTTCCATCCTTCCTTCCTCCCTCCCGTCCCCTTTCTTTCTTTTTCTCTCTCTTTCTTTCTTTTTTCCCCTCCCTCTCTCCCCCCTCCCTTCCTTCCTCCCTTCCCCTTTTCCTTCCTTCTTTCTTTCTTTCTTCCTTTCTTTCTCTCTCTCTTTCTTCCCTCCCTCCCTTCCTTCCTCCTTCCTTCCCTCCCTCCCTCTTTTTTCTCTTTTTTCTTTTCTTTCTTTCTTTCTTTCTTTCTTTCTTTCTTTTTCTTTCTCTCTTTCTTTCTTCTTTTATTCTTTCTTAATCTTTCTCTCTCTCTTTCATTGTTTTTCTTTTCCTTTTTTTGTGACAGGGTCTTGCTCTGTCACCCAGGCTAAATTGCAGTGGCACAATGATAGCTCACTGCAGCCTCGACGTCCTGGGCTCAAGCAATCCTCCTACCGTAGTCTCCCAAGTAGCTGGGTCTACAGGCATGTACCACCATGCTTGGCAAATTTTCAAATTTTTTATAAAAATGGGATCTTGCCATGTTGCCCAGGCTGGTATGGAACTCCTGGCCTCAAGTGATCCTCCCATATCAGCTTTCCAAACTGCTGGGATTACAGGCTCATGCCACCACTCCCAGCTAATTTTTTATATTTAGTAGAGATAGTGTTTCACCATGTTGGTCAGGCTGGTCTCGAACTCCTGACCTCAGATGATCCACCCACCTCGGCCTCCCAAAGTGCTGAGATTACAGGTGTGAGCCACCAAGCCCAGCATCTAATTCTTATTTTATTATTATTTTTTTTGAGATGGAGTTTTGCTCTTGTTGCCCAGGCTGAGGTGCAATGGCGCGATCTCAGCTCACCACAACTCTGCCTCCCGGGTTCAAACGATTCTCCTGCCTCAGCCTCCTGAGTAGCTGGGATTACAGGCTCCTGCCACCACGCCTGGCTAATTTTGTATTTTCATTAGAGATGAGGTTTCTCCATGTTGGTCAGGCTGGTCTTGAACTCCTGACCTCAGGTGATCCACCCACCTTGGCCTCCCAAAGTGCTGGAATTACAGGCTTGAGCTACCGTGCCCGGCCTCTAATTCTTATTTTTATTTTATTCATTTATTTTGGAGACAGTGTCTTGCTCGGTTGCCCAGATGATCATAGCTCACTGCAGCCTCTAACTCCTGAGCTCAAGTAATCCTCCCACCTCAGCTTCCTGAGTAGGCGGGACTACAGGTACACACCACCATGCCCGGCTAATTTTAAAATTGTTTGTAGTGGCGGGGTCTCGCTATGTTGCCCAGGCTGGTCTCAAACTTCTGGCTCCAAGTGATCCTCCCACCTCAGCCTCCCAAAGCACTGGTATTATAGGTGTAAGTCACCACCCTTGGCTTTAAGCTTCTAATTCTTTCTTTCTTTTTTTTTTTTTTTTTTGTTGGGACAGAGTCTCATTCTGTTGCCCAGGCTGGAATGTGGTAGTGCGACGATAGCTCACTGCAGCCTTGAACTCCTGGGCTCAAGCAATCTTCCCACCTTAGCCTCCCAAGTAGCTGAGACTACAGGTGCACACCACCTGTAGCTCTGCTAAGTTTTAAATTTTTCACAGAGGTAGGTTCTCGCTATGTTGCTGAGGCTGCTCTCCAACTCCTGGGCTCAAACGATCCTCCTGCCTCAGCTTCTCAAAGTGCTGGCATTGCAGATGTGAGCCACCACGCCCAGGCTCTCTGCATCATTTTAACAAAGAGTCATAGCCTCTGAGCCCTGGGCTGTGGCGGGGCCAGCCCTGTTTCCCTCTCACACTCCAGTGCAGGACAACATCAGCAAGTGCTTTCAGATTACAGGTGTGAGCCACTGCGCCTGGTCAGGAGTTCAAGACCAGCCTGGCCAACATGGTGAAACTCTGTCTCTACTAAAAATACAAAAAAATCAGTCGGGCGTGGTGGTGCATGCCTGTAGTCCCAGCTACTGGGGAGGCCAAGGCAGGAGAATTGCTTGAACCCAGGGGGCAGAGGTTGAAGTGAGCCGAGATCATGCCATTGCACTCCAGCCTGGACGACAAAGTGAAACTGTCTCAAAAAAAAAAAAAAAAAAAAAGAAAAGAAAAAGAAACAAAGGAAGTGCTCTCGGCCTGGCGTGGCAGTGATATAAGACATCAGGCCCCTTCCCATGTAACCGGAAACCCATGAACAGAGCCTGGTGGTTTTACAAACAGGAGGAGCAGAATGGAGAACAGAGAATCTCATCTTCTGGGGGTCCACACGTGTTCCCCAAGATTGTGGGAATGAGTGTGTGCAGCTGGCTTGGGCAAGGGTGCCGTGGCACTGCAGGGGCCAGCAGCTTTCCACCTATCCAGGACTTGCTAACAACTTGCTAACGGCCCTGACTGAGATGACTCAGTTTCCCAGCTAGAACTCCCCAGCAGCAAATGCAGGCTTGGCTGCTGTATCATTGATCACTCCCAGCCTGTCCCTGCCAAGCAATTCTATATCCCTCACCTGCTTGGAGAGTGGAAAGGCCACAGGCGTCAATAGCCTCAGACCCAGCATTTAAATCCTGGCTCCACACACTAGTTCTGTGGGCTGGTCGCTTCCTGTCTGAACCTCCATTTGCTCATCTATAAAGTGAGCACAGCGATACCTGTCTTGCAGAATTGTCAATATATTGTATATGAAATGAGGTGACAAGTACCTGATGTGGCACAATTGGTGGTACAGAGTAGGCCTGAATAAATGGCCCTTGTTACTGTCATTCCCCGACCTGCCCAGCACTAGGCACAATAGTGTTAGAAACCCACATTGATTAGCCGGGCACAGTGACTCATACCTGTCATCCCAGCACTTTAGGAGGCCAAGGCAGGAGGATTGCTTGAGGCCAGGAGTTAGAGACTAGCCTGGCCAACATAGACCCCGTCTCTACAGAAAACTTTAAAAATTAGCTAGGCATGGTGGTGTGCACCTGCTACTCAGGAGGCAAAAGTGGGAGAATCGCTTGAGCCTCGGAGGTTGAGGCTGCAGTGAGCTGTGATTGTGCCACTGCACTCCAGCCTGGGTGACACAGCGAGACCCTGTCTCCAAAAAATATATAAATAAATACAGACTGACTGATTTTTGTATTTTCCCCTTCAGGATATAGATGCTTAGGACTGAGATGAGAATGCTAAGACCCCGGCATGTTCTGGTGTGTGTGTGTGTGTGTGTGTGTGTGTGTGTGTGTGTGTGTGAGAGAGAGAGATTCAGTCTCTGCCTTTTCATGCAACGTGAAGGGTCTCAGTATGGATCCCCTGAGTACCAGAAAGCACCCTGTCAGGTAGAGGGTGCCAGGAATCCCCGGTCTTGCTGCCAGCGCTGGGAGCCCTGGGCTGAGGTCCAGAGTTAGTGACCCCCTGCAAAGCTGCTGTTTTCCTTTAGGGAGTGGAGATTGGTTGGGGTTTGGAGTCCAACCAAATTCCCCTTGGAGGGCAGCCCATCAGCAACAGGGATGCTGTGAACGTCCCTGGGAGGTGGTGGGTTGTGTAGACAGAGGCCGGAAGTCAGGACCTTTTGAAGCAGCATTATTGTCAGGGGTAAATACCTGAGGTTCATCATCTCACGCCAGGGAAATCAAAGACATGGACCCACAAGAAGTGAGTTTAAGAGCAGAGGTTTAATAGGTGATAAAGAGAGAAAAGAGAACAGCCCTCCCTCCTGCAGATAGAGAGGGGCTGCCGAGTGGGTCTTCTGGTTTCATGGCGAAATGCACAGGGCGGGGGGAGGATGGGGGGTGGTTTATAGATGAGCCTGAAGAGGCAGAGTCTGATTTACACAGCGCCCGAGAGATTGGTCAGACCAGGTGTGACGTTTGCATAGTGTGCGAAGAAGCTGGCCATCCCACCCCAATCTTTTATTGTGCAGACGGGTTCTCTACCTGGCTGCTGCCATCTTGTCTGTTCCTTCCTGTACACATGGTTGACAAAGAAAAGGGAAGATGGGGCCGGGCGCGGTGGCTCACGCCTGTAATCCCAGCACTTTGGGAGGCTGAGGCGGGCAGATCACGAGGTCAGGAGATCAAGACCATCCTGGCTAACACGGTGAAACCCTGTCTCTACTAAAAATACAAAAAATTAGCCAGGTATGGTGGCGGGCGCCTGTAGTCCCAGCTACTTGGGAGGCTGAGGCAGCAGAATGGCATGAACCCGGGAAGCAGGGCTTGCAGTGAGCCGAGATCGCGCCACTGCACTCCAGCCTGGGTGACAGAGCGAGACTCCGTCTCAAAAGAAAAGAAAAAGAAAAGGGAAGAAGGAGCCGCCATGTTGAACCTACCTGGCCCCCAGGTAACCCTTTTCTATTGGCACGGCTGCCGGCATTTACATATGCAAGCTTTTAGCTTGCTTACCTGTGCTTGTAGATTTTCAGGCTGCTTTTTGTTAGAAAAGAAATGATTCACACTTGTAATCCCAGCACTTTGGGAGGCCAAGTCTGGTAGATGGCTTGAGGTCAGGAGTTCAAGACCAGCCTGACCAACATGGTGAAACCCCGTCTCTACTAAAAATACAAAAATTAGCCGGGCATGGTGGTGCACGCCTGTAATCCCAGCTACTCAGGAGGTTGAGGCAAGAGAATCGCTTGAACCCGGGAGGTGGAGGTGCAGCCAGCCAAGATCACACCACTGCACTCCAGCCTGGGCAACAGAGCAAGACTCAGTCTCAAAAAAAAAAAAATAAAAGAAATTATTTTGCAGCTGCTTTTTATTAAAAGGAAACCCTTACCAAGGACTCTCTTACCCCCACTATCTGCCTAAAGAATTTCTTTCTAGCTCTTTTATCACTTTGTAAGTGACCTGCCCATCCGTTTCTCTTCTGGAAATAGGGTCATAGGAGTAGCCCTGCTGGGGAAGGGGCACCTTGGAGGTCTCTGCTCCCCGAGGCAGGGCTCCGTGCCGCCAAGCAAGGCCTCCGTAACGACCCACTGAGCCCTGGTTATCGTAAACTTCCTGCAGAAGGGGGCTTACCTTCCCATGATGCCATGTCTAGACACAAGGTCAGGTATAAGTTATGGAGATGATGTAGCATGTTCGGTGGTTAAACCGTAAAACTTTAATGAGAGATTTCTGTGTCTTGAACATGTGCTGGGGAAACTGTGGGAGGAGGGAGGGGGAGACGCATTCACTTCCTTTCCACTTCTTCTCTGGCCATCTGTAGGGGTGCAGGCACCGCCCTGGAGGCCAAGCCCTTGGCGCTCAGCTGAGATTTGGTGTCAGTGAGTGGCCTCCACCAGACCTGGCAGTTCCCAGGCCTGGCTCCCATTAAGCAGCTAGATGGAGCTCTGCCCTGCTGCACCGGGTGGACCTTGGCCAAGTCACAGCCTCGCAGGGCCTCGGTTTTCTCATCTGTGAAATGGGGTTGGGAGAGAGACTCTCCCAGCACAAATGTTTCCATCTCCTGATCTTCTATGATCTGGCAGAGCGCATCAGCAGACACGCATGTTGAGCAGAAGGAATGCCTCTCTGAGTTTCAGACCTGCCTCGTGGGGCCCTGGGGACACTGTAGGGCAGAGGAATAGCTTTATGGACTGTAAAGTGCTGTGCAGACACACAGCCCTCCTGGAAATTCTGGGGGTCTCTCTCTGAAAAGGGGTGAAAGCTATGCTGGTAGCTATTTAGGAGATATCTTTGTGGAAAAGGAAATGGAGACTGCTGTGGTTTTTTTTCTGACTCCAAATACATTGCTCCAATTCTCTGACACCACCACCATTCCATTCAGACACTACTGGGAGTTAGAGCAGACCCCAGAGTTTAAGGGCTCAAGACCATAAGACTGCTCCCACGTCAGATGCCGGCCATAAACGGGGTGCCCAGTTTACCTGCACTTATGCAAATTCAAGGGTTTACACGATTTCTCTCTTTTTTTTTTTTTTTGAGACAGAGTTTTGCTCTTTTCGCCCTGGTGTGCAGTGGCACGATCTTAGCTCACTGCAATCTCCGCTTCCTGGATTCAAGCAATTCTCCTGCATCAGCCTCCTGAGTAGCTGGGATTACAGGCGTGTGCCACCATACTCAGCTAATTTTTGTATTTTTAGTAGAGATGGGGTTTCACCATATTGGCCAGGTTGGTCTCGAACTCCTGGCCTCAAGTGATCCGCCCACCTCAGCCTCCCAAAGTGATGGGATTACAGGCGTGAACCACCGCGCCCAGCTGGTGTCCACGATTTCTGCCTCATGTTTGGTAATTCGCTAGAACCACTCACAGAACTCAGGAAAGCACTTTGCTGATGGTTACCATCTTATTGTAAAGGAAACACTTGAGTAGCAGCCAACTGGGAGAGATGCACGTGAAGTGGCGTCGCTGTCTGGGGTAAATACTCAAGATTCGTTGTCTCACGACCATGGGCAACTAGGACACAGACACACAAAGAATGATGGTCAGTGCAGAAGTTGAATCAGCGAAAGCAAGAGAAGAGCTCTCTCTGCTGCAGAGAGAGGGGTCCCGGAGAAATGGATTGCCTTTTTTTTTGTTTTTTTTTTTTTTTCGAGACAGAGTCTGGCTCTGTCATCCAGGATGGAGTGCAGTGGTTCGATCTCACTGCAACCTCTGCCTCCCAGGTTCAAGCGATTCTACTGCCTCAGCCTCCTGAATAGTTGGGATTACAGGCGCGCACCGCCATGTCCAGCTAATTTTTTGTGTAGGGAGGGGGTTTCACCATGTTGGCCAGGCTGGTCTTGAACTCCTGACCTCAGGTGATCCGTCCACCTCGGCCTCCCAAAGTGCTGGGATTACAGGCATGAGCCACCACGCCCAGCCCCGGGTAGCCCTTTTCTATTGGCATAGCTGCCGGCATTCACCCCTGCAAGCTTCTGTCTTTCTTCTCTATGTCTGCTGCTTGATTTTTCAGGCTGCTCTTTGTTAGAAAAGAAATGATTTGGGGGCTGCTTTTTGTTAAAAGGGAAACCTTGCCAAGGACTGTATCGCCGTTGCTCTCTGCCTAAATAATCTCTTTCTATCTCCTGTATCACATAGGCCAGTATGGAGGGTGGGGACGGGATGTAGAGCTTCTCTATCTTTTCTGAGTATCCGCTGTCCCAGAACATTCAGGTGCTTACCAACCTGGAAGCTCCATAATCTCCACTGTTAGGGTTTTTATATGGGGTCTCGTTACATAGGCTCGATTGATTACATCATTGGCCATTGTTGATTAACACAATCTCATCTTTCTTCTCTTCCTGGGGGTCAAGGTTGGAGCTGAAAGTTCCCACCCTCTAGTCACGTGGCTGGCTTCTCTGGCCCCCACCCTCTCACCCTGAAGCTGTCTAGGGGCCCAGCAGGGATCACCTCACTTAGCATAAACTCAGATTTGGGGGAAAGAGGCTTGTTATGAATAACAAAACACACTCCTATCACTCAGGAAATTCCAAGGGTCTTAGGGGCTCCACGCTAGCAATTTCAACAAAGACCAAATACATATATTTTATTATACCACAGACACAGAGGCCTTTGGAGCTGAGGCTGGATGCTACTCTGTGTACTGAAGACACTCACTCGGGCCTTAAGGTCAAGGTACAGGAGGCCCTGATTTCCAGCAATGACATTTCACAGTGCCAGCCCCCACGTGCCATAATATCTGTTCCCATGCAATTAAGCATAAGGGCTTTATACTTGCCTTGTGCACATGGCTGAGCAATGGCAGAGATTTGAATAGGGTGGCTGATGTGGAGCCACATCACGATACACCCTGTGTGAGTGTGTTACCGGAAAGGAGTGTCATCTAGACTCCCAATAGTGGGTTCTTGGATCTTACACAGGAAAGAATTCAGGGTGAGTTGCCGAGTATAGTGAAGCTAAGATAATGTATTAGAGACTACTCAATTACAGAATAGGCTATCCTCAGAAAGCAGAAGGAATACACTCACGTCAAATACAATGCTTGCTTAAATAGAATAACAGAGCTAAGAATAATGTTTTGTTGTTGTTGTTGTTGTTTGTTTTTTTTTTTTTTTTTTTTTTTTTTGAGACAGAGTCTCACTCTGTTGCCCAGGCTGGAGTTCAGTGGCACAGTCTCAGCTCACTGCAACCTCCACCTACCGAGTTCAAGCGATTCTCCTGCCTCAGCCTTCAGAGTAGCTGGGACGATAGGCACGCACCATCGTGCCTGGCTCATTTTTGTATTTTTAGTAGAGATGGGGTTTCACCATGTTGGCTGGGCTGGTCTCCAACTCCTGACCTCAAGTGATCTGCCCACCTTGGCCTCCCAAAGTGCTGAGATTACAGGCATGAGCCGCTGCGCCCGGCCAGAATAAGGTCTTACATGCTTTATTCCAAAGGTTTGTGATCAGGTTGTGACAGGCAATTAGTATTGCTATTCTCTTGTGTAACTGTTGATTTCAGCAAGAATTAATAGGTATGCTATTATCTTTAAAGCAAAACTTTTTTTTTGAGACAGGATCTTACTTTGTCACCCAGGCTGGAGTGCAGTGGTATAAACATGGCTCACTGCAGCCTCAACCGCCCAGGGTCAAGCTATCCTCCTGCCTCAGACCGCCAAGTAGCTAAGACTATAGGCATGCGCCATCACGCCTGGCCAGTTTCCAAATTTGTTTATAGAGATGATGGTTTCACCACGTTGCCAGGCTGGTCTGGAACTCCTGAGCTCAAGCAATCTGCCGACCTTGGCCTCCCAAAGTGCTGGGATTACAGGTGTGAGCCGCTGTGCTCAGCCTTGAAACTTATTTTTAAACTAAGGATGTTTTTTCTTCTTAAGATATCAGGGCATCAGGACATCTCTTTAAGTTCGAGGTCTTATTTAGTTAGTTAACTCATCCCTTCCACCATAAACACCCTGTAACCAAGAGTGCCTAACTTCCTGGGAATGTAACCTACCAGGTTTGGCTTTATTTGGCCATTATTCAAGATGGAGTCACTCTGGTTGAGACTCCTCCAACAGGTGGATCCATTCCGCCATGGAGGGGTTGTGCTAAGCATGTATGGACTGAGGCCATCCTGGTAGGTGAGGACCATGTAGCTCAGGTCATGCACATTGCGCCTCGGGAAAATGCCTCCCAGGAGAGCATGGAGCAGCTGGGATGAGGACAGCCCTTCCCTCAGCCAACTGTTCCACCATCAAATCGCATTTACGAAGTGCCCACATGCTCTTAGGAGCCCATAAACACCGCAATCTGTGGCTCTAACCCTCACTCCTTCCAGTCGAAGTGTTGTGGGGCCCCAGGGGACCTCCGGATCTGCAGAGGGGGTGCACTTGTCTCTGGGTCTCCTGTTCCCACAAGAACCACCTAAAGCATTGCCTGCGTTTCCCCGACATGGCGTTGGAATGTTCCAGAATCCCTGAGCCTTGCTGTGCCTTTGTAGTTATTTATTGCCTGGGCCTCTCATTCAGTGCTTCTCTTACAGGCTTGGAGTTTTCTTCTTTTTTTCTCAATTGCCTATATGTTTATCTTCCCAACTGGTTTATGAGCTGACTATGGGTTGCATCTTTTTTTTTTTCTTTTTTTTTGACACGGAGTCTCACTCTGTCGCCCAGGCTGGAGTGCAGTGGCACAATCTCTGCTCACTGCAAGCTCCACCTCCTGGGTTCACGCCATTCTTCCGCCTCAGCCTCCCGAGTAGCTGGGACTACAGGCGCCCGCCACCACGCCTGGCTAATTTTTTGTATTTTTAGTAGAGACAGGGTTTCACCATTCACCGCATGGTCTTGATCTCCTGACCTTGTGATCCGCCCACCTCAGCCTCCCAAAATGCTGGGATTACAGGCGTGAGCCACTGCGCCCGGCCTGGGTTGCATGTTTTGCTGCCGCTTTTTGGTCTGCTAGGACCCCACCCAGAGGAGAACAAACACTGGGGCTTGGCACCACCTGCAGTCAAACCTGGTCCCACCACCTCTAGTTGTGAAGTTTTGGACAAGGGCTCATACAGGCAACCTCAGCACTTTGGGAGGCTGAGGCAGGAGAATTGCTTGAGGCCAGGAGTTCAAGACCAGCCCAGGCAACAGAGCAACACCTTGTCTCCACACACACACACACACACACACACACACACACACACACACACACAAACACACACAACAAAAAACAAAAACAAAAACAAAACAAAACAAAAAAAATTAGCCAGGTGTGGTAGCTCATGCCTGTAGTCCCAGCTACTTGGGAGATTGTGGTGGGAGGATTGCTTTGAGGCTGGGAGGTTGAGGCTGCAGTGAACTATGATTATTCCACCAAACCGCAGCTGTGTGACAGAGTGAAACCCTGTCTCAAAGAAAAAAAAAAAGATATTTCAAGCAAGCTATCTACTTTTTCAGAGCCTCACTTTGCCCATCAATGAAATGGGAAAAAATGATGCATATCCTCCAGAGTGTTGGAAATATCCTCCAGAGTGTTGGAAAGTAGAGAGGCTGCTTGAATGTGTCTGGTGCATGGTGGGCACCCATGAAACAGGTCCAATGCCAGCCTGTGAAAAGCATGTACGGCTGGCAAAGCCCTGAGCCCTCAACATCACTTCCTTTTACTTTCCCAGTAACCCTGGGCAGCAGGCAGGCAACACTGTGTTCCCATTTTACAGATGAGAAAGATGGGGTCAGGTGGTTAAGTGATTGGATGAAGGCCACATAGATAGTAAGTGAATGATTGATCCTACACCAGAAACCGGGCTTGCTTTTCCTGGCACCATCCTCTCTGAGGAGGAAATGAATGAATCAACAATTACAATACAGGGTTGGGCTGGGTGTGATAGCTTATGCCTGTAATCCCAGCACTTTGGGAGGTCGAGGTAGGAGGATCACTTGAGCCCAGGAAGTCGAGACCAGCCTGGGCAATATAGCAAGACCCCATCTCTAAAAAAAAAAATTAGCCAGGTATGGTGTCACACACCTGTAGACTCAGCTACTCAGGGGGCTGAGGTGGGAGGATCGCTTGAGCCCAGAAGTTTGAAGCTGCATTGAGCTATGATCCCGCCACTGCACTCCAGCCTGGGTGACAGAGCCAGACCCTGTCTCAAAAAATAAATGAATAAAATAAAATAAAATACAGGGTTGCACTGTGTCTGGGGCTATGGTGAAAGGCCTCTGCATGATGGTAGAGGGAAGAAAAGATTTCTATTCTCATCCATTGCTAAGTCCATAGTTAATACCCCTGTGACACAAGATAGATTAACAAGAGAAAAACATGCACATTTGTTTAAGTTTTATGTGACATAGGAAACTTCAGACATGAAGACCCAAAGAAACAGGGAGACCTGTGTATTTTTATGCTAAATTTGATAAAAAAGCGGACAGCTGTGGAGAAGTGTGATTGCACAAAAAGAGTATGATCTCAGGCCAGGCGCAGTGGCTCACGCCTGTAATCCCAGCACTCTGGGAGGCCAAGGCGGGTGGATCCCTTGAGGTTAGGAGTTCGAGACCAGCCTAGTCAACATTGCAAAAATCCATCTCTACTAAAAATGCAAAAAATTAGCTGGGTGTGGTGTGGTGGGTGCCTGTATTCCCAGCTACTCGGGAGGCTGAGGCAGGAGAATGGCTTGAACCTGGGAGGCAGAGGCGGAGGTGAGCCGAGATCGCGCCACTGCACTCCAGCCTGGGCAACAGAGCAAGACTCTGTCTCAAATAAAAAAGGTATGACCTCATCATAACAAACTGGGTGAAACTTAGCAAGGCATGTTCAGATTCTTCTCTGTGTCCCTGTGTCCTCAGAGACAAGGATGTTCCTTTCCTTTAGGTAGGGAGGGCACCTCTGGGGTAAAAGTCTTATGATCTACTTTAGAGGAAAGTCAGAGAATTCTTTTATGACCCGTGTCAGGGGAAAAGTGTGGGGGAAAGTCAGAAAGAACTTCCTGCTTCTGCTGTTTTCTCAAACACCAACATACCATATTTAGGGGTACAGTGTCCTGAGCCCCACTGATGGAGAGAAGCAGGGGCTGTTATTTCCACTACAGAAGGTTTTCAGAGGCCTTATTCACACACAAAGGGTGAGGGTGGATTTCAGGGCCACTAAGTTACGGGCTGGACGCGAGTGTGTGTGTTCGATGTGTGTGTGCGTATATTGTGGGCCTGGTGTGTTTCCGTGTTGTTGTGATGTGCATGTGTGCCTACTGTGTATTGGATGTGCGTGGCGATGATGCATGATTCTGTGGTGATTCCTTCCTTTCCTTCCTTCCTTCCTTTTTCTTTCTTTCTCTTTCTTTCTTTCTTTCTTTCCTTCCTTCCTTCCTTCCTTCTTTCTTTCTTTCTCTCTCTTTCTCTCTCTCTCTTTCTTTCTCTCTCTCTTTTTCTCTCTCTTTCTTTCTCTTTCTCTCTCTTTCTTTCTCTCTCTTTCTCTCTCTCTCTCTTTCTTTCTCTCTCTCTTTCTTTCTTCTTTCTTTTTTTCTCCCTCTCTCTTTGTCTCTCTTTCTTTCTTTCTTCTTTTCAGTATCTCATGTTGTCACCCAGGCTGGAGTGCAGTGGTGCAGTCTCAGCTCACTGCAACCTCTGCCTCCCAGGTTCAAGTGATTCTTGTGCCTCAGCCTCTTGAGTAGCTGGGATTACAGGTGCATGCCACCACTCCCAGCTAATTGTGTGTGTGTGTGTGTGTGTGTGTGTGTGTGTGTGAGTAGAGATGGGTTTCACTATCTTGGCCAGGCTGGTCTTGAACTCCTGACCTCAGGTGATCTGCCCACCTCGACCTCCTAAAGTGCTGGGATTATAGGTGTGAGCCACAGTGCCTGGCCAATTCTGTGGTGATTACATATATGCCCATGTGTTAGTGTTGTCAAAAGACAAAATCATAACAAATGTAGTTATAGATCTAATTGGTTTTTATTCAAGGTTTATCAATTCGGGCAGTCTTCATTCTATAAAATAGAATAAGAGCTTCCACTGCAATAGCAAAACACTGGGTTTTGTAAGATGGAAACAAGGAAATAGAATGATAGGAAAAAACCGGGTTGGTTAACATCGGGTTACTTCTGGTTACTTGGTTACTTTTTTTTTTTTTTTGAGACGGAGTCTCGCTCTGTTGCCCAGGCTGGAGTGCAGTGGCATGATCTCGGCTCACTGCAAGCTCTGCCTCCAGAGTTCATGTCATTCTCCTGCCTCAGCCTCCCGAGTACCTGGGACTACAGGCGCCCGCCACCACACCCGGCTAATTTTTTGTATTTTTAGTAGAGACGGGGTTTTACCGTGTTAGCCAGGATGGTCTCGATCTCCTGACCTCGTGATCCACCCACCTCGGCCTCCCAAAGTGCTGGGATTACAGGTGTGAGCCACCATGCCCAGCCATTTTTTTTTTTTTTGAGATGGAATCTTGCTCTGTTGCCCAGGCTGAAGTGCACTGGCACGATCTCGGCTCACTACAACCTCCTCTGCCTGGGTTCAAGTGATTCTCCTGCCTCAGCCTCCCGAGTAGCTGGGATTACAGGCATGCACCACCACGCCCGGCTAAGTTTTGTATTTTTAGTAGAGACCAGATTTCACCATGTTGGCCAGGCTGGTCTTGAACTCCTGACCTCAGGTGATCTGCCCGCCTCAGCCTCCCAAAGTTCTGGGATTACAGCCATGAGCCACCGAGCCCGGCCTCTGGTTACTTTTTTGTAAGGGTTAAGGCAAGGGGGATGTCTGTATTATACTGACTCAGGTAGACTGGAATCTCCTCTTTTCAGGGAAAACTGGTCTGTTAGTGTGTGAATTGTAAGGTATTGTGTGTCTGCGTGGGATATGCGTGCTGTGTGTGTAGTTAGTGTGAATGATACATGGTCATGTTTGTGCGTGTTTGTGTGTGTGCATTAGCATGCGGAGTGTGAGGTTTGTGTGTGTGCAGTTTGCACAGATGTGCAGTGAGTGCATAGTATGTGTATTATAAGCCCTCAGTGACCCTCTCTTGGGCTGGTTGGATCTGCCTGAGAAAATTTGTCTACTCTTGTATCTGGAGGGTGTACATCTGGCCATCTGCCAGCTAGGAGCTGAGGGGGAGGAAGGGTGTATAGGGAGTATCTTGATATTCAGTGTCTAAACTTGCACTTAATTCCCAGTTTTCAGTATAGTTCTCAGACCCTCAATCATACCTGGTATTCTTCAGTCATGAGATTCCCCCATTTTTTCTCTCCTAAGAATAAGCCTCCAGATTTCTGCCTGAGTGAAGGGGAGGACACAGAGACATCCTCTTTCTTTGAGACTTTGAACCTATCTTGTTTTCAGCACCTCTGTATACCTTCATTTGTCCAAGTACTTGGTATGTTGCCATTGTGGGAGGGGTGTTCTGCGGTGTAGATGAGATTTTCTCAGCTTTCCCTGACCTTTCGTGGGTCAGTAAAATCAGCTACCATTTGTCCATTTGTTTTGCGGTTTCCACATTTCTGTTGCTGTTGACTCTTTTACCCTTGTCAATTTCTTTGTTCTTGTCCATTGATATTTCTTTTTTATTTATTTATTTTTTGAGACGGAGTCTCGCTCTGTTGCCCAGGCTGGAGGGCAATGGCAAGATCTCGCCTCACTGCAACTTCTGCCTCCCAGGTTGAAGCGATTCTCCCACCTCAGCCTCCTGAGTACCTGGGATTACAGGTGCTCACCACTACGCCCACCTAATTTTTGTGTTTTTGTAGAAATGGGTTTCATCATGTTAGCTAGGCTGGTCTTGAACTCCTGACCTCAAGTGATCCACCCACCTCAGCCTCCCAGCGTGCTGGGATTACAGGCATGAGCCGCCACGCCCAGCTCATTGATATCTTTTAAGAAAACACAAACCTTTCTGTGACTTGAGGTGCGGTTTCGGGAGAGCGTGGTGGTAAATGTGTGTCTGCTATCTGTGCCCAAAACAGATGAGCAGAGGAAAATAAAGTGTCCTTTTGTAAAATTAGGTCATGACACAGGACAGCCAGACTCAGTCACCCTTAGTGTCCCTCTCACCATTCTAATGGTAAAGTTAAAACTCTGAATCTCCAAAATTTACATAAGAAATATTTCAAATTAACCGAAAGTACACAAAACGCCCCATAAAATACATATATACTTACCACTAAGATTTAACAGTTGTTAGCATTATGTCATATTTGCTTCAGTGTTTCCTTTTTAACTTTTTATTTTGAAATAATCCAGAACAGTGTATTTTAAAGGAATAAAATGTTATGGGTATGGCTAAAGTCAGGTATCCTGTATGCGTTTTCTCTTTTTCAAAATGTGACACTAATCAAGTTGGTGGGTGTCATTCCTAGACAAATTTCTCTACTTTTACTACATATATATTTATAGCTATAAACAAAACATACTATTGTGTGTTTTAAAATTTGCATAATGATGTTCTGCTGAATTCATCATTTTGTAGCTTGCTTTTTCACTTGACAAAATAGTAGTAAGATCTATACATATTGACTCTTTTGCCTCTCATTGATTTTAACTGCTTTATAGTATTTCACTGTGGGGATATACTGCCATTTATTTATCATTCCCCTACTAACAGATATATTGCTTCTGCTTTTTCACAATTACAAACAGTGCTGCAGGGACTACCTTTGAATCCTTGTGCATGCGAGCAAAGGCTTGCCCAGACAGAAAATACTTACAGTTAATTCTTCTACATATTGTCAATTGCTCTCCAAACTCAGTGTTCCAATTTCCACTTCACCAGCAGTGTATAAAAGTTTTCCATTATTCCACAGTCTAGCCAATTTTTGGTGTTACTAGAATTATTACATTTTGGACACAAATGGATGAGAAACTGTATATCATTTTAAAATTTGCATCTCCCTAATACATCCAAATTTAAGCCTCTTTCAGTTTTGTTTGTTCAAAAATTAGTCTTTAGACATCGCTCTTGAATGATGGTTTAGCTGGGTATAAAATTCTGGGTTGACAGTTATATTTCCTCTGCATTTTGGAGATATTACACCATTATCTTCTAGCCTCTATTGTTGCTGTTGAAAGATTTACTGAAGGTGTCTTTGGAGGTAATTCATTCCTTTTCTTTGGTTGATTATAGTATTTTGTCATTATATTTGGAATTCTGCAGAGCCACTATGATTTGGTGTCTAGATATGTATCAGTTTACTTACCCATTTAAGACTCTTTGTAAATCTTGAATCCTTGATACATGAGGATCCACATATTTTTAAATCAATTCCAGAAAACCTCAAGCTATTATCTCTTCAGATTTTGCCTCTTTATAAAATTTCCTCTATTCTTTGTTTCTGGAACTCCTTTTATTATTTGTTTGTTTGCATTTTTATTGGCATATCATCATTGTACATATTTTGGGAGTACATGTGATATTTTGATATGTGTATATAATACATAATGATCAAATATCCATCACCTCAAATATTTATATTTTTCCTGTGTTGGAAACATTACAATTCTTCTCTTTTAGCTATTTTGAAATCTATAATAAATTATTGTTAACTATAATTTCTCTACTGTACTATTGAATACTAAAACAATTTTTTTTAAGAGTCAGGGTCTCACTAGTTTTTCCAGACTGTTCTTGAACTCCTGGGCTCAAGCAGTCCTTCCACCTCAGCCTTCTAAGCAGCTGGGATTTAGAACTTATTCCTTCTATCTAGCTGTATGTTTTTACCCAGTGGAAGTTCTTTCAGATAATATCCTCATTCTCTCATTCTATCCTCTGAGTCTCTAAACTGCTCATAATTTCTATTTCTTTTGCATTTTGGGCAATATTCTCAGATCTAGCTTTCATTTTATTTGTCTTCTCTTCAGTGTGTCCAATAAGACTTTTTATCTGCCAATTTAATTATTATTATTCTAATTTTTCCAAGTTATACTTAGTTCCTTTTCACTTCTACCCTATTTTCAACTCCTTCTTTTAGCTCTTTGATATTTTTAAACATTCTTATTTTACACATGTCATATTTTATTTCATATTAGAGTTTTTATTTTCTCATGTTGCTGGGGCTTTAATCTTTCTGATTGTTTTAATTTATTTTTGTTTGTTTGTTTGTTTTGAGACAGGGTGTCACTCTATTGCCTAGCCTGGAGTGTCATAGTGCAATCCTGGCTTACCATAACCTTGACCTTCTGTACTCGAGTGATCCTCCCACCTCAGCCTCCCAAGTAGCTGGGACTATAGGCGTGCGTCACCATGCCCAGCTTTTTGGGGGGTATTTTTTGTAAAGACAGAGTTTTACCATGTAGCCCAGGCTGGTCTCGAACTCTTGGGCTCAAGCGATCCTCCCGCCTTGGCCTCCCAAAGTGCTGGGATTACAGGTGTGAGCCACTGTACCTGGCCTTCCCTGGTGCTTTTATTTCCTCTCTCATTGTTGCTTGTTTCCTTGTTTGTTTTGTAATTTTTTATGGTTAACTCATCTTTGTCACAGCTTGTTTTTCAATGAGAAAACAAGCAGTCCGGATTGTGGAACCATTCTTCCACAAAGCTTTGTAAGGCACTCCAGAATATCCTGGGCAGGAGTTGATTTTCATGTTAGTTTCTTGATTTGTGGGTTTCTGGATAAATGCTAGTGAATTTCTGATATTAATTCAAACCTCAGATCCAAACAAGGCACAGGCCTGAGGTTTGGATGTTATCAGGGGAGATTTTCTTTTTAAATTCAGGCAAAGAGGAGATGCCACGTTGTTCCCTCACTCTGCTGATCAGCAGACAGTTTTCTAGCAAATCTTTCATGGAAGGTTGTCATTCCTTATTTCATGGGTTATCAGAATGCATGGGTGTAAAACCCCACACTGAAACAGCTAAGTTACTATGATAGCCACCCCACCCAAGGTCAGTTATAGCATCTTTATGATTTCATATAGCAGCTTCTGTGTCTTCAGTTTTTCTCTTTATTCTTGTAAGCACCTCCTTTCTTTCTTGGGAACTCAGCTATGCATTTATCACAATTATATATATATATATAATTATATAGAATCTCCCAAAATATATATATATATATATATAATTGAAACAGGGACTCACTGTCACCCCGGCTGGAGTGCATGGCACGGTCATAGCTCACTGCCATCTCAAACTCCTGTGCTCAAGCGATCCTCCCTGCTCAGCCTCCTAAGTAGCTGGGACTACAGGAGCATACCACCACACCCAGCTGATTTTTAAATATTTTGTAGAAACGGGGTCACGCTATGTTGCGCAGGCTTGACTTGACCTCCTGGCCTCAAGCAATCCTCCTGCCTCAGTCTCCCAAAGTGCTGGGATTACATGCATGAGCCACCCCACCCGGCCAATTTTTGGTATATTTTGTCCAGCATTCCAAAGTGTTTGTAGCAGAGGTTTTTCTGGTTATCTTACACACCATCCTGTTAAAGAGGTATCTTTTTAACCTTCTTAAGTTTCAATTTCTTTATTTAGACAGTGGGAATATTGTCCTTTCTACAAAGAATTATCGGGACTAGGTAAGGATTTAAGTAAACAATCTAACCATGTGGTAAGTGCACCATAAATGCTAACAATAATGATTATTATTACACTAATATCATATGTACTCTTTTTCCTTTTTTTTTTTTTCCTAGACCAAGTCTCACTCTGTCACCCAGGCTGGAGTGCAGTGGCATGATCTCGGCTCACTGCAACCTCTGCCTCCCGGGTTTAAGCAGTTCTCCTCCCGAGTAGCTGAGATTACAGGTGCCTGCCACTATACCTAGCTAATTTTTGTATTTTTTAGTAGAGACGGGGTTTTGCCATGCTGGCCAGGCTGGTCTCTAACTACTGACCTCAAGGGATCCACCTGCCTTGTCCTCCCAAAGTGCTGGGATTAAAGGCGTTAGCCACCACCGCGCCTGGCCTTCTTTTTCCTTTTTATTGATGTTTTTATGTAGCTCAGCATGAGGCCTTTGAAAATAAAATAGCCCATTTTCTCTCACTGTAAGTTGCAATCTTTAATTGCACCAAATTCCTCCCAAGAAGGAAGTGGCAGAAAGGCAATAAAATGAGAAGTGAGTGCTCTTATATTGTGTGAGTTACATTAACATACATTATCTCATATCACCCCTATCATAATCCCATGATGCAGGATATTGTAATAGTCAGGATGGACTAGGTTGCACTTTGGAAACAAACAGTACCAAGGTTTTAGCAGGTTAGCCCAGCACAAGTTCCTGTCTTACTCCTGCTTCATGTGCAGTGCTGGTCAGTGGCTGAGCATCTCAGGGCTCCTTAGGGTGACTCACGCCTGTAATCCCAGCACTTTGGGAGGCCGAGGCGGGTGGATTACTTGAGACCAGGAGTTCAAGACCAGCCTGGCCAACATGGTGAAAACCTATCTCTACTAAAAATACAAAAATTAGCCAGGCGTGTTGGCACACGCTTGTAATCCCAGCTACTCAGGAGGCCAAGGCAGGAGAATCGCTTGAACCTGGAAGGCGGAGGTTGCAGTGAGACAAGATGGTGCCACTGTACTCCAGCCTGGACGACAAGTGAGACTCTGTCTCAAAAAAATGAAAAACAAAACAGAGTTCCTTAGGCACAGAAGTTTTACCATCTGGCAGCTGTGGGATGCCTGGGAAGTTGCGTGTGGATCTTTTACGGCCTCAACCTCTTACAACTTAACTGGTGCAAACAAATCATATGACCATGGTCTGCTTTAAGGGAGCAGGGAAATGTAGGGAAGAAAATGGGGCATTTAGTCACTACATTTGTCTCTGTCACCCTCAAAATAGAAAGAAAGAAATTAGCTTTTTTTTTTTTTCTGGAGACAGAGTCTCGCTCTGTCACCCAGGCTAGAGTGCAGTGGCATGATCTTGGCTCACTGCAACCTCCGCCTCCTGGGTTCAAGCGATTCTCCTGCCTCAGTCGCCCAAGTAGCTGGGATTACAGGCACATGCCACCGTACTCGGCTAATTTTTGTATTTTTAGTAGAGACGGGGTTTCACCATCTTGGCCAGACTGGTCTCAAACTCCTGACCTCGTGATCCACCCACCTCAGCCTCCCAAAGTGCTGGGATTACAGGCATGAGCCACTGTGCCCAGCCTTTTTAATTTAATTTTATTATTTTTTTAAAGAGACAGGGTCTTGCTCTGTGGCCAAGCCTATAGTGGAGTGGCGTGATCATAGCTCATTGCAGCCTTGAACTCCTGGGTTCAAGCCATCCTCCTGCCTCAGCCTCCTAAGTAGGTGGGACTACAGATGCATGCCACCATGTCCAGCTAACTTTGTTTTTTTTTTGAGACAGTGTCTCTCATTGTCGCCCAGGCTGCTGGAGTGCAATGGCGCGATCTCAGCTCACTGCAACCTCCACCTCCCGGGTTCAAGTGGTTCTCCTGCCTCAGCCTCCCGAGTAGCTGGGATTACAGGCACACACCACCACTCCTGGCTAAATTTTTGTATGTTTAGTAGAGAAGAGGTTTCACTATGTTGGCCAGGCTGGGCTCAAACTCCTGACCTTGGGATCTGCCCACTTCGGCCTCCCAAAGTGCTGGGATTACAGGCATGAGCCACTGCACCTGGCCCCAGCTAACTTTTTAAAGTGTGTGTGTGTGTGTGTGTGTGTGTGTGTGTGTGTGTGTGTGTAGACAAGGTCTCGCTGTGTTGCCCAGGCTGGCCTTGAACTCCTGGCCTTGAGTGAGCCTCCCACCTCAACCTCCCGAGGTGCTGAGGTTACAAATGTGAGCTACTGCACCTGGCACTAGAAATTAGCTTTTATTTACACTTTCTAAGCATTCACACTGTGCCTGGTTCAGGTCTTACATTCTCTTTAGACTCTCAGCAATGCTGTGAGGTAGCTTTGCTGATGGAGAAACAAACTGTGTCTCAGAGACATTAAGGAACTTATGCAAGATGCCATGCTGAAGAAATGAATTAGTAGCTGTGCCAAAATTTCACTCCACATCCTATACTTCTTATTTTATTATTATTATTATTTTTGAGGCAGAGTCTCCCTGTGTCGCCCAGGCTGGAATGCAGTGGCGTGATCTTGGCTCACTGCAACCTCTGCCTCCCAGGTTCCAGCGATTCTCCTGCCTCAGCCTCCTGAGTTGCTGGGATTACAGGTGCCCACCACCACACCCGGCTAATTTTTGTATTTTTAGTGGAGACAGGGTTTCACCATGTTGGTCAGGCTGGTCTCGAACTCCTGACCTCGTGATCTGCCCACCTCAGCCTCCCAAAGTGCTGGAATTACAGGTGTGAGCCACCATGCTGGGCCCTTTATTATTATTTTTAGATGGAGTCTTGCTCTGTCACCCAGGCTAGAGTACAGTGGCACAGTCTCGGCTCACTACAACCGTCACCTGGGCTCAAGTGATTCTCCTGCCTCAGCCTCCCGAGTAGCTAGGATTACAGGTATGTGCCACCATGCCTGGCTAATTTTTGTATTTTTAATTAATTAATTAATTAATTAATTTTTTTGAGACAGAGTTTTGCTCTTGTTACCCAGGCTGGAGTGCAGTGGCACAATCTCGGCTCACTGCAACCTCTGCCTCCTGGGTTCAGATGATTCTGCCTCAGTCTCTGAAGTAGCTGGGATTACAGGCATGCGCCACCAAGCCTGGCAAATTTTTGTGTTATTAGTAGAGACGGGGTTTCACTATATTGGCCAGGCTGGTCTCGAACTCCTGGCCTCAAGTGATCCACCTGCCTCAGCTTCCCAAAGTGTTGGGATTACAGGCGTAAGCCACCATGCCCGGCCTCACATCATATATTTCTACCGGGGGAGAGAAAGAGTCAGAAAAAAAGAGAAGCATACATGGAGGAAGGAGAGAGAAGGCCAGAGGTCAGCTCTGCACACGCCGGTGCTGAGAGGTGATGCTGCCTCACCTGCCTGAGCCCTGGGAGCAGTCAGGTTCCAGCTCACCTGCGTGAGGTGCTCCCAGAGGACTTTCACATCAGGCCAGACACATGCATCTTTGGAGACACATTTTGACGTCAGGCATGAACGCTGAGTGACAAGTATGAGTTTGGGTCTTTTTCGTCATAGGCTATGATGCTGCAGGGGCAACCAAGACTCCCCTGGGACACACGCTTGTGAGCTAATGGACCAGAAAGGGTGTGATCCTCATAGTCGCTTCCTTCTCTGTGCCCCCAGTAGCTTGTTCTGGCCTCTGTTACAGGTCTTGCCACCCAACTCCAACTCCCCTGCCTATGGCTGCCTTTGTTTACCTGCCGTCATCTGATCTCTGCATCCCCAGTGCCCTGGACAGGGTCTGGCCCTGAAGAGCCCTCAGGAAAGGCTCTTTGGTGAGACAGATGGACAGTTCTGGCAAAAACCTGTATGTGCTGGGGCTACAGGTGTTGGGGGTGGGAGCAGTGGGAGGCAGAGGGCTGAGATGAGCCGAGGCCCAGCCGCGGCAGCCATGTGACCTTGGGATTGTCCCATCCTGTCTCTCAACCTCTGATAGTGGTGTGGGGTGTAAAGTGATCTCAGCGGAGCCCGGGCACGATGGCTCACATCTGTATTCTCAGCACTTTGGGAGGCCGAGGCAGGTGGATCACTTGAGGTCAGAAGTTTGAGACCAGCCTGGACAACATGGTGAAACCGCGTCTCTATTGAAAATAGAAAAATTAGCTGGGCACGGTGACGGGCACCTGTAGTCCCAGCTACTCAGGAGGCTGAGGCACGAGAATCACTTGAACCTGAGAGGCAGAGGTTGCAGTGAGCCAAGATTGCAGCACTGCACTCCAGCCTGGGTGACAGAGTGAGACTGTCTCTAAAAAAAAAAAAAAAGTAGTCTCAGATTCTCTGGGATTTTCTGGGATTTTCGGATCCGTCTTCACCCTCTGGGCATAGTTGACCCTTGGGAAGGGAACAGACAGCGATCTTCAGTTTCACAAGGGGACTAAGCTCAACTGTTCATTCCACGTCCCCCCCAACCCCACAGCCTGAGGCTGTCCGTGTCATACCCCATAGGGAGCTCTGAAGCCCGGTCTTGGGGTTCACAGGCCAGCCTCAGCAGAGACATTGAGGACAGTGGGGGCTCCAGGTCAGACTTGCACAGGCAGGTCCCTGCACAGGCAGCTTTGCGGTGGCGGGAAGGGCTGGAGACAGCCCTCACCCGCCCGCCCTGGCCCTGCCGTCAGCAGCTGCAGGGAAGAGGACCGGGCGCATTTATAGAATTCCTGCCTGCAAAGGCCATGCAGTTGTTTTAAATTAGCATACAAATCGACATTAGTGTAGTACATCTGTTGTTAATCCACATCCCGGTGGAACGGAGATGCCAACACGCCTTTTATTAGGCACGTCGATCCCATAATGTCCTTTCTCCCTGCCTTTGTCTTCTATCAGAGTCCGTAATGGGTTCCAGGATGTCTTTTATTTTGCTATGGACCACGTTTCCTCCTGCCCAGCGGATCAGAAACGTAATGGATTCCAGGATGGAATTTATGTTCCTTTGGAATCAGACCCTGTACGATGAATTCTAAAGCCTTCGGGCAAATCTCCAGGGAGGCCGTGGCCCTGTGTTTGCCCCCATGGTCATCAGACAGGCACCGGGAACCCGGGCACAGTCCCAGGGCTGGAGGGGGAGGAAGGGAGCCTGGGCCGACAGCTCCCAATTAAGGGAATTCCAGGCAGGCGTGGGAGGAGAGGCCAGGGGTGCTGGTGGAGACAGACAGGGAAGCTGGGAAGATGCAGGGCGGGGAGGAGGGGGCACAGATATTCTAGAAACCCAGGAACCGGCAGCACCAGTGTTTCTGGGGCTGGTCACAGACACTGGACACCAGTTTGCGAGGTCCTGGAGAAAAGGACCTTGACCCTGAGTATCCCAGCAGGCCTGGGGAGGAGGGCAGGGTGTTGTGAGCCAGAGACTGCCCTTGGGGCTAACCAGGCCGGGACTAAGATACCCAGCTTTACCCTTTGCTCATGGCATGGCCCTGGAGAGTCACTGTCTCTTGCTGAGGCTTGGATTCCATAGCCTGCACCCCATCACCCCGTGTCAGCACCAAGGGCTCCCCAGCCAGCATGCCTCCTCTGCCTGCTACCAGGCCTTCAACCAGTTTCCTCGGGTTCTTTCAACCCCCTCTCTCACGACATGGCTCTCGGTGCCCTCCCTGCCATCTTGGCTCCTTCTAGGGCACACTCGAGGGGCCCCATCTCTCTCAAGAGAAGGACTCAAACCATCCATGAAGCTGGGGCTGTGGAGGGCAGGGTCCAGGACTCTCCTCCCACCTCTGAGATGCCGCGCTCCTGTGCAAACCTGAGACCCTCGGCCACTCTGGCCACCACTGTGTCCCCAGGGCCTCCAGTCCTCCAGCCAGCCCTGTGGTTGGCCACCCTGCCCGTAAGATAAGCCCACGCCCTGTCACTGGGGCTGGAGGGGCTCTGAGCAGAAAAGATCACCTTCAGGGGCAGGTTTGGCCCCCACCACAACACTGATTTTCCAGACCACAAAGTGAACCCACCCTGCACCCACCGGCTATCACAGTATCGTTTTTTATTTTGTTATAGAGATGGGGTCTCACTATATTGCCCAGGCTGGTCTCAAACTACTACAGTGTCTTTTACATTGAAGGCTTTAAAAAAATTGTGATTAGGCTGGGCGCAGTGGCTCACGCCTATAATCCCAGGACTTTGGAAGGTCAAGGCAGGCAGATCACGTGAGGTCAGTAGTTCAAGACCACCCTGGCCAACATGGTGAAACCCCCATCTCTACTGAAAAAAAAACAAAACAAAAATTAGGCAGATGTGGTGGCGGGTGCCTGTAATCCTAGCTACTGGGAGGCTGAGGCACAAGAATCGCTTGAACCCTGGAGGCAGAGGTTGCAGTGAGCTAAGATCGCGCCACTACACTCCAGCCTTGGTGACAGAGTGAGACTCTGTCTCAAAAAAAAAAAGTAATTAAATATACATAAAATACATTTTAACATTTTAATCCGTTTTTAATTTTATTTAATATATATATATATATATATATATATATACACACACATTTTTTTTTTCCAGAGTCTAACTCTGTCACCCAGGCTGGAGTGCAGTGGCGCAATCTCAGCTCACTGCAGTCTCTGCTTCCTGGGTTCAAGTGATTCTCCTGCCTCAGCCTCCTGAGTAGCTGGGATTATAGGTGCCCGCCACCACGCCCGGCTATTTTTTGTATTTTCAGTAGAGACAGGGTTTCACCATGTTAGCCAGGCTGGTCTCGAACCCCTGACCTCAGGTGATCCTCCCTCCTCGGCCTCCCAAAGCGCTAGGATTACAGGCGTAAGCCACCGCGCCCGAACTTTAACCAGTTTTAAGCGTTCAATTCAGCCGTGTTAGGTACCGTCACACTGTCGTCCAGCCATCTCCACTGTCCATCTTCAGAACTTTTTCATTGTCCCAATTAAATTGCAGACTTTTAAAGGAGGAAAAAAAGTTTATTGTGTGTGTCCTGTCTAGCGCACTCTTCCAGGTTAGTTGTACCTTTTATTGTCTTTGAGCCAGTTTACAGCTCTGTAAAGTTGTGCAGTAATCATGAGAATGGATTTTTGTCCACGTTCCTGTAAGTTAATTGTGTCCGGTGGAATGCAATTGGATATTGCCCTGGGGACAAACCTGTTTTGCGTCTATTTGTAAATTCACAGCAGCATTCCGTGTTTGCCTGCAAGATTCCGTGCTTCTACGAATTTGCCTTTGAACCGCCCATGGCATCTGTCTGCTTTGTTCCCTCTTTGATTAATGTGTTAAATAAAATCTTTGACACATGTTCATTTTCTACTTGTATGAGAGCCGTGATTTTTTTTTTCCTCTTGTGGGAATCAGTCCTTTAACAACAGGACTTTAGTCTGTGGGATTGGAGGAGCTGTGGTTTAACCCCTGAGATTCCTCAGCCAAAGGCACTGTCCCACATGAAGTTAGAATATGTGGAGTCCAGCTAGGGAAAGAGGTGCCAGATATATTCCATCCTCTGTCACCCTAAGAGCAAATGACAGTGATTCTGTGCTCAGCCTGACCAGAGCTGCAAGAGACCTGAGAGCCTCTCTCCAACTGGCTCATGTTACAGGAACAGGGTCCTGATCCAGACGCCAAGAGAGGATTCTTGGATTTCACACAAGAAACAATTCATAGCTCACCTCAGCTTTGAACTCCTGGGCTCAAGAGATCCTCCTTCCTCAGCCTCCTAAGTAGCTGGAGGTATGCACCACCACACTCGGCTATTTTCTTTCTTTTTCTTTCTTTCTTTCTTTCTTTCTTTCTTTCTTTCTTTCTTTCTTTCTTTCTTTCTTTCTTCCTTCCTTCCTTCCTTCCTTTCTTTCTTTCTTTCTGTCTTTCTTTCTTTCATTCTTTCTTTCTCTCTCTCTTTCTCTCTTTCTTTCTTGTCTCTCTTTCTTTCTTTCTTTCTTTCTTTCTTTCTTTCTTTCTTTCTTTCTTTCTTTCTTTCTTTCTTTCTTTCTTTCTTTCTTTCTTTCTTTCTTTCTTTCTTTCTTTCTTTCTTTCTTTCTTTCTTTCTTTCTTTCTTTCTTTCTTTCTTTCTTTCTTTCTTTCTTGTCTCTCTCTCTCTCTTTCTTTCTTTCTTTCTTTCTGATGGAGACTTGCACTATTGCCCAGGCTGGAGTGCAATGGCCCGATCTCGGCTCACTGCAACCTCCGCCTCCCAGGTTCCAGTGATTCTACTGTCTCAGCCTCTCAAGTAGCTGGGACTACAGGCACCTGCCACCACACATGGGTAATTTTTGTATTTTTCAGTAGAGATGGGGTTTCACCATATTGGCCAGGCTGGTCTCGAACTCCTGACCTCGTGATCTGCCCGCCTCGGACTCCCAAAGTGCTGGAATTACAGGTGTGAGCCACCGTGCCGGGCCTTTTTAAAATTTTTAAGTAGAGACAAAGTCTCAGTCTGGCTATGTTGCCCAAGTTGGCCTCAAACTCCTGAGCTCAAGCGATCCTACCACCAGGGCCTCCCAAAGTGCTGGGATTACAGGAATGAGCATTGTGCCCGGCCAACAGTCCATTTTTATGGGCGGCCCATGATAAAGCAGAGAGGCAGGCCAGGCACAGTGGCTCACACCTGTAATCCCAGCACTTTGGGAGGCCAAGGTGGGAGGATCACCTGAAGTCGGGAGTTCGAGACCAGCCTGACCAACATGGTGAAACTCATCTCTACTAAAACTACAAAAATTAGCTGGGTATGGTGGCACAAGCCTGTAATCCCACCTACTCGAGAGGCTGAGGCACAAGAATCACTCGAACCCAGGAGGTGGAGATAACAGTGAGCGGAGATTGCACCATTGCACTCCAGCCTGGGTAACACAGTGAGACTCTATCTCAAAAAAAAAGGTCGGGCACTATGGACCATGGCTCATGCCTGTAATGCCAGCACTTTGGGAGGCCAAGGTGGGCGGACCACCTGAGGTCAGGAGTTCGAGACCAGCCTGGACAACATGGTGAAACGCTGTCTCTACTAAAAATACAAAAATTAGCCAGGCATGGTGGTGGGCACCTGTAATCCCAGCTACTCAGGAGGCTGAGACAGGAGAATTACGTGAGGTTGCAGTGAGCTGAGATCACGCCACTGCACTCCAGCCTAGGGACAGAGAATGGCTCTGTCTCAAAAAAAAAAAAAAAAATTAGCTGGGCATAGTGGCACATGCCTGTATTCCCAGCTACTCAGGAGGCTGAGGCACAAACATTGCTTGAATGTGTGAGGCAAAAAAAAAAAGCACTATTACCTTAAGCCCTGTGAGCCTCAATTTTCTCACCTGAAAAATGGGGATGATTGTGCATGCTCCCCCCTGCACGGCATGGTCAGCTGTGTTTGAAGCCACCTTCAACTAGATCACGAGAGCTGGTTTTGTGTATTGCCTCCCAACTCCCGTGCAGGGGTGTCGTATTGGTGGCTTGAAATTGGCCATGCTGGGAGTATTTACACCATGGAAATTGACAGACACTACAGAGAGCTGGTTGTTAAACACTTACCAGCACACCATTGGTGGCCATCCCAAATGTGTGGTTGTGTTACAAGAAAGGGGTCCCAATAGAGACCCCAAGAGAGGGTTCTTGGATCTCACACAAGAAAGAATTGAGGGCAAGTCCACAGTGCAAAGCAAAAGCAAGTTTATGAAGAAAGTACAGGAATAAAAGAAGGGCTACTCCATAGACAGAGCAGCCCTGAGGGGTGCTGGTTGCCCATTTTTATGGTTATTTCTTGATGATATGCTAAACAAGGGGTGGATTATTCATGCCTCCCCTTTTTAGACCATATAGGGTAACTTCCTGGTGTTGCCATGGCATTTGTAAACTGTCATGGTGCTGGTGGGAGTGTAGCGGTGAGGACGACCAGAGGTCACTCTCATCGCCATCTTGGTTTTGGTGGGTTTTGGCCGGTTTCTTTACTGCAAACTGTTTTATCAGCAAGGTTTTTATGACCTGTATCTTGTGCTGACCTCCTATCTCATCCTGTGACTTAGAATGCTTTAACCATCTGGGAATGCACGCAGTAGATCTCAGCCTCATTTTGCCTAGCTCCTATTTAAGATGGACTTGCTCTGGTTCACATTCTTCTGATAGTTGGAGGACCTGGCATTTGGGATGCATGTCCCCTCTGAGGTGTGGGAACTTTGGTACAACAGGATGGGTGGACAGGCTGGGGTCCTCTGGGGAAAATCCTGCTGGGATGGAATGATGAGGGCAGGGTGCTCACCTGGAGGCCAAGACAGTGGGGGCCAGAGGAAGCCGCTGGTAAGCCTGGATGTTGAATTTAAGAGGGTGAGAACTGAATCCTCTTGGAAGTGACATTTCCTGCTCTTTCCTCTTGTCCAGACAGTAGAATCTTGACGGAAAACTACTGTTATTTTCCCTTAAGAAAAAGCAATAGATAAAAATAATAGCAAAAATCACACGGAACATGATGAGGATTTGCCACTGTTTCTTGGGGAGCCTCTAGGTATGAGGTGTGGTGGGCAAACCATGGCCATCAACTACTGTCAAAATTATTATTTTACTTTAAAACAATTATTTATTATTTTTTAAAATAGAGTTGCAGGCCGGGCGCGGTGGCTCATGCCTGTAATCTCAGCACTTTGGGAGACTGAGGCAGGAGGATCACCTGAGGTCAGGAGTTCAAGATCAGCCTGGCCAACACGGAGAAACCCCATCTCTACTAAAAATACAAAAATTAGCTGGGTGTGGTGGTGGGCGCCTGTAATCTCAGCTACTCAGGAGGCTGAGGCAGAAGAATTGCTTGAATCCCGGAGGTGGAGGTTGCAGTGAGCTGAGATCATGCCACTGCACTCCAGCCCGGGCAACAGAGCAAGACTCTGTCTCAAAAAATAAATAAATAAATAAATAAATAAATAAATAAATAAATAAATAAATAATAAAAATAGAGATGGGGTCTTGTTCTGTTGCCCAGGCTGGAGTGCAGTGGTGTGATTACAGCTCACTGCAGCTTCCAGCTCCTGGGCTCAAGTGGTCCTCCCATCTCAGCCTCCAAAGTAGCTAGAGCTACAGGCGTGCACCACCACGCCCAGCTAATTTTTGATAGGGGTCTTGCTGTGTTGCCCAGGCTGGTCTCAAACTCCTGGGCTCAAGTGATCCTTCACTTTGGCCTCCTGGAGTGCTGGGATTAGAAGTGTGAGCCACCACACCTGGCCCATTGTCAGATTTAGTCCTCAAACAAGATGGAAATCATCATTCCCCTTTCACAGAGGAGAATAAGAATGGGGAAGAGAGGTTACTTTATTCAGGGACATTCAGCCGGGAAATGTCAGAGCCAGGATCTGTCTCAAGCCAAAGTGTGTCTTTCCCCATCTCACTGCAAGAAGCTAGGACGGACCAGGCTGCCCACCCCCTTCCCCCTGCCCTTGCCTCCCTCCCCACCCCGCCCACTCTATCAGACTGGCCACTCTTCCCTCCTTCCTCCATGCTTAGGCCCCAGTACTCCACCCTTACCCCTTCAGTGTTTGCCTGGCAGGCTCTAGTCCATCTGCAAAGGCTCAGCTCAGAAGTCCCCGCCTCCATGAAGCCCTCCTGACTACTGGGTTCCTGCAGAGCTGGCTTTTGCCATTAGTTCAAGTCCTCACCACACTAGGTGAGAACAGCTGTCACCTTGGCCAGGGCTCTTCGCTTGTGGACCTCTTTGGCCGTCTGCTGAATCCTGTAGACTCTTACTCAGAACGGTATTTTTAAGTGCATAAAATGAGCTATGAGGATTATCAATGACCATGAAATACAGTGCATCGGAATTTTGTTTTAAAAAATCAAATTATGGCCGGGCGCGGTAGCTCACGCCTGTAATCCTGGCACTTTGGGAGGCCAAGGTGGAGGATCACGAGGTCAGGAGATTGAGACCATCCTGGCTAACACAGTGAAACCCCATCTCTACTAAAAAAAAAAAAAAAAAAAAAAAAAATTAGCCGGGCGTGGTGGCGGGCGTCTGTAGTCCCAGCTACTTGGGAGGCTGAGGCAGGAGAATGGCGGGAACCCGGGAGGTGGAGCTTGTAGTGAGCTGAGATCGTGCCTCTGCACTCCAGCCTGGGCAACAGAGCGAGACTCTGTCTCAAAAAAAAAAAAAAAATACAGAATGATGAGTGTGTTTCTTTCCTAACGCAAACAGCAAGATCCCACAGTAAGGCTGACAACTTTCAGAATGTTGGAGTAGAAATGAGCGGGAAAGGTATTTCAAGACAGTGGCAATAATTGTGTGAATTCGATTGGGAACGAAGACACAGGTACTTCTACTTCTATTGCATTGTCGTTTTGTTTTGTTTTGTTTTGTTTGAGACAGAGTCTCTCTGTTGCCCAGGCTGGAGTGCAGTGGTGTTAGCTCACTGCAAACTCCGCTGTCTGGCTTCAAGCAATTCTCCTTCCTCAGCCTCCCGAGTAGCTGGGATTCCAGGCACTTGCCACCATGCCCGGCTAATTTTTGTATTTTTAGTAGGGATAGGGTTTCACCATGTTGACCAGGCTGGTCTCGAACTCCTGACCTCAAGTGATCTGCTGGCCATAGTCTCCCAGAATGCAGGGATTACAGATGTGAGCCACTGCGCCTGGCTGTCTATTGCATTGTTGATGTTGTTGTTACTACATTCATAATAGGAAGAGATGCTAAATCGCAGTTTGGTGAAAGTAAAGGCGTAGTTCTATTTCCTATCAAAGTTCACCCATCCCTGATTTCTATCCTTGGACCCTGGCTAAGAGCCTAGGTTACAGACTCAGAGCCCCTTGAGGGGCAGGATTGAGTTTCGTCTGCATTTCCAGCCAGGTTTGCACATTGCAGACAAGCTGACTACAGCCAATCATGCAGGTTTGGTGAATGGGTGAGAGAGTGAATTAAGTCAAGGAAGCCACAGCAGGGGGCCCAGCCCGCTCCTCCTCCAGTCCCAGCTCTTCCAGCTGCACTTGTTTAATGGTATGAACGTGACTTGGCTTGGTCCCGGCGCCATGGCTGGGAGCACAGGCTGCCCAGAGCGTACACTGCAGGTTGGAAGCGAGACCCTCTCTCTGAATCAGTGTCTGAATGTGTGCTGCCTAGAGTTGGTCGTGATTCATCTCCTCTATGGGGAGAGGGGCTGCCTTCATCTCAGCCCTGGGCTTCCTTCCCCGTGGCTTCCAAACCCTCCCCCTGGCGAAAGGCAGCCTGAAGGAGCTGCTGCGGTTTAAGAAAGTAATTGACCTGATATTATTCTGGCCTGGAGAAAAAGATCCTGAGTGTTGTCTTAAAGAGGCATTACGTTATCTGCTGAGAATGTCAGGAGATCAGGGGGATCGGTGCCCCCCTCCCACCTCAGGTAGAGGAGCCATCAGTCCCAGCTGGAACCCAACACACAGGGCTAGAGCTTTATCTGCCTGAGGCAGCCAGGATGTCCGGCAGAACAGGTGCTGGAGACCCTGGTAGTCAGAGCTTTCCAAAACATGTTGACTTGATTTCCCTCTCTTTCCAAGAGAAGCTGTCGAGCAATTCAAGCTTCCAGGGCACCTCTGGCGGGGGGATTTGGTGCATGGGCACAGGCAGGGGCTACGTATGGGCAGCCTGGGGAATTTTTTTTTTTTTTTAAGATGGAGTCTCGCTCTGTCGCCCAGGCTGGAGTGCAGTGGCATGATCTCGGCTTACTGCAAGCTCCGCCTCCCAGGTTCACGCCATTCTCCTGCCTCGGCCTCCCGAGTAGCTAGGACTACAGGCACCCACCACCATGCCAGGCTATTTTTATTTTTTATTTTTTTATTTTTAGTTGAGACGGGGTTTCACCATGTTAGCCAGAATGGTCTCAATCTCCTGACCTTGTGATCCGCCCACCTCGGCCTCCCAAAGTGCTGGGATTACAGGCATGAGCCACCGCGCCCGGCCAGCGTAGGGTATTTTTGCCACCACATCTGGCATCTGGTCACTCTGTGCCTAGGGCCTTCAAAGTCCTCACACATAACCAGAAACGTGGCTCAAGGCCGGGCGCAGTGGCTCACACCTGTAAGCCCAGCACTTTGGGAGGCCGAGGCGGGATGATCACACGAACCCAGGAATTTGAGACCAGCTTGGGCAACATAGTAAGACCCTGTCTCTACAAAAAATAAAAAAAATTAGCCAGGCCTGCGGTACCAGCCACTTGGGAGGCTGAGGCAAGAGGATCACTTGAGCCCAGGAGATTGAGGCTGCAGTGAACCATGATTACAACACTGCACTCCAGCCTAGGCAGCAAAGCGAGACCCTGTCTCAGGGAAAAAAATAAAAAAGGCGGCTTAGCATGACTAGGCATGGCCCAGTTCCCAGCAGCCCACGTCTCCTGGCAAACCGGATGTTGCATTTCCCAAGACCATCTGCTTCCATCCAGAGTGGAGAACTCCTACTGGTCAGAGTCTAAAGGCAGCTGATTCCTGGACCAGTCGGCTGTGGCCAGGGCCATGGGGTTAATGCCCGGGTAACTGAATAGGTTCATTGCCCAATGCACACAGCAGGTCAATTTACCAAGACACCGGATTGCAGCAGAGAAAAAGGTTTAATCATAGCGTCACTAAATGAGGAGATGGGAGGAAACCTCAAATCTATCTCCCTGAGGAGTTTGGGGCTGGGGTTTGGGGGTTTTGGAGTGGGCTGAAGTGTGGAGATGGTTGATGGGTGGAAGAGTGCAGGGCGAGGTCCTGGGACTGAGAGGGGAAGAAGCTGTGTTCTACGCTCATCCTCTTCCTCTGTGGGGTCTTCAAACTCCACAGGAAAGGGGTGCAGATCTAGACCCCAAGAGAGGGTTCTTGGACAGGGGCGGTGGCTCACCCCTGTAATTGGGAGGCCAAGGCGGATGGATCACTTGAGCCCTGGAGTTTGACACCAGGCTGGCCAACATGGCAAAAACCCATCTCTACCAAAAATACAAAAAATTCCCAGGCGTGATGGCGCGTGCCTGTAATCCCAGCTACTCAGGAGGCTGAGGCAGGAGGATCACTTGAACCTGGGAGGTGGAGGTTGCAGTGAGCCGAGATAGTGCCATTCAACCTGGGCAACACAGTGAGACCCTGTCTCAAAGAAAAAAAAAAAAAAGAATTCAGGGTGAGTCTGTAAAGCGAAAGTAAGTTTATTAAGAAAGTAGAAGAATAAAGTCCAGGCCCAATGGCTCACGCCTGTAATCCCAGCATTTTGGGAGGCCGAGGCGGGCAGATCACTTGAGGTCAGGAGTTCGAGACCAGCCTGGCCAACATGGTGAAACTCCGTCTCTACTAAAAATACAAAAATTAGCTGGGTGCAGTGGTGTGTGCCTGTAGTCCCAGCTACTTGGGAGGCTGAGGCAGGAGAATCACCTGAACCCGGGAGGCAGAGGTTGCAGTGAGCCAAGATCAGGCCATTACACTCCATCCTGGTGGACAAGAGCAAAACTCCATCTCAAAAAACACAAACAGAAATAGTTCTGGAAACATGACATGTGACCCAGGGAGCGGGAGGCTCCTCCTGTGTCAAGTTCACCCTATTTTGACTAACATGTACTGAGCACCTTGAAACCCAGGCGCTGGGCTGAGCCTCTTAAAGGTATTTAACCCTGGCCACATGCAGTGGCTCATGCCTGCAATCCCAGCACTTTGGAAGGTCAAGAAGGGTAGATTCCTTGAGCCCAGGAGTTCGAGACCAGCCTCGGCAACATAGCAAAATCCCGTCTCTACAAAAAATACAAAAAATTGGCCAGGTGTGGTGGTGCATGCCTGTAGTCCCAGCTACTCAGGAGGCTGAGGTGGGAAGATTACTTGAGCTCAGGAGGCTGAGGCTGCAGTGAGCTGTCATTGCACGATTACACCCCAGCCTCGGCAACAGAGCAAGACCCTGCCTCAGAAAAAAAATAAATAAATAAAAGGCCAGGCGCAGTGGCTCACATCTGTAATCCCAGCACTTTGGCAGCCCAAGGTGGAAGGATCACTTGAGCCAAGAAGTTCAAGACCAGCTTGGGCAACATAGCTAGGCCCCATCTTACAAAAACATTTTTTAAAAATTTGCTAGGTGTGGTGTCATGCACCTGTAATCCCAGCTACTTGGGAGGCTGAGGCAGGAGGAGCACTTGAGCCCAGATGTTTGAAGCTTCAGGGAGCTTTGATTGCACCACCGCGCTCTAGCCTGGGCAACAGAGCGAGACCCTATATTCATGAGTGTTGCAATGAGCCAAGTAGTGGAGGTTGGCTTTTGAAGGCAGAAAAGGACTGAGAAAAGCTAACACAGAGAACAAAAAGCCAATTGGTCATTTCAAAGTTACTTTTCTTGTAAAGGTTGAAGCAGAGGATGGCTTCTTCATCATGCAGGCTAAAACTGGCCAGTTTGGCTATTGTCTCTCTCCCCGGATTTCTCAGCAGGTCGGATAAGGATCTTAGTTTCTTTTTGGTGATGTGAATCTTAGCATGAGTGACTCCATTTTGGTTTGGTCTGTTGGAGCCTAGGGCAGGAGTTCAGTCCAAACCAATGACCTCTTTCTTATCAGTTTCATGTAACACAGAAAAAGTAAAGCCAAGGCTGCCCCTAGTGCTCAGTTCCTCGGGGCTCCCCCTGGACACCCAACATCCTGCCTTTGGGGACCTCAGAGTTACACCAGAATGATAGAGAGAGGAGACCCAGGTGTGCACAGCCCGCAGAGTGTGGCATGAGCACTGCGCAAGAATTGGGAGCCCCGGTTTCTCACACTGGCTCTGAGCACCTTGGTGAGCCTTGAGTAAGTGTCCGATGCCTCTAAGCGTTTGTTTGCCTTTCTTTGCATGAGAAACAGTGACCCTGCCGGCGACACCAAGGCTGTGGATGCATGTAGTGGAGTCTCCACTCTGCACACTCTGGATTTATTTCGTGATGTTGCTTTTCATTTGGAGAAGGTCTTTGAAACAAGCAAGCAGTGAGATGTTCTTCTAGACATGTATGTTGCAGGCTTTGGTGAAATTCAACAGGATGTTTTCCCAAGTCAAAGGCTATTGTTGTTGGGAGACGCAGGCTGGAGAGGATTTCCCCAGGGTTTGCAAAGGCGAGGGAGGCTTGGTGCTGGCTCCCCACCGCGCGCGGCACCCCTGAGAATCTGGTCTTCATCGAGCGCTCTCAGGCACGGCATGTAAGCCGATCCCCGCACAAAACTGTGCATTAATGAAAGTTTTGACAAAGAGATTTCATTTTGGAGCTCACGTTCCCTGAAGGGTTTGTAATAATTGTACTTGAAATGGAGCCATTCGGCCTCAATGCTTTCCAGATTGGGGGCGCGAGGCATAGCCCATCCCGGGAAGGTCGGCTGGGGAGGGGGAGGCCGCAAGAGGTGCCTTGGCTGGAGTTCGCGGGGATCCCTGGCACTGGCTGACCTGGGGACTGTGTGTCCACAGCCTCGACCTTCTGCATCCTCCCAGCCATCACAAGGTGGGCGTTAGGACTCTTGATTTAAAGCTGAGCACAGGGCTGGGCACATTGGCCCACATCTATACTCCCAGCACTTTGGGAGGCCAAGGTGGGAGGATTACTTGAGCTTGGGAGTTTGAGACCAGCCTGGGCAACATGATGAGATCCTGTCTCTACAAAATATATAAAAATTAGCCATGGCCGGGTGCGGTGGCTCACACCTGTAATCCCAGCACTTTGGGAGGCCGAGGTGGGTGGATCACCTGAAGGTCAGGAGTTCGAGACCAGCCTGGCCAACCTGGTGAAACCCCGTCTCTACTAAAAATACAAAAATTGGCTGGGCATGGTGGCGCATGCCTGTAATACCAGCTATTCTGGAGGCTGAGGCAGGAGAATCACTTGAACCTGGGAGGTGGAGGTTACAGTGAGCTGAGATTGCACCACTACACTCCAGCCTGAGTGACAGAGGGAAACTCTGTCTCAAAAATAATAATAAAAATAATATTAAAAAATAAAAATAAAAAAATTAGCCAGGCATGGTTGCACATACCTGTGGTCCTAGCTAATCTGGAGGCTGAGGCAGGAGGATCACTTGAGCTCAGAAGGTGGAGGCTGCAGTGAGCCATGTTGTTCACATCACTGCACTCCAACCTGGGTGATAGAGGGAGTCCCTGCCTTAAAAAAAAAAAAAAAAACACCTTTGTTATGGTTTCCTGTGCTCCCTTTAAAATGTATTCAGGCACAGTGGGTAGGGGCAGTGTTCTACCCTTACCCTTGAGTGGAAACTGGACATTCCCATAACCATTTGACAGTCAGTTGAAGTCATAAGCTATGATGCATCAATTAGCTGTCTTGTTCTATGGAATAAGCAAAACTCCAAACTTGGTTCAGGATTGAACCTGCCCCTTCTGCATTTGGGGCCTGCTATTGTGGCTGTTTGGAGTAGGCTGGGGCATGCGTGCCTTCTCTGCTATTGCAACGTCCCCGCCTCTCTCGCCACCCTTCCTAGCCTTTCCAGGGTTGAAGCGGGGATTGCCGGGAGGGGGGGCAAGTTGAGCAGGACATCTGTACTTGCTGTGGTCTCTCCTCCTCTCTGGGCTACAAGGCTCATAGCTGCCTTTCTCTTTGGAGGGACACCCCTACCCCCATCTCGATCCCAAACACTTGGCAAGTGCACTTCCTTCTGGCCGTTGCTTATGGTTTTTTCAACATCCAGGAGTTTGGAGACCACCTCCCAACTTCTCCTCTGCTGATGTCTGTTCATTACACTGGACAGGAGGTGATGCCCTGGCCAGCTTGCTGTCTGCATGGCCTGCATCTGATCTAAAATACCGGACCGGGCGCGGTGCCTCATGTCTGTAAACCCAGCACACTGGCAGGCCGAGGCGGGCAGATCACCTGAGGTCAGGAGTTCGAGACCAGCCTGGCTAGCATGGTGAAACCCCATACCTAAAAAAAACCCCACAAAAATTAGCTGGGCGTGGTGGTGGGCACCTGTAGTCCCAGCTACTTGGGAGGCTGAGGCGGGAGAATCACTTGAACTCCAGAGGCTGAAGCTGCAGTGAGCCGAGATCGCGCCATTGCACCCCAGCCTCGGCAACAGAGCGAGACGCTGTCTCAATAAATAAAAAAATAAATAAATAGATAAAAAAAGAAAAGTGCCGTGATTGTCTAAATGAGGTTGTTAGAAATGCTTAGGAACCACCGGGCGGTGGCTCACGCCTGTAATCCCAGCACTTTGAGAGGCCAAGGCGGGCGGATCACGAGGTCAGGAGTTCAAGACCAGCCTGGCCAACACGGTGAAACCCTGTCTCTACTAAAAATACAAAAAAAGTTTAGCCGGGCATGGTGGTAGGCGCCTGTAATCCCAGCTACTAGGGAGGCTGAGGCAGGAGAATCGCTTGTACTGGGAAGGCGGAGGTTGCAGTGAGCCAAGATCGAGCCATTGCACTTCAGCCTGGGCTACAGGGCGAGACTCCGTCTCAAAAAAAAAAAAAAAAGAAAAGAAAAGAAAAGAAAAAAAAAAAAAAAAGAAATGCTTAGGAACCTGCCAGTTGGAATAATCCTGTGGAATCAGGGAGTAAGTGGGTTGGGGGCCACGAGAGTCATTAGCTAGGAGACACGCACACATCCCCATGTCGGCCCCAGGCCTCTTCCAGCTCCCATGGCCACTGTGTTGGGCCTGGGGTACCTAAATGCCCCCACAGCAGTGGTGGGGCAAGGCCAGGAGGAGCTCAGAGGTGAGACTCCTTGAAGATAGCCAGTTTCTTCAGCTCCAATATCTTCCCCTGCTTCTTCCATATTCACCAGACACCGCCTCCAGGAAGCCTTCCCTGGTCTGTCCAGATGGAAGCCAGGTTCCTCCAGGAGCTGCCCCTCTTTTCAGCCCTTGTCACTCTCTGCCTGTTGTTTCTGCCCCAGGCCTGTATCCTTTGCGCTGTGTCACACTCCATTTGAGCAAGATGGCCACTGGGTTCATCCCCATGGTGCCCAGCACAGGGCTTTGTCCAAAGGGGTGCTCAGACTCTTGGAGGTGCATGCTCATAGAAAGTATGTGTGTGTGAGTGTGCGCCATGGGCTGTGTGTGTACATGAGCTGTGTACAAGCGTGGACTATGTGTGCAAACACAGGTTGTGTATACAAACAGCTGAGTTTGTGTGCGTGTGTGTGCATGCATGGGCCCTGTGTATACATGGGCTGTGTGTGTGCATAGTGAGTACATGTACATGGGCTGCGTGTGCAGCTCCAAAATCTTCCGCCCTTTCTTCCGGATTCACCAGACACCTCCTCCAGGAAGCGTTCCCTGGTCTTTCCAGAGATGGAAGCCAGGCTCCCTAGAAAAATCTAGTTCAAAACTATGCTTGAAGGCCGGGTGCGGTGGCTGACGCCTATAATCCCAGCACTTTGGGAGGCTGGGGCAGGCAGATCACCTGAGTTGAAGACCAGCCTGGCCAACAGGACGAAACCTTGTCTCTACTAAAATTACAAAAATTATCTGAGCATGGTGCCACATGCCTGTAATCCCAGCTACTCAGGAGGCTGAGGCGGGGGAATCACTTGAATCTGGGAGGCGAAAGTTGCAGTGAGCCGAGATCGCACCACTGCACTCCAGCCTGGGCGACAGAGCAAGACTCAGTCTCAAACAACAACAACAACAAACAACAACAACAACAAAAACCAGCTATGCTCAAGAAAAATACACACGGAATATATTGCCCCTTCCAAAGCCTTTGAGGTCATTTGGCCCAATCCCCTCTTGTTCTAATGGGGAAACTGAGGTTCCAAGAAGGGATTGGGCTTTCTATACTAACAGGTCCCAGACTCAGAAACTCCTGCCAAGCTGGAGGCTAAGGCCCCTCAGGGACTGGCAGGTGCTGTGGAGAACACAGGACCGGGGCCGGAGTTGGGCTGGAGCTGGGCTGGAGCCCCACTGTCAGGGGGGACCCAGGAAAGGGGCTGTTCCACTGCAGCCTGGGAGGGTGGCTGGATTGGGAGCCCCCTCATCTGACCCAGTGTGGGTGGGTGGCTCAGCCCATGGGAGTCTCAGCTCACAGGGTCTAGGGACGCATGCCCCCCTCTTGTTGCCATGCTCCCCAAGCGGCTGTCCAATCTCTTCTTGGGCACTTACAGGAACGGGCACTCCCTCCTTCCCGGGGCTGCCTGGCTCTGTGCTGAAAGCTCATTCTCTAAGGGGCGGGAGCTGCTCTACATGGTGTCCGCCCAGTGACTTTGGGTCCCAAGGTGGGGCCCATCTGCTGCCTCCTCCTTCTCAGGGTGAGCTGCCCAGTCCCTCTGTGGCTCCCCAGGGCCCAGCCTGCCTGCTGCCCCCAGAACCTTCTCCAGCTCATCTACCATTGTGAAGAATAGAGCCTGGGCCTCATATACGCAGTTACTCCTGTTACATGCCTTTGTTGTGATTTCTTCTCTCATCAGTGATGCACCTTCCTCCCAGGCCCCAGAACTGGGTGTTGGGGCAAGGTCTGTGGGGTCCCCTCTCGCCTCTGTTCTCTAACAATGCATGGTGCTGGTGACAACAGGACGGTCACCACCTCCTGGTTTGTATGTCTCAGAAATGATGGTTGGAAAATGAAATATAAACAGCACTTCTCAAACTGTCCCACGTGCAGGAGTCACCCTGGGGGGTCCTATTTAAATGCAGATTAGGATTGATAGGTCTGGGACAGGGCCTGAGTGTCGCCCTACCCTGCCCTGCCTTGTCACCCAGGCTGGAGTTCAGTGGTGCGATCATCACTCAATTGCAGCCTCAAATTCCTGGGCTCAAGGGATCCTCCAGCCTCAGCCTCCCAGGTAGCTGAGACTACAGGTGTACATCACCACACCTGGCTAATGTTCGTATTTTTTTAGAAGCAGGGTCTTGCTATGTTGTCCAGGCTAGTCTTGACCTCCCGGCCTCTGGTGATCATCCCGCCTCAGCCTCCCAAAGTGCTGGGATTACAGGCGTGAGCCACTGTGCCCAGCTAAGGGTCTGCATGGCTCACAAAGCCCCAGCACTTGCGGACAGGGGGTCTGAACCACACAAGATTGCCTCAAGGGAAGGTGCTGGAACTTTTGTTTCAGTCCTGAAGTCACAGGCACTGGTCAGGTTTGTGAGCAGGGAGGTGACACCTCCAAGGGACATGAGTAGGGAGCAATGGCCATTCTCCTCCTTGGAGAGTCCCTTGTTAGAACCTAGGCCTGCCACTTCCTGTTTCACAGTAGTTCAGTATTTACAGTAACTTCCAGGAAGGGGACCATGTGTCACGCCTGAGCTGACCCTTTCTCTCTGCTGCGAGCTCAGGATGTGGGCAGGCGACCCTGAGCCCAGCAGGGCCCTCCATCTGCAGGTGTCCCCCAGCTCCCCAGTGTCCCTGAGCTCACTACCCCAGCTGAGCCCCAACACCTCTTTTTTTTTCTTTGGGGACACAGTCTTACTCCATCACCCAGGCTGGAGTGCAGTGGTGCAATCTCGGCTCACTGCAACCTCTGTCTCCTGGGTTCAAGCGACTCTCCTGTCTCAGCCTCCTGAGCAGCTGGAATTACAGGCGCGTGCCACCACACCCCACTAATTTTTGTATTTTTAGTAGAGACGGGGTTTCACCATTTTGGCCAGGCTGCTCTCAAACTCCTGACCTCAAATGATCTGCTCGCCTCGGCCTCCCAAACTGCTGGGATTACAGGCATGAGCCACGGTGCCCGGCCCACTGGCACCACCTCTTTGCCCCATGCTGACCCCTCTCATGTTGGGATTAGGGACCAGGGCCAACCTCCTCCCCTGTCTATGCTCGCCTGATTCGGGGACTTCCGCCTCGCTCCTCTCCACTCCAGAGGCACCAGGGCTTCTGTCTGAGCTGTGACCCCAAAGTTGCTGTTGACAACTGACATGTGTCCCGGGTCCTGTGATTTAGAAAACATCTCACCTCTGCCTCCGCCATCTCATTGGTCCTTCTCCAGGGCACCCAGAGGCTGGCATTGTTATGAGGATTTATGTGAATTTTTTACTTCCTTGTCGTCCACACGATGCTGCTGAGTTCAGAGCGATTCAGTGAATTTTCCACCGTCACCGGCCATGAAAGGCCAGAGCCTGGACTCTTGGTTGTTGCCCAGACTGTGTGTGTGTGTGTGTGTATGTGTGTGTGTATGCCTGTGTGTGTCTGTGTCCATTTATGTGTGTGGGCTGGGCACGGTGGCTCACGCCTGTAATCCCAACTTTGGGAGGCTGAGGCGGGCAGATCCCTTGAGGTCAGGAGTTCCAGACCAGCCTGACCAATATGGTGAGACCCCATCTCTACTAAAAATACAAAAAATTAGCCGGGTATGGTGGCGAACGCCTGTAATCCCAGCTATTCCAGAGGCTGAGGGAGGAGGATGGCTTGAACCAGTGAGCAGAGATGGCGCTATTGCACTCAGCCTGGGTGAAAAAAAAAAGTTATGTGTGTGGATGAATGCACGTGGGTCTGGGTGTGCACGTGTGTAGATCCATGTTGGGTGGGTGTGCCCGTGTATGTGAGCACTCTCTGTGATTGTGCAGAAGTGTGTATGTGTGTTGTGTGTGTGCATGACTGTGAGTGTGCATGAATGTGTATGAGTGTGTTGTGTGTATGCATGAGTGTGATGGGTGTGTGGGCACTCTGTGTGTGCATGGGTGCATGTGTGTGCCTAGGTGTGTGCATGAGTATGACCACTCCATGTGTGTGCATGACTGTGAATTTACTTTGTTTTTGTGTGTACATGAGTATGTGTGTATACTTTTTTTTTTGGATGGAAAGAGGAGTTTGTTAAGGAGTATTAACTCACAGGATCACGAGGTCCCACAATAGGCCGTCTGCAAGCTGAGGAGCAAGGAAGCCAGTCCGAGTTCCAAAGCTGAAGAACTGGTAGTCCGATGTTCGAGGGCAGGAAGCATCCAGCATGGGAGAAGGATATAGGCTGGAAGCCTAGGCCAGTCTAGTCTTTTCACATTCTTCTGCGTGCTTTGTGTTTTGGCCACACCGGCAGCTGATTAGATGGTGCCCACCCAGATTGAGGGGGGTGGGGTCTGCCTTTCCCAGTCCACTGACTCAAATGTTAATCTCCTTTGGCAACACCCTCACAGACACACCCAGGATCAATACTTTGCATCCTTCAATCCAATCAAGTTGACACTCAGTATTAACCATCACAGCTGCCTTCTCTTATAAGACGGGGAAACTGAGGCCCAACAGCCCAGAGATGGACAGACACTTGCCTAAGATGACACAGTGGTATTACAGACTAGACCCTGAGTCTCCTGGTCCCTCCCAGCTCGTTACACCTTCGAGGACCCTAGGACAGGAGAAGCCACACTCTAAGCTAGAACCCATCCTCACACCACAGCCCTTGAATTCTCCTTCTGTCCTTTCCCTCTGCCCGAATGGGGTCAGTGGAGGGAATGGACTCTGGGTGAAATCACACCCATTCAGAGCCTTTGGGACAAATATTTGAGAGTCACCAATTACCTGATCATCAAAGACATGCCTTTAACTTCCTGACTGTCCCGGTTGTTTGGGGCGGCCAGGAGGCCCCCTGGAATCCCTACTGTCACTGGCATATTGCAAGCACATGTTTTCTGCACACAGAGCTGCTCACAATAAACCAACGCTGAAAAGCACATTAAAATGAATCGGAGAAGAGAGAGTCACTTTGTAACATGCTTTATTTTATTTTGTTTTTGCCTTGGAAAGGAGCATGTTTTGGCTGCCAATGAAAGAGCTGGTGGGGGCCTCTTAGCAGAAACCAAACGGGTCCAGATTAGACCTACCCAGCCCACCCCCTGGGACAGTGGCTCTGGCTCCAGGGAGCTGAGAGGGGCCCCGAGACCAGGGGTGAGCTGCAGGGCTGGTCTAGAAACTGGAGATCCCGGGTACCAGCCCTGAGCTCTGGGACACTGGATCCCTTTTCTCCTTTTACCTAGCCTCCGTGTTCCTAACTGCAGAAGAGATTCCCTGACTGTATTTGCTCCTTCTGATTAGTCAGTGGGCACCACGGTCCCTAAGGAGAGTGCATTTCTCATAACAGCTCTGCAAGATGGTTTGGACCATCCGGGGATTTCCAGCCAGAGTGCTGTTATTTTGCATGGATTGGTCACAAGCTGAGATTCATACCTTTCTGTCCAATCCCTCTCCAACTTCCCTCTTAGGTGTGCTGTCTGCAGCCTTCTCCTCCCTGCACACATCCAAAAGCAACTCCTCCCCACTCCCTAGAACCACTCCTTTTTTTTTTCCCCCTCACTCTATTGCCCAGGCTGGAGTGTGGTGATGTGATCTCGGCTCACCGCAACCTCCGCCTCCCGGGTTCAAGCGATTCTCTGGCCTCAGCCTCCCGAGTAGCTGGGACTACAGGTGTGTACCACCACGCCTGGCTAATTTTCGTATTTTTAGCAGAGACAGAGTTTCACCACGTTGGCCAGGCTGGTCTCAAACGCCTGGCCTCAAGTGATCCGCCTGCCTCGGCCTCCCAAAGTACTGGGATTACAGATGTGAGCCACCGCGCCCGGCTTTGCCTAGAACCACTTCTAATTCTCCTTGCTCAGTGAAAAACACTACTCCGTCTAGCCAATCTGCCGTTGAAATCAGAAACCTCAAAGCCTCAACTCTCTCCTTGTGACCCTGTTGCAAGGGATCCCCAACATCCCGTGGATTCTTCTGTCTCTACAGCCCTCTCTAATCCATCTCCTCTTTTCTGCCCCTCCTGGCTTTGTTTTTTGTTGGGTGGGGGGAGCAGGAGACAGAATCTTACCCTGTTGCCCTGGCTGGAGTGCAGTGGTGTGATCACAGTTCACTGCAACCTCCACCTCCCCGCCTCAGGTGATCCTCCCACTTCCCCATCCTGAGTAGCTGGGACCACAGGCACACGCCACCATGCCTAATTTTTAGTGTTTGTAATAGAGATGGGGTTTCTCCGTGTTGCTCAGGCTGGTCTCCAACTCCCGGGATTAAGTGATCCTCCCTCCTCCACTTCCCAAAGGTTGGGATTACTGGCGTGAGCCACCACAAAGTGGCCCATTTTCTTACCTTAGATCTCACCCACCTATCAGAACTGTCTCAGCAACCTCCGGTCTCTCCCCACCAAGAGCAAGCAGAAATCTAAACATTCCCCTTCCCTGTTTGAGACCCTTCTGGACTTTCCACCCCACCTGGATATCAGCCAAATAGCACCGCCGCTGGTCCCTGTGGTTTCTTTGTGCAGATTAAGGAAAAAGCGCCCCTTCCTCAAGGCACGTGACTGCCATCTGCTGGAAAACTGCCGTAATATATATAAAATTATGAGGACCATGATATGATGGCGCCCTCTAGGGTTGTGCAAACACAGCATCCTGAATCCCACAGCCTCCTGGCTTTCAAGAGCCTGATGGCCCTCCAGCCTCATGTCTTCCACTCCTTGTGCCTGCTCACATCTTCTCTTCCACTGATCACAAGCTGTTTGAGGCTCTCCAAACACACTGGAGCATGGAGGTGGAGAATGTGGACTTTGGAGACAGAATCCCAGCTCCGTCATGTAACTGTTACAAAATTCCTTAACCTGGCCAGGCGCGGTGGCCCATGCCTATAATCCGAACAGTTTTGGAAGCCTAGGAGGGAGGATTGCTTGAGGCCAGGAGTTCAAGACCAGCTTGGGCAACACAGCGAGACCCCATCTCTACAAAAAATAGAAAAATCATCCAGGCGTGGTGCACACCTGTAGTCCCAGCTCCTCAGGAGGCTGAGGTGGGAGGATCGCTTGAGCCCAGGAGTTTGAGGCTGCAGTGAGTCATGATCACACCACTGTACTCCAGACTGAACAACAGAGATAAAACCCTGTCAAAAAAAAAAAAAAGATGATGGTCTTAACATTTAGGGTGGCATGAACCAACAACCCTCCCTTCCCACCCCTCCTTGATAAACAGATGAAACATTGGCCCCTCTCTCCTAAAGCATGCCCGGGCACAGAGAATCTTATTTACAGGAACCCTCAGAGGATTCTCCCATCACTCACGAAACCTGACCGTAAGGTCTTTCAGCTCAGATGAAGGAGGAGAGACCCCTAATCTTTGCTGGGTGTCATTTCACATGTGGAAGTGGTCACTTTTCAAATTCAGGTCTTTACCTTCCCACCTGTATTAGTTCGTTTTGTGTTGCTATAAAGGAATACTTGAGGCTGGGTAATGTATACAGAAAAGAGGTTTGTTCCAGCTACTCAGCCAGGAGGCTGAGGCGGGAGGATCCTTTGAGCCCAGGAGGTCGAAGCTGCAGTGAGCTATGATCGTACCACTGCACTCTAGTCTGAGTGAGGTTTACTTGGCTCACAGTTCTGCAAGCCTGGCACCAGCATTTGCTCAGCTTCTGGTGAGGCCTCAGGAAGCGTTTACTAGTGGCAGAAGGTGAAGGGGGAGCTGATGCGTCGCATAGCAAAAGAGGGAGCCAGAGATGGGGGAGGAAGAGGTGCCAGCTCTTTAAGACAACCAGGAGGCTGGGCATGGTGGTTCGTGTCTGTAATCCCAGCACTTTGGGAGGCCGAGGTGGGCGGATGATTTGAGGTCAGGAGTTTGAGACCAGCCCGGCCAACATGATGAAACCCACTTCTCTACTAAAAATACAAAAGTTAACCAGACGTGGTAGCAGGCGCCTGTAATCCCAGCTGCTCAGGAGGCTGAGGCAGGAGAATAGCTTGAACCTGGGAGGCGGGGGTTGCAGTAAGCTGAGATCGTGCCACTGTACTCCAGCTCAGGCTACAGACTGAGACCCTGTCTCAAAAAAAAGAAAAAAGAAAAGAAGAACAGAAAACAGCCTCTGATTCCCTCCCTCCTCCTTGCACCTAGAGCAATGGCATCTCACTAAGGCTGGTAAACTCACTAATGGGATGCCAGTCTGGCCAGGGATCACTGGTTCTTGCTGCCAGATGAAGAGTGGGGCTGCAGAGGTACAGGGCAGGGTTCATTCCCACCCCCAGAATGGTCTAGGCCCGGCCAACACGGGTGAGTTGAGGCCCCCAGCAGCTCAGGGTTTGGCTTCCTGGCCTCTTTCAGCACTGGGGGCTCTTTTATTTTTTTTTTGACGGGGCCTCACTCTGTCACCTAGGCTGGAGTGCAGTGGTGCGAGCTTGGATCACTGCAACTCCTGCCTCCCAGGTTCAAGTGCTTCTTCTGCCTCAGTCTCCTGAGTAGCTGGGACTACAGGTGTGCACCACCACGCACGGCTAATTTTTGTATTTTTAGTAGAAACGGGGTTTCACCATGTTGGCCAGGCTGGTCTCGAACTCCTGACCTCAGGTGATCTGCCAATCTCAGCCTCCCAAAGTACTGGGATTATAGGCATAAGCCATCGCGCCCAGTCTTTTTTTTTTTTTTAAGAGGGTCTCACTCTGTCACCCAGGCTGGAGTGCAGTGGTGCAATCATGGCTTACTGCAGCCTCCAATTCCTGGACTCAAGTGATCCTCCCACTTCAGCCTCCTGAGTAGCTGGGACTACAGGCAATCATCACCAAGCCCAGATAATTTTTGAAATTTTTTTGTAGAGATGTAGGGATCTCACTATGTTGCCAGGGTGGTCTCAAACTCCTGGGCTCAAGCAATCCTCCCATCTTGGCTTTCCAAAATGCTGGGATTACAGGCGTGAGCCACTGCACCCGGCCTCTCAGAGGAGCCTTTTAAAGATGTAAATGAGATCATGAAATCGCCCTCCCTGAAACTCAGTAATTCCGTTCACTGTGATAAAAGTCCCCTCCTGGGCCCTGCAGGTAAGGCTGCACCTCATCCCATGTCACACACACCTTTGCTCACTACCTGCCAGCCTTTTCCCTGCCTCAGGGCCTTTGCACCTGCTATTCCTGCCTTCTGACACAGCTGCAGAGACAGGGCGAGCCTGGGGCTTGGGGCTGAGTCAGGCTCACTGCAGCCTCAAATTCCTGGGCTCCAGTGATCCTCCTACCTCAGCTTCCCATGTAGCTGGGACTACAGGTGAGCACCACCATGCCCAGCTAATTTTTTAATTTTTTGTAGAGAATGAGGCTGGGAGGGGGTCTCACGATGTTGTCCAGGCTGGCCTCAAACTCTTGGCTTCAAGAGAGCCTCCTGCTTTGGCCTCCCAGAACATTGGGATTACAGGCGTGAGCCACTGTGTCTGGCTAATGGGGGCTTCTCTGAGCGAGCCACACAAGGTGATTCAGAGCACTTGTGCATCTCACTTTTTTCTTTTTCTTTCTTTCTTTTTTTTTTTTTTTTTTTTGAGACGGAGTCTCGCTCTGTCGCCCAGGCTGGAGTGCAGTGGCACGATGTCGGCTCACTGCAAGCTCCACCTCCCAGGTTCACGCGATTCTCCTGCCTCAGCCTCCCGAGTAGCTGGGACTACAGGCGCCCACCACCATGCCTGGCTAAGTTTTTTGTATTTTTAGTAGAGACAGGGGTTTCACCATGTTAGCCAGGATGGTCTCGATCTCCTAGCCTCATGATCCACCCGCCTCGGCCTCCCAAAGTGCTGGGATTACAGGCGTGAGCCACCGCACCCGGCCCATCTCACTTTTTTCAAAAGTATTCCCATCTGAGTTCAAGTCGACATCAGGTGGTGGCGCACGGGCAGAGGCCCTCTCCCTGCCTCCCTTGGCCTGGCCACACCAAACCCTTTAGAAGGCTTTGACTTGGGAAAGCATAACCCGCTGGACTCGGTTTCAGGGCTGGGTCTCCTGGATGCTCAATGTGAATGCTACTAACTGAACTCCCAGAACAAATCCTGATTCTCAAGGGCAAAAGTGGCCTGGCTGGTCCAGGGGCTGAGCCCTTGTGGGTTCCGTTAAGCTATCCTAAGAAAAGGCGGCTCAGAGCCCTGCTCTAGGCTGAAGGCAGACAGGACCTGCTGGTCCCTGGCCATGGTAGTCACCAAGCGCCACACGTGGACAAGAACGTTTCAAGTCCCAGGACATAGGATTGTCCCCTGATCTGGCCAGTGTGGCTGATAGTATTCATGTGACTACTTGCAACCTTACAAAAAGGGGCCCATCAGAAGTGTTTCCCCACAGGCCAACAAAAGGGAGGACCCCGGTTCTGCTGAAGTCCAATTCTGCCAGGACTGTAGGTGGGAGGATTGCATAAGCACGGGAGTTTGAGACCAGCCTGGGCAACATAGTAAGACTCCATCTCTACAAAACCCCCCAAAATTAGCTGGGCATGGTGGTGCACACCTGTAGTCCCAGCTACTCAGGAGGCTGAGGCGGGAGAATTGCTTGAGCCTACTTAGGAGTTTGAAGCTGCAGTGAGCTATGATCACACCACTGCACTCCAGCCTGGGCAACAGAGTGAGACCCTGTCTCTAAAAGTAATAATAATAAATAAAATGAAAGACACAACCGAATTCATAAGGCAGGAATGTGCTCTAGGTGCCCCAGTTACCAGAAGCTAAGGAAGCAGAGGGTTTCGCTGCTGGTGCTGTGGTCACCGTGGAGGTCGGGGTGGAGTGAGAATATTGGTCTTGGTTTACCCCTGAGTCAGCACAGGGGAGGAGGTTGGGCTCCTCTGTTGCTGAGTTAGGGCTATGACTTAGTGCAAGAGGCAACTCAGGAAAGCCCACTGGCTCATGGAGGCAACAAGAAAACTTGTCCATCTTCTGTGTACTCTGGATGGGGAAAATTTGGCTGGAAAAAATCAAAACCTAGCCAGGTGTGGTGGCTCACGCCTGTAATCCCAGCACTTTGGGAGGCCAAGGTGGGAGGATCACTTGAGACCAGGGGTTCGAGATGAGCTTGGGCAACATACTGAGAGCCCTGTCTCTACAAAAAAATAAAAAATTAGCCAGTGTGCGGCATGTGCCTGCCTGTAGTCCAAGCTACTAGGGAGGCTGAGGCAGGAGGGTCGCCTGAGTCCAGGAGGTTGAGGCTGCAGTGAGCTATGATCGTGCCACTGCACTCCAGCCTGGGCAATAGAGCAAGACCCTGTCTCAAAAAAACAGAAACAAAACCTTGGCCTCTACTTCCCACAAATTGGCCCTACCTCTGTGACCACCAAATATTCAGTTGGAGCTATAAATGATTTAGGCACAAACCCCCAAATAAGATAGCTATTCAAATCCAGCAGTGCACCAAAAAAGTAATAGGTCCTTACCATGTAGTTCTTCAGAAAATCTGTTTATGTAATCCACCTCATTCACAGATTAGAAGATAATAGAGTTTGATGAACTTCAACACCTATGCATGATGAAAACTCTTGCTAAACTAGGAAAAGAAAGAAGCTTCTTGGCACATAGATCCTGGCTGCTGCACTCCCCAGAAAGCATTGCACTAGTGTGAGACATTAAAAGCCTCCCTTTTTACAATTTTATTATTATTATTATTATTATTATTTTGAGATGAAGTCTCGCTCTGTCGCCCAGACTAGAGTGCAATGGCATGATTTTGGCTCACTGCAACCTCCGCCTCCTGGGTTCAAGCAATTCTCCTGTCTCAGCCTCTAGAGTAGCTGGGATTACAGGCATGCGCCACCACACCCGGCTAATTTTTTTGTATTTTTGTAGAGACAGGGTTTCACCATGTTGGCCAGGCTGGTCTCGAACTCCTGACCTCAAGTGATCCACCCTCCTTGGCCCCCCAAAGTGCTGGGATTACAGGCATAAGCCACCACGCCCAGCCTCTATTTATTTTATTTATTTTTATTTTTATTTATTTATTTATTCTGAGACAGAGTCGCCCACGCCACTGAGTGCAGCAGCGTGATCTTGGCTCACTGCAACCTCTGCCTCCTGTGTTCAAGTGATTCTCATGCCTCAGCCTCCTGAGTAGCTGAGACTACAGGCATGTGTCACCGTGCCCAGCTAATTTTTGTATTTTTGTATTTTTGTATTTTTTTAGTAGAGATGGGGTTTTGCCGTGTTGGCCAGGCTGGTCTCAAGCTCTTGGCCTCAAGTGATCCACCTGTCTCAGCCTCACAAAGTGCTGGGATTACAGGTGTGAGCCACCATGCCTGGCCAGTAGCCTCCCTTTAAGGTCATGAATGGGATTTGGAGGTAGTTGTCACAACTTCTACCCAGCATTGCCTTTCAGATCCTAACCTGTGCAATATGTGGAGTTAAAGGAATAAAAGGCAAATTGGAAACATTTTTATGACAAAAGGCAGTGTTACCACAGCACAAACACATGCTACAGATTGGGAGGAGATATTCGCAAAGCATGAAATTGACGACGGGCTGGTATTGGAAATACGGCAGAAAGAACTCCTATGCATCAAAATGAAAAAGACAGAACAACCTAATAGGAAAACGGGTCAAGGGCATGAATGGGTATTTCCCAGAGTGGGGAAACAGAAATGGCTCAAAAACCTGTGAAAAGATGTCCAGTCTCATTAACAATGTAGAAAATGCAAATTTAAACCACAACAAGGCTCGGCACGGTGGCTCACTCCTGTAATCCCAGCACTTTGGGAGGCCGGGGTGGGTGGATCATTTGAGGTCAGGAGTTCAAGACCAGCCTGGCCAATATGGTGAAACCCTGTCCCTACTAAAAACACAAAAAAATTAGCCGGGCGTGGTGGCGGGTGCCTGTAGTCCCAGCTACTCGGGAAGTTGAGGCAGGAGAATTGCTTGAACCCAGGAGGCAGAGGCTGCAGTGGGCCAAGATCACGCCACTGCACTCCAGCCTGGGTGACAGAGTGAGACCCTGTCTCAAAAAAATAAAAATAAAAATAAAAACAATAAAAAAAATAAACCACAACGAGATTCTGTTTCACACCCACCAGATTGGCAGAGCTGCTGAGGTTTTGGACAGCTGCCTCTCTGGGCCCTGGGGTCTGGAGGAGGAGGGGTGTTGGATGAGTCAGGGGACCCAGGGTTGTCCCCAACAACCCTATTAGGGAGGTTTATTCCTTCCAGCTGGGGCTGGCCGGAGAGCAGGGGACAGTGAGCTATGGCTAGCGAGGCAGTGCTGTTTGGGTCTTACCCCAGGCTCTGGGGGTGGGTGGGGCTGATCCACTGATGTCAGGACCCCCCTCCAAGACAGCTAGATGTGTCTTTGGCTGCAGCGCCTGGGCCCAGCCTGCAGAACTGGCGGGCAGGAGAGAAGGAGAAAGGGGATGTGGGGTAACCGGGCAAGGCTGCCCTTCCCTTGTACTTGGACAGTCTCCTCCTCGCAGAGAATCTGCATCTCCAGCTACCCATCCGCCACCACCATATCCCTAAAGCTCAGAGAGGCTGAAGTGGGGAGATCTAGGCTCCCTTCCCGGCTCCTCCCATGCTCCAGCCCAGCTGTGAGCAGAGAGCAGGCATCAGACACTGAGGCCAGCCTCTGGTTGTCCCAAGTTCTTTCAATGGCTTTGCTTCTGGCCTGAACATCCTCCCATCTGCACCTTCGTGAGTCCAGCTGGGCTCCCAGAAGCCTGGGATAAGACCAGTGTGGACGCCAGCCCTGCCCACGGGGCAGGAGCTTTCCTGGTTGCTCCAGACCAGTGTCTGGGTGCCGATAAACAAGGCAGACAAGAGCCCCAATTTAGTAGCCTCACTCTGTGCCTGAACAGAGTCTTCTGTCTCCTTCTTGGAACCTGCACACAAACGGTGCCTCTCTGATCAAGGAGAAATTGGTGTTTCTGGATTCGAGACCCTCTCTTACTATAAATATTTATTTTTTTTTTGAGACAGGGTCTCAACAGAGACTCTGTTGCCCAGGCTGGAGTGCAGTGGCGCGATCGGCTCGCTGCAACCTACAACTTCTGGTTCAAGTGATTCTCCTGCCTCAGCCTCCTGAATAGCTAGGACTACAGGTGTGTGCCACCACACTCAGCTAATTTTTGTATTTTTAGTAGAGACAGGGTTTTGCCATGTTGGCCAGGCTGGTCTGGAACTGCTGGCTTCAAGTGATCTGCCCGCCTTGGTCTCCCAAAGTGCTGGGATTACAGGCATGAGCCACCATGTCTGGCTCTTTTTTTTTTTTCTTTTTTTGAGACAGAGTCTCTTTCTGTCACCCAGGCTAGAGTGCAGTGGGTTGATCCCTCGGCTTGCTGCAAGCTTTGCCTCCCTGGCTCAAGTGATTCTCATGCCTCAGCCTCCCAAGTAGCTGGGATTACAGGTGTGTGCCACCACAACCAGGTAATTTTTGTATTATTGGTAGAGACAAGGTTTTGCTAGGTTGCCCAGGCTGGTCTTGAACTTCTGGCCTCCAGTGATCTGCCCACTTCAGCCTCCCAAAGTGCTGGGATTACAGGCATGAGCTGCTGCACCCGGCCAGACCCTCTCTTACCTTTTCTGGGCTTGGCCATCTCTCTCCCGTCCTTCACTGTGGGGACAGAACTACCTCTCAGGCATCTGGAAGGCGAGGGGGATGCTTTGTAACGCATCGTGCCCCCTGTGGAACTGAGGATTAATTCTTACTTTGGTGTAAATAACTGAGGGGGAAGTAAGGAGTTGCTGCCCTGGGAGGGTGAACCTGGTTTTAGCCCTGGGTTGGCCACCATTCAAATGTGTGATTGTGGCCGTGAGCCACTTAACATCCAGATATCTTTTCTAATCTGTACGAAGAAAGGGCTGAGTGAGATCATTCTAAGATCCTTCTTGTCTTTACAACTGTATGGGAGATTTGCTTTTTTGTTGTTTTTTGTTTTGTTTTGTTTTGTTTTTTTAGAGAGAGAAAGAGAGTTTTGCTCTGTTGCCCAGACTGGAGTGCAGTGGCAATAGTCATAGCTCACTGCAGCCTTGACCTCCTTAGCTCAAGCAATCCTCCCACCTCAGCCTCTCGAATAGCCGGGACTACAGGTGCGCACCACCATGCATGGCTAGTTTTAATTTTTTTTTTAGAGATGGGGTCTCACTAGGTTGCCCCACCTAGTCTCAAACTCCTGGGCTCAAGTGATCCTCCGGCCTCAGCTCCCAAAGTGCTGTGATTATAGGCATAAGCTAGTGCACCTGGTGAGATTTGCTTTTTAATATAAGAGTACAAATTACAGCTGTCTTTTCTCAGCCATGCAGTCTAGTCCCACATTCTCTAACCAGTTCAGGGGCCCAGGAGACGGCTTTGATCATTCGTGTCTTAAGGGCCAAACAACTGAGGTTCAGAGAGCCGAAAAACTTTCTCAGGGTCACACAGCGTGTCGGGGGCAGGGCCCAGAGAGATGACTAGGCCTTAAGCTATTAGGCAACCACTGTAAAATCCTGCACAGAGGCCGTCATGTTGTTCGAAGGCATTTTAAAGAACTATTCGGGGCAGCAATACACAGAAAGTCTCCCTAAGAAAGAGCCAGATCGTGTTTGGGTGATTTCCCAGGCTGGAAAATCCAGGCAAGTGGAAGAAAAAATTCATCCTTGGTGAAGGTCGGTGCCTGGTAAGGGGAGGGGCCTTGTCGAGTGCTCCTCGGATTACCATGGCAACTGCCTCCTGCCAGGAAAGGTGTGATCCTGAGTCTGACCCTGAGACTCAAGGAGTCTCCTTCACTTGCCCCGTGATTCTTCCCTTCCTGTCTCCTTCACCCATCCCATCTCCCGCCTGAGCTGACATCACTGCCCTAGGGAAGCTGAGCCCAGGCTGCCAAATGCCACCAAGCAGGTAGCTTCCGTGTGAGCGCAGTATTCCCCAGAGATGTGGATGGATCTCCTTCACCTGTTCCTCCGTTGGGTGTCTAGGAACCTGGGCAATGGGGCTCTGACACCTGCCTGCCCATCTGTATTGGTCCGTTTTCACGTTGCTGATAAAGACATACCCAAGATTGGGCAATTTACAGAAAAAAAGAGGTTTAATGGACTTACAGCTCCACGTGGCTGGGGGAGCCTCACAATCACTGCGAGGTGACTTGCTCCTCCTTGCCTTCCGCCATGATTGTGAGACTTCCCCAGCCACGAGAGAGCTTGTGCTGGGTGCAGGGAAACTCCCACTTATATAATCATCAGATCTCGCGAGACTTACTCACTATCACGAGAACGGCATGAGAAAGACCTGCCCCATGATTCAATTAGCTCCCACTGGGTCCCTCCCACAACATGTGGGAATTCAAGATGAGATTTGGGTGAGGACACAGCCAAACCATTTCACCATCTCTTGCCCATCTTGATCCCAGGGGATAGAAGATAGCTGGGCTGGAAGACAGGGTTGGGGTGCTCCAGGGCTTCCCCCACTGCAGTCAGAGAAGCTTCCCTTCTCCCCGCATTTTTTTTTTTTTTTTTTTTTTTTTTTTTTTTTGAGATGAGGTCTTGCTCTGTGTCCCAGGCTGGAGTGCAGTGGTGCAATCATAGCTCACTACAGCTTCGAACTCCTGGACTCAAGCGATCCTCCCACCTCGGCCTCCCGAGTAGCTGGGACTACAGGCATGCACCACCCAGGCCTAGCTTGTTCTAAAAAACTTTGAGAGACGATGTCTTGCTAAGTTGCTTAGGCTAGTCTTGAACTTCTTGGCTCAAGAGATTCTCCCACCTCTACCTCCCAAAGTACTGGGATTACAGGTGTGAGCCACTGCACCCAGCCTGTCTTTTGTTTTTAAAACTCTGCTGCCATTTCTCTCTGAAAGCCCCAATGGCCAGAGAACCTTGCCCGCATCTTGCTGTATTTTTGGGAATTTGTCTGTTCCTTGAGAGGCGATTGCCTCCTCCTGAGCCTTGACCAGTGGGTGCTACAGGAAGATGAGGCCTCACCTAGTCCCAAGGCTGTGGGTGCCCCTCAGCCCTCTGGGGTTCAGAGTGCCTGGCAGTGTCAGGCCGCTCCCCACCCCACCACAGCCTGGAGGCTCCAAGGCTGCCAGCTTTGTTTCATGACCCTTTGAACCTTGACCTTGGGCTTGGAGCACCATTAAGACAAATTCTTTCCCAGTGATGAAGAGCAATGGCAGCGCCAACTCCCCGTGTCCAAGTGGGTCAGGAACCACAGAGTCCGTCTCCCCCTGCACTTGGTGTCATCTTTCAGGCCCAGGCGGGGCCAGCTGCCAGCTTTGCGGGGCCCTGGAGTTATTTATGATTTCTTTCTGGATGAGGAAGAAAGGGTTAGAGCACTTGAAGCAATAACTTCAGATGAACAATGCGATCCTCAGAAATCCACCCAAGAGAAGCAATTGAATCGCTGAAACCGGCAAGATAAACATGTACAGTGATGTTCCCCTCTCCTGGTATCCTTGCTGCCCCAAACAACTGCTGGGACTGATCACTTATTTTTGTTGCAATGAAATCCCCGTCAAGTCCTGAGGGACATTCCTGGAAGACTTGAAATCTCTCCACCGAGCACATTGTAACCCAGCTTCCTTCATCCAAGCATCCCCAGCTGTGGGGACCCCAATCTGTCCCCAACGGAGGGCCAAGAAGTACTTGATCCTGAAAGAGTCTCGTCCCTCTATACTCACACCTTCATTCTGGGGACATCTCCCATTCATGGCTGGTCTGAAGGAAAGCTGGTCTATGGAACAGTGTTGCTGATAAATTAATATATTAATTTAATCAAACAGACCTGCCATGACCTGTTACACTTGCCTGTCCAGAAGAGGCGAGCTAAACTCATCTCCAGGTAATCTGTCTGGCAGGTGACACAGGTACAGATATGGCCCCAGGAGGTGTCAGGATCTGGGCACTAATGCTCATGCACCTTTTTGGGAGCTCTCCCGGATGTTACAGTTCTAACTCACTGACTCCTGAGGTTTCCAAAGTGGCCCAAAGCAATCAGGAGCCACAAATTCTTTTTTTAGTTTTTCCCCTAGAGACAGGGTCTCGCTCTGTGGCCCAGGCTGGAGTGCAGTAGTGTCATCATAGCTCACTGCTGCCTCCAACTTCTGGGCTCAAGCGATCATTCCACCTCAGCCTCTCCAACAAAAGGAACCAAAGTGAGCATTAGGAGGCTGCAGAGGGAGAGGCTGCCGGGCCCTGCTGGTGGCTCCCTGCCACTCTGCACAGGCTGCTGAGGCCAGGGGACAGGCTTCCTGCTCTATGCATGTGCACCTTCTGAGATCCCACTCAGCCACTGCCAGCTGGGGGACACTGAACAGGGAGCGGGGTCAGGCACTGGGAACTGCCCTGTGCATCCTCAGGCAGAGCACAGCCCTCTCTGTGCCTCAGCCACCCATAGATCAGAGGCAGGGACCACCTGGACACTCTTTTAAAGCCCGTTCAACCTCGTCATTCTGAGTCAGTAACTAACGGAGCTAGAAGTCACGTCATCTGGGCGTCCAGTGTTCCCTCCTCTCTCCTCGGGAAAAGGAGCTGAGTTTTGCTTGCTGAGAGCAGATGGATCACATCACCGCGGCTCATTCTCAAGCTTCCATGGTGAAATGTGATCCCCTGTGAAGCATCCCAGGCCCTCCAGTCCAGGCAGGGCTACAGGATGAGCAGCCAGATGCCCTGGTTCCATTTCAGCTCATCTGCTCCCTCTCAGTGGCCCTCAGTTTTCCTCCACAATAAAATGGGGCAATAATCCCCTGGTCTATTGCCTGGTCCAGATCTTTACCCTCAGCCTGCAGGGAGTGTCCTTATCTTTAGTCCCAGCTGTTTATCCAGGGAGGATGTGCAGGAAGGGACAAGCTCTCTGTGTGCATGCTGAGTAGAGACCACCATTGCTACATCCAGAAGTCCCCCCGGAGCATCATAAGCTGAAGATGGGGTCTGAAGGTCTCAGGGTACGCTCTTGAGTCAAGCCCACCCAACACCTGCCTGGGGCAGGCAGGGCAGCTCAGCTAGAGACGGTGCAGAACACAGGGTCCTTGGGGACCCTCCCAGCCTCCTGATAGCAGAGCCTTTTATAGCCAAATCATTTTGGAGAGAGACTCATTTAAGAACTGGCCAGGTGCAATGGCTCATACCTGTAATCCCTACACTTTGAGAGGCCGAGGTGGGAGAATTGCTTGCGGCCAGGAGACGCGACCACCCTGGGCAACATACTGAGACTTCGTCTGTACAAAAAAATTTTTAAAAATTAGCTGGGCATGGTGGTGCACACCTGTACTCCCAGCTACTCAGGAGGCAAAGGTGGGAGGAAGAGAACCAGGTTGACAGACAAGCACAGACACATACACACACACACACACACACACACACACACCCCCGTGTTCTTGCATGTTTTTGCTCCAGCAGGGGGACATGTGGAGTGGTCTTCCTTTTGCTCCCCTCTCATGCTCCTTCCCCAGCAGCAGGGCCCTGACTCTCTCTATAAGCCCCTTTATGTTTTTTCTGGACTTAGTGGAAATGGGAAACAGCTGCTGGGGGCTGCAGGGAGAAGCAGTTCCCATGCACAGTAAGGAAGCCTCACCAGATGGCTGATCTTGATCTTGGACTTCCCAGCCCCCAGAGCTGTGAGGAAATAAACTTCTGTTCTTTATAAATTACCCAGTGTATTAGCCTGTCTTCACACTGCTATAAAGATACTACCTCAGACTGGGTAATTGACGAAGAAAAGAGGCCCAACTGACTCACAACTCTACATGGCTGGGGAGGCCTCAGGAAACTTACAATCATGGTGGAAGGCAAAGGGGAAGCAAGGCGTGTCTTCACAAGGCAGCAGGAGAGAGAATGTGTGCAGGGGGAACTGCCACTTTTTAAACCATCAGATCTCATAAGAACTCCTTCACTATCACAAAAACAGCACGGGGAGACCACCCCCATGATCCAGTCACCTCCCACCGTGTCCCTCCCTTGATACATGGGGATTACAATTCGAGATGAGATTTGGGTGGGGACACAGAGCCAAACCATATTACCCTATCTCAGGTATTTGGTTCTCATAATGCAAAATAGACTGAGACAGGTGGATATACAAAAAGTGATCCCATCCAGGGTGCTAAATTCTGTAAGCCAGTTGTGTACAGGGTGCATGGCAATTGGTGGGAAGGTGGGTGCCTAAGTGCCCTTGGGGTGGTCAAGGAAGGCTTCCTGAAAGAGGTGGTGCTAGCTGACCAATGCAGGTGTGAGGGAGGGTTGGGAGCCATTTCTAGATGAGAGTACAAGACTGGTAAAGGCTTAGGAGAGCAAGAGGTGCACAGAGCATGGCAAGTAGGCCACAGCAGCAGCACATAGGGTGACAAGGTTGGATTGGCATTTGAGGACAATTAAGAGAACACTTTGGCATGTTTATTACAAACTGATCATGCCTGTGTAACCAGCACCCACATTAACAAAGAACGTTCTCATGATCTTGAAAGCCCTCTTCTTGCCTCTTTCAACTGTGACTCTCCCCACGGGTAACCACTCACCTGAATTCCAACACCTTAGACTCTTCCGCTTGTTTCTGAACTTCAGATAAATGGAATCAGACAGTAGGTACTTGTTTGAGTCTGTCCGCCTTCACCTGACGTGTTCTGTGAGACTCGTCCACACTGTTGCATGTGGTTTGCCTACTGTTCTGACCGTGTTGCATTTCATTTTGTGATATGCAATTTATTTATCCAGTTGGCCATTAATAGGAATTTGGGCTGTTTCTAATTTTGGGTTATTCTGAGCAATGCTGCCATGAACGTTCTTGTGCATGCCTTTCAGTGAACATATTTATTCATTTTGTGAATGAATTTCGTGCCTGTCTTGTTCTCTCATCTAGAAGTGGCTCCCAACCCTCCCTCACACCCGCATTGGTCAGCTGGCTCCTAATTAAGCACCACCTCCTCCAGGAAGCCTTCCTTGACCACTCCAAGGGAACTTAGGCACCCACCTTCTCGCCAATTGCCTTGCACCTGTGCCCAACTGGCTTACAGCACTTAGCCCTCTGGATGGGATAACTTTTCGTATATCCATCTGTCTCAGTCTGTTTTGTGCTACTAGAACAAAATATTGGACACTGGGTAATTTATAAGGAACAGAAGTTTATTTCCTCACAGCTCTGGGGGCTGAGAAGTCTAAGATCAAAATCAGGCATCTGGTGAGGCTTCCTCACCATGTTTGGGAACAGCTTCTCCTGCAGCCCCCAGCAACTATTTCCCATTTCCACTAAGTCTAGAAAAAGCAGAGAGGGGCTTCCACTGGAGTAACAGGGACTTAAGACAGAGATCAGGAAGATGTTTGATGCTGAAGTTTATTATATCCTGGCTTGTATTTTCATGGGAAGGGAGGAGATATCTGGGAATGGAGTTGTTGTGTCATAGAGCGGGCTTATATTCAGCCTTATTAGAGACTGCCAAAGGGGTTTTAAAAGTGGTTGTACCATTGATACTCCCACCCGCAGTGTATGACAGACAGTTCCAGTTGCTCCGCATCCTCTCTAATACTTGGTTAAAAAAAAAAAAAAGAGTAACTGTTAGTCTTTTTAATATCAGCCATTCTAGTGGCTATGTGGGAGTATCACATTGTGGTTTAATTTACATTTCCCTGATATGGCAAATGAACTTGACCCCCTCTTCATATGATCATTGGCCATTTGGAGCTCTTATTTTGTGCATACACATATTCCAAGAATCCTCTTCCAGTTGGTGATATACTTCTTCATTCATTCTCTTAATGGTGTCTTTTGATGAAAAGAAATTCTTTTTTTTTTTTTTTGAGGTGGAGTTTTGCTCTTGTTGCCCAGTCTGGAGTGCAATGGCACGATCTCGGCTCACCACAACCTCCGCCTCCCGGGTTCAAGCCATTCTCCTGCCTCAGTCTCCCGAGTAGCTGGGATTACAGGCATGCGCCACCATGCCTGGCTAATTTTGTATTTTTAGTAGAGATGAGGTTTCACTATGTTGGCCAGGCTGGTCTCAAACTCCTGACCTCAAATAATCCACCTGCCTCAGCCTCCCAAAGTGCTGGAATTACAGGCGTGAGCCACCACACCTGGCCCGAGAAATTCTTAATTTTAATGTGGTCTACTTTATCAATTTTTTTAAATGGTAATGCTTCTTGCATCCTGCTTAAGAACTCTATTTTGAGGTCATATAGGTAGTCACCTATGTTTTCTTCCAAATGCTGTATTTTTTTACCCTTTATGTTTAGATCTACAATCCAACTGGAATTGACTTTTGCACGTGGTATGGATTAGGAGTCAGATTCTTTTACTTTTCTTTTTCATTTGTATATCCAATTGACCAGCACCATTTATTGATATGTCTATCCTTTGTCTTCTATACTGCATTTGCGCCTTTTTCATAAGCCAAGTGATGTGTAAGTGTGGATCTATTTGTCTAACTTTGTACCATCCATCTGTCTCGTGTCTTAATTACTATAGTTTTGTAACAAGGTCTCAATTCTAGTAGTATAAATCTTTTACTTTTGTTCTTCTTCAAGACTGCCTTGACTAGTCTTGGACATTTGTATTTTCATATACATTTTGGAATCAATCGGACAATTTCCACCAAAAAAAAAAGTCTACTGGGATTTTGACTGGGATTGCATTGACTCTATAGATCAACTGGAAGAATTTATATATATTTATTTATTTATTTTCAAAAACAACAATTGTGGCCAGGCACAGTGGCTCATACCTGTAATCCCAGCACTTTGGGAGGCTCAAGTGGGCGGATCACTTTAGGTCAGGAGTTCGAGACCAGCATGACCAACATGGTGAAACCCTGTCTCTACTAAAAATACAAAAAATTAGCCGGGCATGGTGGTGGGTGGCTGTAATCTCAGCTACTCGTGAGGCTGAGGCACTAGAGTTGCTTGAACCCAGGAGGCAGAGGTTGCAGTGAGCTAAGATGGCATCACTGCACTCCAGCCTGGGTGACAGAGTGAGACTCTGTCTCAAAGAAAAAAAAAAAAACGACTATTGCAGTGACATCGATGATTAATCACCTGTACTCCCCCTACTGCTAAGGGAAAAACCTTCTATACAGTTGAGTTACAAAGGAAAATCAAGACAATTTATCAGGCACCTACAGCCAGAAAATGCTCTGTTGTTTCCAGAGGTATAGACCTGACATGTTTGATGTCCCAGCGTAACACACCAACCCAGTGGTATAGACACTGACATGTTCAATGTACTAGTGTAACACACCAGCTGCAATTTTTACTGGGATGGGGAGAATTAACATCTTTATAATATTGAGTCTTCCAATCCATGAACATAGTATATCTTTCCATTTATTTAGTTATTTAATTTCTCTCAGTGGTGTTTTATAGTTTTCAGGAGATTTAGTCCTATGTAATTTCATACTTTATGATGCTTTTGTACATGGTATCACTTAATTTCTTTTTCTATTTGCTTGTCGTAGGTAGGAATATGATTGATTTTTGTAAACTGTCTTTATATTCCAGCCACCTTGCTAAACTAGCTTAATAATTCTATAACAGTAGTTTTTCATTAGATCTTGCTGGGGGGAAGATGCTTTGGCCTGTGGTCCAGCCATGGTGCAAGACCCATCAACCTTGAATAAGGGTTGGATGTGGAGGCAGAGAGGGAGAAAAACAGACTCTGCCAGCCAAGTCAACAGAACCCCCAGGGTTATAGACAGACTTTGTCCATGCCCAGTCATGGTCCAGGCACTTGCTTTCATATCATTGAGAATGGGTGCCCCAGAGAAGAATCTTATGAATCTTATGATTTGTGAGTGTGTGGCATGGCCTTTGATGCCAGCTTTCTAAGAGCCAGGTGGAGCAAGAGTGCTGAGATAGTTCCCACTCAGTATCCATAGTTTGACTTCATTCTTTTTTTTTTTTTTTTTTTTTTTTTTTTGAGACAGAGTCTTGCTCTGTCACCCAGGCTGGAATGCAGTGGCGTGATCTCAGCTCTCTACAACCTCTGTCTCCTGGGTTCAAGCCATTCTCCTGCCTCAGCCTCTTGAGTAGCTGGGACTACAGGCGTGTGCCGCCATGCCCAGCTAATTTTTTGTATTTTTAATAGAAACGGGGTTTCACTGTGTTAGCCAGGATGGTCTTGATCTCCTGAAGTCGTGATCTGCCCTCCTCAGCCTCCCAAAGTGCTGAGATTACAGGTGTGAGCCACTGAGCCTGGCCTCTGACTTCACTGTTTTTTTGGTTTTTTTTTTTTGAGATGGAGTCTCTCTCTGTCACCCAGGCTGGAGTGCAGTGGCATGATCTTGGCTCACTGCAAGCTCCGCCTCCCGGGTTCAAGCAATTCTCCTGCCTCAGCCTCCTGAGTAGCTGGGACTACAGGTGCCCACCATCACGCCCGGCTAATTTTTTGTATTTTTAGTAGAGACGGGGTTTCACTGTGTTAGCCAGGATGGTCTCGATCTCCTGACCTCGTGATCCGCCCACCTTGGCCTCCCAAAGTGCTGGGATTACAGGTGTGAGCCACTGCACCTGGCACTTCATTCTTACTTAAGTTAGAAAGTGACCAAACGTAGAGACTTTCTTCCTTTGACCCCCCTCCTACATGGCAGTCCAGCCTTTACACTGACACCCCAATGCTACCCTGCTGGCTCACCTCTCAATGGGATTTTGATAATGGGGATCCAGCCAGTCTCCTTGGGGACAGCCACAGTGGGCCATGCTGCCCTCCTATTGGCCATGGTATCTTTTTAGCTGGAGCAGAACTGCGTTTTCTTTTTCTTTTCTTTTCCTTTTTCTTTTTTTTTTGAGACAGAGTTTCGCTCTTGTTGCCCAGGCTGGAGTGCAATGGCGTGATCTCGGCTCACTGCAACCTCCGCCTCCTGGGTTCAAGCGATTCTCCTGCTTCAGCCTCCCGAGTAGTTGGGATTACAGGTGCCCGCCACCACATCCAGCTAATTTTTGTATTTTTAGTAGAGACGGGGTCTCTCCATGTTGGCCAGGCTGGTCTTGACCTCTCAACCTCAGATGATCCACCCACCTCAACTGCCCAAAGTGCTGGGATTATAAGCATAAGCCACTGCTCCCAGCCTTCTGGATGGATTTTTAAGGATCGCCTCCAGCTGGGCCCTGGTTGGGGTGGCCTGCTGGTGGCACTTGCCCTGCACATGCCCTCTGCCTGCAGACCCCTCTGAGACCTCTCACAGAGGGAGCTGGGCCTCTGGGGACAGGACCATCCATGTGCCTTGCCTCCCACTGGGATCTTGTGGCTCAAGTAGACTCCAGCTGCCTCTTTCCATTTCCCTGCAATAACCAACTCCTGCCCTATCTGCAAATCCCCTCTCAGGGCCCAGGCCTTGGGAATCCAGCCTCATTTGGGAGGTGGGTCCTGAATTCTGGGAGCAGAGCCATCACCAGGAGCAGTGCTGACCAAAGGCAGATGGCAGGTGGACTTGACAACTGTTGTCCTGCTGTGGGTGGGCAGAGCCCGGAAGTGAGAGGCCGAGGAGGAGGTCACCGGTGGCAAGAGTGAAGAGTCCTGGAGCCTGAAGCCACTGGAGCTGATCCAGTGTAAACCCCCTTTATAGATGGGAAAACTGAGGTGTGGAGAGAGAGAGGGCGTCTCAAGCCACACGGTGAGTTCCTGGCCAACTTAGACCCAGGTCTCTATAGTTCTCTTTACAATGAACACACCGCACAATCAACTCTCTCTCTCTTTTGAGACAGCGTCTCAAAAGGACACTACATCTCCAGCCCAGGCTGGAGTGCAGTGGCACAATGACAACTCACTGCAGCCTCCACCTCCCAGGCTCAAGCAATCCTCCCACCTCAGCCTCCTGAGTAGCTAGGATTACAGGCACACGCCACCATATCTAGCTAATTTTAAAATTTTTTCTAGAGACGGGGTCCTGCCATGTTGCCCCGACTGGTCTCCAACTCCTGGGCCCAAGCGATCCTCCCACCTTGACCTCCCAAAGGGCTGGGATGACACGCATGAGCCACCCCACCTGGCCTGCTCTCTCTCTCTATGTCTCTGTCTGTCTCTTTCTCTTTTCTTTTTCTTTTTTCTTTTTATTTTTTTCTCTTTTTGAGATGGAGTCTAGCTCTGTTGCCAGACTGGAGTGCAGTGGCACGATCTCGGCTCACTGAAACCTCTGCCTCCCAGGTTCAAGCAATTCTCCTGCCTCAGCCTCCCGAGTAGCTTGGATTACAGGCACGCACCACCACGTCCAGCTGATTTTTTTTTTTTTGTATTTTTAGTAGCGACGGGGTTTCACCATGTTGGCCAGGATGGTCTTGATCTCTTAACCTCGTGATCCGCCCACCTCAGCCTCCCAAAGTGCTTGGATTACAGGCGTGAGCCACCACGCCAGCCTGTGTCTTTCACACACACACTTGCTTGTGCACCCACAAACACAGACTAGTTTGCCTGGTACGTTGACACTTCCAACATACACCTATTGGCAAAGGTTTACCCCGCTGGTTTCTGTGTGGGTCCTAGACGCTGGGAAAGGCACTGTGGCCCCAGGTGCTCCAGGGCCAGTGTGTTCTCGGAGGGGCCAGGCATTTGGGACACTTCATAATCCTGGAAAGTTAGCGACCACATCGTAGAGTAGTTCGGGCAGGGCCTCCTCTGGTCACAGAGCCAGGAGGGGGCAGGATCAGCACCCCCATCACCATTTCCATGTTTCCAGCACTCCAGTGAATAATCAAAGAAAGTTAAACAAACATGCTTTAATTGCCTGTCGATGACAGATGCCAAGGGAATGAAAATCCCGTCCGGTTCTGGAGCGCCTGCCCGGGGATGGGGGTGGTGTGGGGAGTCCGAGCTGGCTGGGCCTCTAGGGCCTCACCACAGCTGGGGAGCTGGACCCACCCCACAACCCCCATGTCCACCGTTGGCCAAGCTGCTCCTCACCTGCCAAGCAGGGTGCCCAGTGCCAGAGCAAACTGGGCCCAGGCCCAGCATAATTTCCAGAAATAGGTCTTTGAGAGAGCTGGGCCTCCCCCTCCATCCGCTGAACTTCCACCATGCAGGGGATCCTATTTGTTGCCTCAGGCCCTTGAAACACTCTGCTCAAGGCCCCTAAAAGCCTCCAGATTGTGCAGTTTGCCCAGAGTTCCTGGACAGGCCAGGGCTGTCATTTGTAACTTCCCCATGTCCACCTCCTCCTCCTCTTCCCTCAGGCCCCAAGGGTGGGGTGGTGTCTTCCTGTGTGGCTCGAGCTGGAGAGTTGCTTTTCCCTTCCCTCCCCTTCCCTCTCCTCCCCTCCTCTCCCCTCCTGTCCTCTCCCTTCCCCTCCCCTCTCTGACAGGGTCTGGCTCTGTTGCCCAAACTGTAGTGCAGTGGCGCCAACATGGCTCACTGCAGCCTCAACCTTCTGGACTCAGGTGATCCTCCTGCCTCAGCCTCCAAAGTAGCTGAGACTACTGGCACGCACCACCATGCCTGGCTAACTTTTGTATCTTTTTGTACAGACAGGGTCTCACTGTGTTCACCAGGCTGATCTCAAACTCCCGGGCTCAAGCGATCCACCCACCTCAACCTCCCAAAGTACAGGGATTCCAGCCATGAGCCACCACACCCATCCTTCTTTTCTTTTTTAAATATGTTATTTTATTTTAAGGCTAGGTGCTGTGGCTCACGCCTGTCATCTCAGCTCTTTGGGAGGCCAAGCCGGGTGGATCACTTGAGGTCAGGAGTTCGAGACCAGCCTGGCCAACACAGCGAAACCCTATCTCTACTAAAAATACAAAAATTAGCCAGGCACGGTGGCACGTGACTGTAGTCCCAGCTACTTGGGAGGCTGAGGCAGGAGAATCACTTGAACCCCGGTGGCAAAGGTTACAGTGAGCCAAGATTGTACCACTGCACTTCAGCCCAGGCAACAGAGCAAGATTCTGTGTCAAAAGAAAATTATTTTATGTTAGATTCAGGGGGTTATATGTGCTTGTTTGTTACATGCATAATAGTAGGGATTGGGCTTGTAGTGCACCCATCACCCAAATATTTTTTGTTTTTTGTTTTTGAAACGGAGTTTTGCTCTCTTGGCCAGGCTGGAGTGCGATGGCTTGATCTTGGCTCACTGCAGCCTCTGCCTCCCGGGTTCAAGCGATCCTCGTGCCTCAGCCTCCCTAGTAGCTGGGATTTTAGGCATCTGCCACCACACCTGGCTAATATTTGTATTTTTAGTAGAGACAGGGTTTCACCATGTTGGCCAGGCTGGTCTCGAACTCCTGATCCTCTCACCTCGGCCTCCCAAAGTGCTGAGATTACAGGCGTGAGCCACCATGCCCGGCCTCATCACCCAAATGTTGAACACTGTACCAGAGAGATTATTTTTCAATCCTCATACCCCATCTTTATGTCCATATATACCCCTTGTTCAGCTCCTACTTATAGGTGAGAACATGCAATATTTGATCTTCTGCTTCTGAGTTTGTTCGCTCAGAATGACAACCTCCAGCTGCGTCCATGTTGCTGCAAAGGACATGATTTTATTCTTTTTCATGGCTGTGTAATATTCTACAGTGTATATGCACCTCATTTTCTTTATCCAATCCACCATTGGTGGACGCTTAGGTTCCATCTTGCTTTTTCCAAGTGATCCTGGTCAACCCACAGAACACAGCTACTAGAGAGGGGTCATGCATCTCTGCTTTCAAGTAGACAACCCCTGAAGGCAGGCATTCGGGTCTGTGCAGCCCTGACCCTCTCCCCACCAGTATTAGAGTGTTGGCACAGTGTCATCCAGTCGCAGGAACATCCACAGAGCCTTCGGGTGGATGAGGGATGATTAGAGGTAGAGGAGAGGAGGTGGACAGATGGGGAGCAGGGTGAATGTATAGGTGGGTAGATGGGGGTGTTTAGGGCTGGGGTAGCTTAAGGTGTAGGATGGGTAGCTGGGTGGGTGAGTGAATAGGTGAACAAATGGAACCCTGTTCATTTTGATCTCTGCCTTTCCCATTAAGGACTTCTTTCAGCCGCACAGGAATCATTGGTTGTGTAAGTTTAAGAGGAAGGCACTAGGCTGGGCGTGGTGGCTCTCACTTGTAATCCCAGCACTTTGGGAGGCTGAGGTGGGCGGATCCCTTGAGGTCAGAAGTTCGAGACCAGCCTGGGCAACATGGTAAAACCCCGTCTCTACTAAAAATACACAACTAGCCGGGCGTGGTGATGCGTGCCTGTAATCCTAGCTACCCGGGAGGCTGAGGCAGGAGAATCACTTGAACTTGAGGCGGAGGTTGCAGTGAGCAAGATTGCATCACTGTACTCCAGCCTGGGTGACAAGAGTGAGACTCTGTCTTTAAAAAAAAAAAAAAAAAAAAAAAAAGCAGGCACTGAAAGCCCCCTGGACGCCAGGGCCTTGTTGACTGGGGACTTCCTGGAGGCTGGCCTTTCAGGGACTCCACCGTTTCATCAGGGATGTTCCCAAATGTCAGCGTCGGTGGGTCTTTCCTCTTTGGCAGGCCCCTGTTTCCAGGGAGGACTCCCTCCTCTGCCCCATCTGGGGCATTTTGAGCCCCAGGAGAGCCAGTGGCTCCCAGTCTCCATCCCCGCCTTGGGTTTGCAAGGCTGGCTGGTGCACCTGGCTGCATGCACCTTGCAAAATAGTATTTGCATTGTTCATCTGCCAAGAGGTCCCTCCGCCTTTCCCTTTGCTTTGTGGATTTTATACCTTTTTTATTTCTTGTTTTTTTTTGTTTTTTGTTTTTTTGTTTTTTTGTTTTGAGAAGAAGTCTCACTCTGTCACCCAGGCTGGAGTGCAGTGGTGCGATCTCGGCTCACTGCAAGCTCTGCCTCCTGGCTTCATGCCAGTCTCCTGCCTCAGCCTCCCGAGTAGCTGAGACTACAGGCGCCCGCCACCATGCCTGGCTAATTTTTTGTATTTTTTAGTAGAGACGGGGTTTCACCATGTTAGCCAGGATTGTCTCGATCTCCTGACCTCATGATCCTCCCGCCTTGGCCTCCCAAAGTGCTGGGATTATAGGCGTGAGCCACCACACCCGGCCTACCTTTTTATTTCTTTATCAGCCCTTTCCTGAGAGGAAACAGAAGGGAACCTGTGTTCAATCCACCATGTTTAACTAGAAAACCACATCCCTGTATCATGTGTCTTTGGTGAAGTCCTGCCTGGTCCCAGAGTCAGAAAACTGTATATATTCCTCTAGTTGTTTGAATGTTCAGTGTTTATACCTCAGTCTTCAATCTGTTTTATGCATCAGAGGTACTGACAAGGTTTTATGGAGGAGAAAGAGTTCTATTCCTTAACAAATGCTTATAAATCACTGATTTGGGCCAGCCAGGGGTAGAAGGGAGGGAAGGAGGGAGAGGGGCCCTCTGCTAGGCCACATGTCACTGAGGAGCAGCGAGTAGGGTGTTGCCCCCTCTTGACCCGAGACTGAGCACCCTGAGGGTACAGCCTCGACCACCTATTCCCAGGGTCCTGAGACTCCCCCCAACTCCCCGTGGTTTCTCCCCAAACATCTATTGCAGAGGAATCGCCCTTTGTTTTTTGTTTTTTTTTTTAAGGACAGGGAACATTTCAAGGTGATTTGCGTTCGATGACAAAGACGGGGATAGCTCCAAGAACAAGGGGGAGGCTGACAGTGTCGGGGGGCCGTGGACTGTGCGTGTGGGCTGCAGTTCTCACCTCTCCCAAGCAGGATCGTGGTCAGCCCCAGCACGCAGAGTGGGAGCTATTCAGTTACCCAAATACCTCTTAGGCATCTGTTTAACAGTGATGGGGATGTGCAGGGTCAGGCTTTGAAATGAGCTGAAGAAAGAGACTTTAGGCATCCCCTGACTTCTAGAGCAATAAAAGCTCTTTAGAACAGCTTTGAACCATCTATTTCATCATTAAAGAGCTCCAGGTCTCGGGCCTCGGGGGAGACAGACATAAAAAGGTAATTACAGCCCAGAGAGATGTGCTCTTGGGCGGGGTCAGCATCACAAGGCTCCTAATTGGCCTTCCGGGCTCCAGTCCCTCCCACTTCCATCCACTGCACACTCTGCTGCCAGAGTGAGCATCTACAAATGCAAACTTGACCTCGAATTTCACCCGCCTAAGACCCTCCAGTGACCTACAGACACTGCCACAGCCCTTCCCAGGCCCCTGGTGTTAGAGATCCTTGACCTTTCCAGCCTTGGCAGTCCTCAAGTGTGTTCTGAGTTGGCCAACCTGCCCTGTTCTCACTCCCCTCCCAGCCTCAGAAAATGTACTCTTTCAGAATGCATTCCTTTTTCTTTTAGAATGCATTTGCTCTTCTCTCTGCTGAACCTGGCCAGCTATTGTGCATTTCTCAGGTCTCATCTTTGATGCCACTGCCTCCAGGACGTCCTCCTTGATTGTCCCCCTGATTGGACTGGCTTTGGCATCCCCTTCCTACCCTGTGTCTATTAGCCCAACTCCTTCCCCAGACTCTGGTTCTCAAAGTCAGGGGCCCACCTCACTATCTGTTCATCAATTGTCAGATATTTTTTGAGTCTCTGCTTTGTGCCAGTCACTGAGATTCATGGGTGAACACAATAGAAAAAGACCCCTGCCTTCATTGTGCTCACCAGCTCATGGCATCACCTTGTCTGAATAAACAGACAGTATAGTGTACTGCGCGTGCTCAGAAGGGAGGCTCAGTGGTCCAGCAGGCTGCATGGAGGAGGGGGCTCTGAGGGTAAGGCTTTGAAGGATGAATAGGAGTTTTCCAGGCAAAATGACTGGAGATTTCTCTGCTTGCCTGCCTGCCCAGAGGCTATCCTGGTGACTGGGCTGCTGTCTTCCTAGGGTCTACACTCTGCTCTCATATAAGTTCCTCTTCTCTTTCAGAATGCATGAACTGCACCCGGCTCAGTGACATGAGTGAGCGACTGACCACACTGGAGGCCAAGGTCAGTCGGGCTGGGGAGTCTGGGCCTGGGGAGCTGCCTGGGGACCTTGGGTGGTGGAGGGAGGCATCAGGCAACCACTGGGTGTGGCCGTGGAATTCCCAGCCCCGGGTTTCCAAGCAGGCTTGGACAGCCGGTCCCAGGTACTGGGTACTGTTCAGGCCTTGGTGGCTCTGGGTGGCCTTCTTGGGCTGGGAGGTCCCGGGCAGCAGGCTGGTTTTGGGCAGGTCAGAATGGTGCTGAGCTCCCAGGACCCGGGGGCTGGGAGGCTGGACACCCAGAAGACAGTGGAAAGAGGAGGGAGTCTCTGTCCCTCCAGGGCCACTGTTCCCACCTCCAGAATGGGGCTGGGCACAGAGGAACCGATGGGAAAAGACTCCGTGGAGGAGGAACTGCTGGGAAGTGACCAGCTTTTGGCCCAGTCTATAAGAACAGGACTCCCTAAGTGGAGTCAACCCAGAGGCAGAAGGAATCCACAAAGGACAAGTAATTTACCTGGCAGTGACCCCAGGCAGCACTGGGCAGGGAGAGAGGCCAAGAAGGGTATGCCCAGTACAGGTGTGTTCATGGGCAGGTGACCTGTGGGAGCACCTGGGGCTCCATCCCACGCTCCCTCTGGGAGACGGTGGTTTTGAGAACGTTTCAGGGGCAGCCACCTTAGGGCGATGAAGCCAGGCATCTCTCCTGCTCCTCACTGGGTAACACTTACCCGAGGGTACCTCTGTCTCAGCAGGCTCATGCCAGCTCCTGTGGCTGGAGAAAGCCCTTGGCAGAGTTGCAGGTGGCCACAGGCAAAAGCCAAAGCCAGGTGGGGCTGAAGGGTGCGTGTGGGGCGCCAACAGTGTCTGCCCCGATGGGGACAAGCCCCGTTCTCACCCAGAGGGCTTGGTAAGCAGGCTCTGGTGTTTAGCCAGAGGGGCTCGACCTGAGGGAGGACAGGTCTGGAGGGATGAGGCAGCCTCCAAATATCTACAAAGCCTCTTGGGACAGCAGGGTTGGCTGCACTGCCTGGCCCCCCAGGGGAGAGCCAGCACCAGGAGGCTGGAATCACCTGAGCCTGAGGCAGAGCTCTCTCCGGGGAAGAACTGTGGTGACCAGAGCACGTGGCATTGTCCAGAGAGAGTGTGTGAACAGGGCCACGTGGCAGGGAGGACCAGGGACCTGAGACGGTGGGGCTGGAGCCCCAGGCAGCAAGAACCCCTAGAAGAGAGCAGGGCCAGGGTCAGCCATGCCTCCACCCAGAAGAGCACACATACACACGCATGCATACCCACATAATACATGTGCACACACATGCACACATAGGCACCTGTGCACACACATCTGTGTGCATGTGGAGACACACATACATATATACACATACAGACACACACATTTGCACATGTGCACACAGACACATGCACACACACAAAAACAGGGACACACATATGTAATACCCATGGTCACATGCACGGATACTCAGGCATACATACACACACACACAAGCATGCATGTCAATGGGCACACATACATATACACACACACACACACACACACATGACACAACTGTGCACACATTAACACACACAGCCCTTGACAACTCCACATTACCCTTGGCCCTGACTTCCGCCCTGGGGGTTGCAGGTGAGTGTGGCTTGGAGTCAGACATTTGTGGGACCACCACCCGCCAGCTGGGTGACTCTCTCAGAGCCCCCTTCCTCATCTGTAGAATGGATCAGAGCATCAGCCCTGCAGGGCTGTTGAGAGCCTCCAGGGAGATGGCAGTGGGAACCGGCTTTGGAAATGGTCTAATGCTGACCAGGAGTCAAGGATTAGTGCTGTCACCCACGCCAGCCACGTCACTGTTCCCGCCTTACAGATATGAACACAGGTGTGCGGGAGACATCTGTGCAGAGCAATGACGGGGAGCCCCACGGCATGCATTCGCGGCTTCCCTTGTCCTCCAGCCCTTCCATGGGCGGGCAGGGTCTCCCAGCAGCCCAGGCCCCTGGGCACAGGCCTGGGATGGGAGAGACCCAGCTGCTCTCCTTGGAGTCTTAGCTCTTGTGGGGCAGGATTGGAGGGCTCCAGGGAGCAAATGTTTCCACATGGGCTGAGCCGGGGCCAGGACCCCCTAGAATGAGTATAGGGGAAGATGTTGAGCCGGTAAGCTTCTGGCACCTGAGATTTTAGAAAAGGCAGGGTCCCCGAGCCATGCCCAGCCTGATGGACATTTTCCTAGTACCGGAAGCCTCTGTGTGGTTTGGCACAGAGCAGCAGCCCTGGCCTCAGCCCAGTATTGTGGGTGTTAAAAGTCGCAGCTCTAGGGTAGGATGGCCACATTGCCAGCTGTCCCCCACCCACCTGGCCCACATCCTCCCATCATGAGCAATTCCTCCCTGTGGTCTTCCCGGCCCTGACACCCTCTCCACCAAGGGCCCCAGCTCCATGGCCTCCAGCAGCAGGCCCGGGGCAGAGCTTTGTCCTGTGACCCTGAGTGAGAGGACTGTGTCCTCTCTGTGTGCCTCGAGGGCTGGAGGGAGGGACAGCAGTGCGTGGGAGGAGCCCAGGCCAAGATTCCCACCCTTCCTCCACTCCATCTTGGCCAGCCCTTCCCTCTGGATCTCAGTCGGATGGCCTGGAAAATGGAAATTGGAGTCACTTCGTTTTGAGGCTGGTCCAGAGTGGGGAAGCTCAGGCAGCTCTCGAGTGGGGAGCTGGGGTTGGTAGCTTGGGCCTGGAGTGTGCAGAGATGGGGTAGCTCTGCAGCCCCCGTCCTTTTGACAGTTGTCTGCATTTCTAAGTAGGGGCTGGGAGACTCCTATCTTAGCTCCCCCGTCTTGTCTGGAGCACCTTCTGGCCGCCCACCTGCCCACTCCATGCCCACGTATGTTGAGAGGGCCTCTAGGAGGTTTTTTTAGACAAGGTCTCGTGCTATCTCAGTGTGGTGGCGTGATCTCAGCTCACTGCAACCTCTGCCTCCTGGGACAGGTTCAAGTGATTCTCCCGCCTCAGCCTCCTGAGTAGTTGGGATTACAGGTGTGATCCACCACATCCGGCTAATTTTTGTATTTTTAGTAGAGACGGGGTTTCCCTATGTTGGCCAGGCTGGTCTCAAACTCCTGACCTCAAGTGATCTGCTCGCCTTGGCCTCCCAGTGTTGGGACTACAGGCATGAGCCACTGTGCCTGGCCCCACTGGCAGCTTTGATGGCCCAGATCAGAGGGCCCTGAGAGGCAGCGGCCTGGAGAGGGGAAGGGAACACCAGCTGGGCTAGTTGCCAAGACAGCCCAGCGGCACCAGAGGCCATGCCGAGGTCAGGCGAGTCTGCAGGAGCCAGGACACGGAGCTGGGTTTTCAGCTTAGATCAGAGGCTAGGGGTCAGCCAGGGCAGAGGCTGGGATCCTAGCAGGGTGAAGGCAGAGCCAGGACAGGAGCCAGGCAGGCAGATCCCAGACAGGGAAGCAGAAATCAGATGGCTTGCATAAAACAGCAGCAACCCAGAGCCTGGACACTGGGGCTTCTGCTCCCTTAGACAAGAAGTCTGCTTTGGTATGTCGGGAAGGAGGCAAATGAGAGAAACCTGGCCAATGGTAGCTTATTCCATAAGGACATTTATTGTTTATTCCACAAGAAGTCCAGGAGCAGAGGTGGTCTCGGGATTGGTTTGGTGTCCAAAGAAGCCAGGCTCTTCGCTGACTTCTTAGTGAGCTGGTTGATGCCTCATGATTATAAAGTGGCTGCTGCAGCTCCAGGCATCACATCCTCACCTTGTATGTAAAGGCAGGAAGTGGAGGGTGAGGTGAAGCACCCAAACAGACTCCTTACGTTTCATGAGCCTGTGCTGGGGCAATGTGACCACCTCCTGGTTGCAAGGGAGCTGGGAAACTGAGTACCTGGCCAAACAGAAAGGGATGGCTCTGCCTGGCTCAGGCTGGTCCTGATTCCTTTCCTGGGTCACATGTACAGAGTCACAAGAGGGAGTTCTGGGGCAAGAGAAGAAGGGGCATTGGGGGCCAGGCAACCCACAGAGTCTGCTCCATCTGCTCTCCCACTGGTGCAGACCTAGAAGCTGGTCCAGGATTTCTGCCACCCTCTATTCCTGGGACAGGCTGGCAGGCAGAAGGCCAGCAGGGTACCGGGGAAGATTCCTGCTTGCCCTCCCCTCTCCTGCCCCGGGCTTTACTCTCTGACCTCATGGACCACAAACAGTACACAAGAGTCACAGAAGCCTCAGAGTCCCAGCAGTCTCTGGTGCAGAGGGCAGTGTCCCGGCTAGTCTGCCAGGCCACAATGACATCATCAGGGCCACTGCCCCCGAAGGCCGTGGCCTGGTTTTCTTGGCCCCACGCCCATGGCTGCCCACCCGGGTGAGCTCATGCCTGGACAGAAATGGGATCAGTTTCTCCAGGTCAGACACAGCCAGGCCAGGAGGGCTGAGACGCTGGCAGGGGCAGATTCCAACCAGGGCTCCTCTGCCCAGGTCTGCAGGCTCTGTGGGCAGGGGTGTCCCAGTGGGAGGTGCCCCATGAAGGAGAGAGCTAGGCCTTTTGTACTGGCTGGCAGGTCACTTCGGGGGAAGCCAGAGCTTTGCCCAGAATGGGGAACACTAGAGGTTGCCTGTAGGAGGCCAAGGCGGGACCCCTCCCCAGATCTCTCCAGGCTTCACCCTGCTCCCTCCTCCTCCACCCTAGCCTCCCCACACCATCCCTGCCTCCTCTCATGGTCCTCTACCTCCACTTCCCAGCCCTTGGGACCACCCCCTGTTAAATATGGCCATCTGAGTTCCCCTTGGGATACTGCAACCCACCCCCGCCAACTTATCACCTTCACTCCCAAGCCTGCCCCTCTCCCGTGCCCTTGTTCGACTGGGGGCATTTCTACTATTCCCAGCAGCCAGGCCTGAAAGGGGAGACACACTCCAACCTTCACCCCACCTCCTGCCCCCAGCCCCAGGAGCACCAGGGCCTGACGCTCCTCCAAATCCCCTGCGCTGGCCATCCCAGGCCCCTTCCATCACGTGACCTGACAGCCACCGTCTTCTTGCTCCTCTCCAGAGCCCCTAAACTTGGCTGTGGCCCGTCAGCTTCTTCAGGGGTGCCAGTGGCTGGGGCAGGAATCGGAACCCTTCTCTCCTCCTGGAGATTCAGGAGAACGGGGTCCACCCTTCACTGCCGTGTGATCTGAGCCAGCTGTCCCCGCTCTCTGTGCCTCCACGAAGCTCAGCCGGGGTTGAGACAGAACTGTTGGGAGGATAAACTGTGGTTTGGTGGATGAGGCACCACTAGGGGCCCCGGCCTCACCGCCCATTTGCTGGGTGATCTCAGGCAAGTCACTTGCAGTCTCTGAGCCTCTGTCTCCACCTCATTTGTGATGTCGCCGCAGTGACCCTCCCAGTTTCATGGACCCTTCTAAGGACCAGAAAGGGGAGGGGCTGAAAGAATTGGCTCTGGGGGGTTAAGGGGCCCTGGGCCAGGCATCCAGGCCATCGGAGGACTGTGTCCCATAGAGGGGTGGAGGGGGAGCCCGTTCTGCAGCCCACAGCAGGGCCTGAGCCCAGGGGGCCCAGCCAGAACCCTGGGTGCAGGGTCAGAGCCCTGAGCAGCCGCTAAGTGCACCCTGGAGACACCCCTGCTGGGGAGGAGCCCAGAGCAGGCCACTTTGTCCCCAGGGATCCCAGGACTGTCCCCCAGGCCCAGGGGCACTGCAGAACTGGTGAGGGAGCTACTCAGGCAGACCATCTGCCTGTGCACCATGGACTCTCAGCTCAGCCCAGCAGGTCCTTCACGCCCCTCGGCCCCAGGACCCACCCAAGTTCCCAGCAGGGATCTCCACCCACCCTGAGCCTATTTCTGGCACACAGCGCCCCCTGCTGGCCTCTTCGGGGGCAGCAGAGACTCACGGGGCCTCTGAGTCCTGGCTCTCAAGTTGTTTAAAGGAAGGAGAAAGTCTCCCGGTCCCGGGATCTGGGTCTCAGCCACCTTTGACTCCTGCCTCCCTCAAGGAGGGACAGATGGGGCCGCATTGCAGGCTGGTCCCAAGCAATCGTGGCCACTTTTGTTTTTCTGGAAAGTCTTCTAAAGGTCATGTGCCACAAGGGGCCTATTTATACCCACCCTTTCACTCTCCTCCCTCCCTTTCTTCCCTTCCTTTTCTGTCTGTGTGTGTGTGTGTATGTGTGTGTGTGTGTGTGTGTGTGTGCGTATGTGTGTGTGCTTTTTTTTTCTCTCTCTCTCTTTTTGTAGATGTGGTCTCGATCTGTCACCCAGGCTGGAGCGCAGTGGCACAATCATAACTCACTGTAGCCTTGAACTCCTGGGCTCAGCCTCCTGAGTAACTGGGACTGCAGGCGTGTGCCACCACGCCTGGCTAATTTTCTTTATTTTTTGTAGAGATGGGGGTCTCACTGTGTTGCCCAGGCTGGTCTCAAACTCCTGGCCTCAAGTGATCCTCCAGCCTCAGCCTCTTAAAGTGCTGGGATTACAGGCATGAGCCACCACTCCCAGCCAGCACAGGGACTTTGACGGTGTCTGAAGGGCACTCCTTGAACCTGAGGGTCCAGAAAGACTTTCCTGATGTCAGAAGGAGGAGAGGGCTGGGATGGAGGGAACCTGGGCCACGAGTGAGGTTCTCCCACTAAGGAGCGTGACGGGGCACACACAGCGTGGACAGCTGCAGGTCTCATGGGGTGCACATGCATGTCCCTGTGTGTCACGCATGTCCCTATGTGTCAGGCCCAACTGGGACCTGACTCTCTATCTCCTTTGGCCCAGGTCCTCCTGCTAGAAGCAGCAGAACGGCCCTCCAGCCCGGACAACGACCTGCCAGCCCCCGAGAGCACTCCGCCGACCTGGAATGAGGACTTCCTCCCCGACGCCATCCCTCTTGCTCACCCTGTGCCACGACAGAGAAGGCCCACGGGCCCAGCCGGTGAGTGAGGGCTGCAGAGAGGACAGGCTGGGGCAGCCGAAGGGACCTTGGGCATGGCCTCCCAGGGCCTCCCTAGAGAGGCCACACACTAGACACTCTAGTTCCAACATGCCATGTGGCATTTTGAAAAATTAAGCTAACAGTTGAAAATGGGTATTTCACCTAAAAGCCAGGATTTCTAGTTTCTCTTAAGAAGTAGACGATCTGGTCAGGTGCAGTGGCTCATGCCTGTAATCCCAACACTTTGGGAGGCCGAGAAGGGTGGATCATTTGAGGTCAGGAGTTCGAGACCAGCCTGGCCAACATGGTGAAACCCTGTCTCTACTAAAAATACAAAAATTAGCCAGGCGTGGAGGCAGGTGCCTGTAATCCCAGCTACTCAGGAGGCTGAGGCAGGAGAATCGCTTGAACCCGGAAGGCGGAGGTTGCAGTGAGCCGAGATCACGCCACTGCACTCCAGCCTGGGGGACAAGAGCAAAATTCCGTCTAAAAAAAAAAAAAAAAAAGTAGACCATCTGGCCGAGCATAGTGGCTCACTCATGCTTGTAATCCTAGCACTTTGGAAGGTCAAGGCAGGTGGATCATTTGAGGTCAGGAGTTCGAGACCAACCTGGGCAACATGGTAAAACCCCCATTTCTACTGAAAATACAAAAATTAGCCCAGCATGATTAATCCCAGCTACTCCTAAGGCTGAGGCATGAGAATTGCTTGAGCTGGGGAGGTGGAGGCTGTAGTGAGCCAAGATCATGCCACTGCAATCCAGCCTGGAAGACGGGGTGAAACCCTGTCTCAAAAAAATAGATGATCTTGGGCAGGTGCAGTGGCTCACACCTATAATCCCAGCACTTTGGAAGGCTGAGGTGGGAGGATTGCATGAAGCCAGGAGCTCAAGACCAGCCTGGGCAACATAGTGAGACCCTGTCTCTACAAAAAATTATAAAAATAAAAATGAGAAAATTGGCCATCAGGGCTGGCAGTCCCTCATGGAAACAACCAGCTACTGGGTTGCCACTGTAGGTCCAGTCCAGGCTGTGCAGTTTGCCGCAGTCCCCACCATTCCCTATTGTCTTACAGCTCAGCTACTGTCTTCAGTATCTGCCCTGCTCCTTGGCTTCTGCACTTATGGCCCCCAGCCCAGCCTTGCTGGGTTCAATTTTGCAGCATTCTGCCTGGCCAGGGAGCAGGAACTTACTGCTTCCCACCTCTTTCTGGGGTTTGCTCTCTGAACTCTCTGGCTGGAATTGGAGGACATCTGCCCCCCTGCCTTCCTGCCACACTTTTACAATTTTATTTTATTTTATTATTTTATTTTGAGACAATGTATTGCTCTGTCACTGAGGCTGGAGCACAGTAGTATGATCATAGTTCACTGCAGCCTTCATCTCCGAGGCTCAGGTGATCCTCCTGCCTCAGCCTCCCAAGTAGTTGGGACTACGAGTGCACACCACCACACTTGGCTTTTTTTTTTTTTTTTAATTTTTAGTAGAGACGAGGTCTCACTGCGTTGCCAGGCTGGTCTCAAACTCCTGGCCTTAAGCAATCCTCATGCCTCGGCTTCCCAAAGTGCTGGGATTTACAGGTGTGAGCCACCATGCTTGGCCCTGGCCACATTTTAAAGTTAAGGGGAAGAATTTTCCCTCTGCAGATTCTACCTACTGGTCTGGGCTCTGCCACCTGGGGCTGTAATTACCTTTGCTTTAATCACAATTGTAATAATCATAGTTGCAATCGATGAAGCCCTCCTGGTTGCCAGACACTGAGGTGGGGCTTTATCCTGGAGGACATTTAGCAAACAACACCTGTCTATAAGGCTGAATCCAGGGGTTGAAGGCTGAGGTCTACCATGAGTGGTCAGGATCTGCACTGTGCCAGTTATTAAATATTTTCATATCAGATATGAAAATATTTCAAATACAGATATAATTTTTTTTTTTGACATGGAGTCTCACTCTATCACTCAGGCTGGAGTGCAGTGTCGTGATCTCGGCTCACTGCAACCTCTGCCTCCTGGGCTCAAGGGATTCCCCTGCCTCAGCCTCCCTAATAACTGGGATTACAGGCACGCACCACCAAGCCCCGCTACTTTTTGCATTTTTAATACAGAAGGGGTTTTGTCATGTTGGCCAGGCTGGTCTTGAACTCCTGACCTCAAATGATCTGCCCTCCTTGGCCTCCCAAAGTGCTGGGATTACAGGTGTGAGCCAGCACACGCAGCCTAATTTTTGTATTTTTAGTAGAGACGGGGTTTCACCATGTCGGCCAGGCTGGCCTCAAACTCCTGACCTCAAGTGATCCACCCGCCTCGGCCTCCAAAGTGTGGAATTACAGGTGTGAGCTAGCGCACCCAGCCTACAGATATCACTCTTAATCTTCACACAAAGCTTGGAAGCCTTGAGGTTACAGGGGAGACACCTGAGGCTCAGAGAAGTTAAGTGACACCCCTGGGGTCACCCAGCAAGCCAGCAAGCTGGGGGCATTTTGCCTCCATGATTCTCTGCCCTTAGAGCCCTTTGGAGGGGGCGCTCTCCCTCTGCCCTCTGTTCTGAGTGTCTATTCTGATGCTGGGTTGGGGAGCAGGGGCAGAGCAGGGAGGAGAGATGCATGACACAGGTGGCCTCCAGTGGCCAGTCCCAGGGCCGGGGAAGGAGAGTAGGGTATCCTGCATTCTTGGAAAGGGACTGAAGGCTGCGGGAGGAGGGCCGAGCTCAGGTCTCCTACGGGAAGGGGGACCTCTCTCACTCTGGCCCCCGGCCTACCCCTCGAGCCGCTGTCCCTAAGGTCTCACCCCCAGAGCGTTACCTCATGCCCACATTCTTCAGATCTTTCTTGGGGGATGGAGGAGGAGGGGCTTCCCATCCCACCGGGGACCCAGGCCCACGAAAGCGCATGCCTGGCAAGACCTTTCCAACCAGGGGAAAATGCAGTTTCAAGAATGGCCACCAGGTGGGGCACACACTCTACACATGGTGACACCTGCAGCCAACCTGGATTCCAGAGCGCAGGTGGGGCTCTTCCGAGGCCAGCAGCCCCCAGCCAGGCCCTCCCCACCATACCACAGTCCCATGCAGGCAGAGTGCAAAGGGCCCTAAGACTCAGTGCAGGTCCCTTCATCAGATCAGCAAACTTTTTTTTTTTTTCTGAGACGGTCTCGCTCTGTAAGCCAAGCTGGAATGCAGTGGTGTGATTATAGCTCACTGCAGCCCAGACCTCCTGGGCTCAAGCCATCCTCCCACCTCAACGTCCCCAGTAGCTGGGGCCACAGGCGTGCACCACTATGCCCGGTTAACTTTTGTATCTTTTGTAGAGATGGGGTCTCACTATGTGGCCCAGGCTGGTCTCAAACTCCTGGGCTCAAGTGATCTTCCTGCCTCAGCCTCCTAAGGTGCTGAGCAAACATTTTTCAGCATCCTCTCTGGGCCAGAGGGAGAAAAGGCTGTCCCCTGGCCACACAGCAAGCCTTACCTCTCCATCTCCTTGTCCACCCTTGGGGTTTAGAGATCTGTAGCTGGGAAGATCCATCCTTCAGGACCTCCTGGGGCCTCCTCGGAGGCCACCTGTTGGGGAGCACTTTGCCACAAGCCCGGTTCTTGACCCTAAGCAGAGAGACAGCAGGGTGTGAGAGAGGGACCTGGAGCTAAGCAACTTCATCTGCAGCCTGGCTGTGTGAGCTTGGGCAAGGGACCAACCTTCCTGAGCCTCAGTTTCCCCACATTGAAAATGGGAACGAAAGCAGTTCTTAGAATCATAGATGTTTGTAAGTGCAAAGCTGGTTTGTAAGTTGTAATAACCAGCTCCAAGGTGATGTGAGTGCCTTTGCCTGTTTAGGGAGTCCCAGGTAGGCAGGGCTCCTGGGGGAACGTAGGCTGACAGCCCAGGGGGCCAGGCCTGGAGCCACTGGAGGCTGGGGGTCCACCATGTTCTGATGCCCTGTCTCCTTCTCTCCCCAGGGCCCCCGGGGCAGACAGGACCACCAGGGCCTGCAGGCCCCCCCGGGTCTAAAGGTGACCGAGGCCAGACAGGAGAGAAGGGTCCAGCGGGGCCGCCTGGTAAGAAAACCCCCCACATATGTGATGTTGTCAACCTGCGGAAGGGGCTGGGCTTTCTTCTCTACTGGAACAGGCGAGGTGTCCCACGCACCCACAGCCCTGATCTTGCTGGGTACCAGAAAAACGGGGTCTTTTTTTTTTAATTTTTTGAGAGGGAGTCTCGCTCTGTTGTCCAGGCTGGAGTGCAGTGATGCCATCTCGGCTCATTGCCACCTCTGCCTCCCGGGTTCAAGCAATTCTCCTGCCTCAGCCTCCTGAGTAGCTGGGATTACAGGCATGCGCCACCACACCTGGCTAATTTTGTATTTTCAATAGAGACAGGATTTCACCATGTTGGTCAGGCTGGTCTCGAACTCCTGACCTCAGATGATCCACCCACCTTGGCCTCCCAAAGTGCTGGGATTACAGGCGTGAGCCACCACCTCACCTGGCTTTTTTTTTTTTTTTTTTTTGAGATGGAGTCTTGTGCTGTGTCGCCCAGACTGGAGCACGGTGGCACAATCTCAGCTCACTGACACCTCCACCTCCCAGGTTCAAGCAACTGTCCTGCCTCAGCCTACTGAGTAACTAGGATTACAGGTGCCTGCCACCATGCCTGGCTAATTTTTGTATTTTTAGTAGAGACAGGGTTTCACCATGTTGGCCAGGCTGGTCTTGAACTCCTGACCTCAGGTGACCTGCCTGCCTTGGCCTCCCAAAGTGCTGGGATTACAGGGGTGAGCCACAACACCTGGCCAAAACAGGGTCTTCAGGGGCTTCGGGTACAGGCATGAGCATCGAGGCTGTCAGGGGCCAGGAGCAGTTCTCAGCCATTTAAACACCTCCAGAGACCACCCTCTCAACTCCTCCTGGGTCCTGCCGGGGAAGGACCCCTGGTTCAGCAGGTACAGGGCCAGCCCAGGATGGTGGCTTATACTTGGTGTTCCTGCCACAGGGCTGAAGTCCCTGGGAGGGACCAATGGGCCTCTGGCCAGAGCCTTTGCTGATTTCACCGTCCCTGCCCCCCTCACCCTCCCAAGCTGCCACTAAGTGTCCCCTCTGGACTGGGCTGGGAAGGGAAGCCCATTTCATTTACACCCCAGGACACCCCCAAGGAAGACTGTGGATCGGAGGTCACCACTGACTGCCTGTGGGCCCCTGACCAACCCTGTTTCTTTCAAGGCCTCAGTTTCCCCATTTGTAAGTTGCAGCCACCCGCCAGGCTCCGGCTGCCACAGTGACTGTTCTTTTCCTCATTGCAGGGCTCCTGGGGCCTCCAGGGCCCCGTGGGCTTCCTGGAGAGATGGGGCGCCCCGGCCCCCCAGGACCACCCGGCCCAGCAGGCAACCCAGGCCCCTCACCAAACAGCCCCCAGGGCGCCCTCTACTCCCTGCAGCCGCCTACAGACAAAGACAGTGAGTAATGCCCCTGGGGGGCCAAGGGAGGGCTGAGCTACGCTGTGTTCTGGGAGGGATCAGCCTTCCTTAAAGGATCCTGGGAAGTGGACCCCACCACATGCCCATCCTGCTGCACCCAACTGGCTCACTCCTGCAGGCCTCCTCCAGGAAGCCCTCCATGCAGTGTCCAGGGCCTGCCAGTGACGATGACAGGGAACAGCTTGGGAGCAAGGCTTGGTCCTGGGGCTAAGCATCCTCAAGTGGACCCAGGGCTAGCCCCAAGCCCTGCTTTTGGCCCCAAAGTGGCCTGTCTCTGCCTCAGTGCTCAGCTCCCTGCCTTTGGGGTTGTGAGCCCCAAAGTTCACTCTGCTGGCTGACTTGGCCCAGATTCCCTACCTGGCTACCCCACCCCACCAAGGTTATCCCTTATTGTACTTGTTCCTCACCCGCCCTCACTGCAGGTCATTCAGCAGGTGTTTAGTGAGCACCTACTATGTGCAAGGCACAGGATTTTAGCCACTGGGGACACAGCAATGTGCAAAACAAACTCCGGCCCTCGGGGGCACCGGCCAGTCCAAGAGAGCCTCTGAACACACAGAAATGTCCACTTCTACCTTGGGAGGTGGGGACAAGGAGGTGCAGAGAGTGGACGGGACCAGGACTCTGGGCCTAAGGGACCATGAGGTAGTGGGAGGCCAGGCAGAGGAGTCCGTGAGCCCTGAGAGGAGCATCATTTCTGGTTAAGTGTCCCGGCAACTGGGGAAGATTTTTACTTTAATTTTTTTTGACATAGGGTCTGTTGCCCAGGCTGGAATGCAGTGGCGCCATCATAGCTCCCTGCAGCCTCTCACTCCTGGGCTCAAGGGATCCTCCCACCTCAGCCTCCTGAGTAGCTAGGACCCTAGGCATGTATCGCCACATCTAACTAATTTTTTTTTTTTTTTTTGAGTGGAGATGGGGTCTCACAATGTTGCCCAGGCTGGTCTGGAGATGTGGTCTCACTATGTTGGGCAGGCTGGTCTTGAACTCCTGGCCTCAAGTGATCCTCCCTCCTCAGCCTCCCAAAGTGCTGGGAGTACAGGTGTGAGCCACTGTGCCCAGCCTGGGGAAGGGTTTTATGAGGAAGGTGATGGCATTGCCCTGGGGCCCTGGGTCTGGTTCAGGATTGGCCAGGGTGAATCAGGTGAGGGGCTCATCCTGGAGGGCCATGGGAGATGGGTTGTTAAACAGACTCCACCCCTGCTCCAGGCAGTGTGGTCGCCATGATGTAATCAGACTCCCCAGGCACAGCTCAGAGGGGTGGGCATGGAGGGCTTCCTGGAGGAGTGAGCCAGTTGGGTGCAGCAGGATGGGCCTGTGGGATGGAGCCTGGAAGAAGATGCCAGCCTGGGGCATTGGAGAAGTGAGCAGGGCAGACCCAGAGTCTGAAGAGCCTGGAATGTTCTAGAAGGTATTTATGTTTTATATGAAGCTGACCGACCTGGCTTTCCCTGCTCTTTGTCTGGGCCTCTCCGTGCTCCTCTGAGCAGTGGGGGCAACAGTATCTGCAGCGGGCCCCAGGGTGATGGGAGGAGCCCCCCTGGGCTTCGTGTGGCCTGGCTCAGGGCTCAGTGCCCCGGACCAGCCTCCCAGCACTGCCAGGTCTGCCCCACCAGACCCCTGGCCGCTCCGCTCTTCCCACAGATGGAGACTCAAGGCTGGCCTCTGCCATCGTGGACACAGTGCTGGCAGGTGTCCCAGGACCCCGGGGTCCCCCTGGTCCACCAGGTAAGTGAATGGTGGGCTGGCCTGCATTGAGGACTCCATCCCCCCAGGGCTGGCCTGAGCCATGGGGCCTTGAGGGGAGCTGGAGGTCGGCTGGCGGTCCATGGCTTCTGGGCAATGCTGGGGACTGGGTCTGTCCCACCCGCTGTGTGGCAGGAAATGAAGCCCCTCGTTTCCTAGTGGCAGTGCCCCTGGGGGACTGGATGCATGAAACCCACGTGATTCTGCTGGAATAAGATGCCTGCATGAGGCTGCCCTTGCATGGGCCAGAGTGGGACACACACCAGTGGGGGATGGGGTCAGGACAGAGGTGGCAGGAAGTCCCTACCTTTGAGGCAGAAACCAAGGGGTTCAAAGGGGCTGGGACCTGGCTGTCAGTCCTGGCCTGACCTTCCATCATCCACATTCCTCATTGGGGGAAGAATGCAGGGCTGACTGCCTTGTCCCTTTCTGCCCGGGAAGGGAGTCATTCATTCATTCATTCATTTGTTTATTCACTGATTCATTCATTCTTTTATTCATTCATTTATTCATTCATTCGTTCATTCATTCATTCATTTGTCCATTCATTCATTCGTTCATTCATTCATTCGTTTATTCATTCATTCATTCATTTCTCTGTGCGTCTCACAAACATTCATTGAACATCTGCCACTACATGTGCCAGACAGTGATCTAGGTTCCCGGAACTCCTGAATAATCAAAACAAACATCATCGAGAAACTCTCATTCTGGTGGAGGACAGGAATATCATCATAAATTGTGACTTCGACAGGATCTGAGGGAGCTACAAGGGAGAAGCTGGGGCGTGGCGGGGAGGCGCCGTCAAAACGTGACATTTCAGAAGATGCTCTAGGGAGGAGAGGGAGTAAGCTCAGAGGGTACCTGGGGGCCTTCAGGTGACATGCCAGGTCTCTGGAGAACTGGACAGACTCCTGACATTTGTCCCCTGGAGTGCCTGTCCTCACATGCCCTCTCCAAACCTGGGAGCCAGGCCATGCTGGACAGCCCAACATGCGGCTCCCTGCACCACAGGGAGGGATCATGAGAGACCCTCCCTGGGCCCGTGTGGGGTCATGAGAGACCAAGACCTTACTCTTCCTAGCAGGCTGGAGATTAGTCATGAATCTCCCTCCCTGAGCTGGGCACACACATGAGACCCAGCCCGGCCCTCTGGGTACTCCACATCCCATGGGGCAGACAGACGTGTAAACCTCAGTGGCCATGGGCGGTGGCTGGTTTACATAAGGGATTTGCCTGGAGAAGCAGTGGAAAGCTGGGAAGGCTTCCTGGAAGAGGTGATGCTCTGTGTCAGACTGGTAGGAAAACCAGTAGGAAAGGGTTTGCTGGGAGAGTGGAGGAATAGGGAGGCTCCAGGAGGAAGGACAGCTTTAGCAGAGACGCCAGGAGGGTGTCTGGCTGGGGCAGGGAGGGTGGGAAGGGGCCGGGCTGAGGACTTCAGGAGCCCTGAAAGGGATGTAACTGGGCTTGGATTTTTGAGAGTGTACTCTTGGGGGCCATAGGAAGGGTCGATGATCAGGAGGCTGTTATAGTAACCCCAGCAAGAGGGATGGGTCCCAGGTCCCGAGGCGGGAAAGACCGGAGAGACGTACCAGGGGACCAACTGGCTGGGGCGTGGGAGCAGTCTGGACGGACTTCCTCCCTTGCCTGCCGGGTCTCGGGATTGGGGCTGCGTCGTGGACGAGGCCCTGGGAGGAGGAGGTGTGGGAGCTGTGGGCAGCCGGTGGAGAGGACCCTGGGCTCCGAGGATGGAGACCTCGTTGAGAGGGGGTGTGCCTCCCTCCTCCCCACACCATTCATTCCCAAACCCTCCTTTACTTCCCATGGAGACAGATCAAGAACAGGTGCTGGGGTGGGAGGCTGGGGGCGCCCCCTCTCTGGCCCCAGGTGACCATCTGTGACTCTGCCCACAGGTCCCCCTGGGCCTCGAGGTCCCCCAGGACCCCCAGGAACACCTGGATCCCAGGTAAGGACTTTGCCATTTTAGGTAGGGTGTGGGAGGCGGCGGGTGGCGGGTGGCCTTGTCTCCCTAGGGGAGAAGAAGCACCTTTTTACCAGCAAGAGTCACTCAGGAAGGAGCCAGTCGGCCTGGCCGGTGAGATTTTATTTTATTTTGTTTTATTTATTTTTAAATTTATTTTTGAGATGGAGTCTCTCTCTGTCACCCAGGCTGGAGTGCAGTGGCGCCATCTCAGCTCATGCAACCTCCACCTCCTGGATTCAAGTGATTCTCCTGCCTCAGCCTCCGGATTAGCCGGGACCACAGGCGCACGCCACCACGCCCAGCTAATTTTTGTATTTTTAGTAAGAGATGGGATTTCACCATGTTGCCCAGGCTGGTCTCGAACATCCGACCTCAAGTAATCCATCCGCCTCAGCCTCCCAAAGTGCTGGGATTACAGGTGTGAGCCACTGCGCCCAGCCGAGATTTTAATTTTATTAGCAGCAGTGACTCTTTGCTGAGTATATCCTCCTCCTGTTATGCCAGGGAGGTGTTAGCATCACTCGCATTTCACAGATGAGCTAACTGAGTCCCAGAGAGACCAGATGCTGCCTGAGGTTGTACAGAGGGTGTAGGCAGAGTTGGGCCAGGTCACAGAATCTCTGCCTCAGCCCCTCACCTTGCCCTGAGAATTGCCCATGGGGAGGCGGCACCCCAAGCCTGACTCAGCCCCTAACCCCAGGTTCGCCCTGCCTCTGCAGCTGTCAGAAGTCAGGAAGAGCAGGTACAAAGGCCCTGAGGCAGGGAAAAGGCTGGCAGGTAGTGAGCAATGGAGTGTGTGGTGTCGGATGAGGCACAGTGGGCAGGGCCTTATCTACGGGTCCCAGGTGTGGGCTTTTGTTACAGTGGATGGAATTATTGAGTTTCAGGGAGGGTGATTCCATGATCTTATTTACATCTTTAAAAAGCTCCTCTGAGGGGCCAGGTGAGATGGCTGACGCCTGTAATCCCAGCACTTTGGGAGGCTAAGGTGGGAGGATCGCTTGAGCCCGGGAGTTTGAGACCAGCCTGGGCAACATAGCAAGACCCCATCTCTATAAAAAATTTAAAAATTAGCCTGGTGTGGTGGCGTGCGCCTGTAGTCCCAGCTACTTGGGAGGCTGAGATGGGAGGATGGCTTGAGCCCAGGAGTTGGAGGCTGCAGTGAGCTCTCATGGCACCACTGCCCTCCAGCCTGGGTGACAGAGCAAGACCCTGTCTCATTAAAAAAAATTAATTAATTAATTAAATATGTAAAAATAGAAAGTAGACTCGGCATGTCTGGCCAATGGAATAAGTCTGGTGAGAAGGGCAGGGAAGGCTGTAGTTTCACTCCCTGGTGTCTGTCAGGAGCAGCTGGGAGGACCAGGGAGGCATTTCCTGAGAAGGGGAGGCTTCGGGATGGGGGGCACCAGGAGTTCCCTTTGGAGAGAGGGGGAGTGGGCACCTCATGGTCAGCTGGGTGGCGATGTCAGGGGACAGCTGGACACGGGCCTGGGGCTCCCGGGAGCCGTCTGGGCTGACATCAGCACACGTGGGACCCTGGCCATCGCTGTTAGTATCACTAGTTCTCTCCACACACCGGACCACCTGCTCCCCTTCTCTGCCTGACAGCCGTACGTGGCATTGGCCCATTTTGCAGGTGAGAAGACTGAGGGCTCAGCTGGGGTCCCTAGTCAATAGCAGCTCCAGGTGGCTCCAGGACTGGAGGCCTTTGAGTCTGCCCTTCCCGTGCCGGCCGGGCCATCCTCCTCTCCCTTCCTCTTCTGCAGACTCAGAGCACAGTGGGCGGGGAGGGGGGTGGCCAGAGGGCACTGGAGACTTGGCCAGGACCGGCAGGCCTCACACGCTTCCTTTGGTTTTCTGCAGGGCCTGGCTGGAGAGCGAGGCACAGTGGGGCCGTCCGTAAGTGTGGGCTGTGCAGATGGGCCTGGGCCACTCCCAGGCAGAGGCTCTGATGCAAGCCCAGGGCACTGGGTGGCGGGGGTTGGTGGGGGGGTTCAGCCCTGGGTGGCCCTGCTGGAGCTCAGGCAACAGGGAGGGACTGAGAAAGGACTCAAATCGCCTCCTGCTGCGGGGTGAGGAGGGAAGCGACCTCCAGAGAGTGCGCTGACAGTCCTGAGTGCCTGCAGCCCTGGATTAATGCACTGTGTGACCCTGGCCTTTCATTCATGCGCTGTGTGGCCTGGGGCCATAGGTTAACATGCCGTGTGACCTGGGAAGTCCCTTCTTTTCTCTGAACCTCCCAGAAATAGGCTTAGACAGCCTTCCTTTAATCGACTTTCTTGGAAACAAGAACTTATGAGTCTCCCAGCCTGACCAACATGGTGAAACCCTGTCTCTACTAAAAATACAAAAATTAGCTGAGTGTGGTGGTACGCATCTGCAGTCCCAGCCACTCTGAAGGCTGAGACAGAAGAATTGCTTGAACCCGGAGGCAGAGGTTGCAGCGAGCCAGGATCACGCCACTGCACTGCAGCCTGGGTGACAGAGTGAGACTCCATCTCAAAAAAAAAAAAAAAATTATGAGTATAGACTCCTGCCTCTAGGGCCAAGGAGTCAGGCGCTTCCTTGATGCCCAAGCCTCACTGTAGGGGTGTGGGGCGGGGAGGAGGAGTGGAGCTTTGCTGAGCACCTACTATGTGCTGGCCACAGTGGAGGTGCTCTCTTCCCCCACAGCGCATGTAAGCTTCACAGCGACCCCAAGAGACCATGCTTTATTATCCCCGTTTGCCAAAACTGGCCACTAAGGCTCAGAGAGGTTAAGTAACTTGCCCAAAGCCACACAGCGAGGCAGTGGTGGAGCCTGGATTTGAACCAGGGAGTGTCAAGCTCCCAAGCCATGCCTCCTCCCGTGCTTGTCTAGTGACCAAACACAACACAGGAGACACAATGATGGCACTTCTAGGTGCCAGGCTCTAATCTAAGCTCATTGTCCCTATTGATTAACTTAATCCTCCTAACAACAGATGAGATAGATACTATTACTGATCCCATTTTACAGTTGGGAAAACTGAGGCACCAAGAAGTACAGTGACCCACTCAAGGCCACACAGTAGTAGCTGGACATTTACATGTTACTGTGAGCTGGGCATGGTGGTGGCTCATACCTGTAACCCCAGTGCTTTGGGAGGCCAAGGCAGGAGGATCATTTTGAGGCCAGGAGTTCAAGGCCACCCTGGACAACATAGTGAGACCCACCCCCATCTCTATAAAAATATTAAAAAATTAGCTGGGTTGTGGTGGTGCGTGCCCATAGTCCTAGTTACTCAGGAGGCTGAGGTTGGAGGATCACTTGAACCCAGGAGGTAGAGGCTGCAGTGAGCCATGATCGCGTCACTATACTCCAGCCTGGGCAACAGAGCAAGACCCTGTCTCAAAAAATTGGCTGGGTGCGGTGGCTCACGCCTGTAATCCCAGCACTTTGGGAGGCCAAGGCAGGCAGATCACCTGAAGTCAGGAGTTCGAGATGAGCCTGGCCAACATGGTGAAACCCCGTCTCTACTACAAATACAAAAATTAGCCAGACATGGTGGCGCATGCCTGTAATCTCAGCTACTCAGGAGGCTGAGGCAGGAGAATCGCTTGAACACAGGAGGCAGAGATTGCAGTGAGCCGAGATCACAACACTGCACCCCAGCCTGGGTGACAAGAGTGAAACTCCATCTCAAATAAATAAATAAATAAAATACAATAAAATATGTGACTTTGAATCTGGTATTACTGGCCTTGTGTTGGAGACAGACAGCAGCCCTTCCAGGCAGGCTACTCAATCCTGGAAGGGCCCAGGCATGAACTTGCCGGCTTCCTAGCCTGAGTCTCTTCTGCCCCAGAAGCAGAATGAAGCACTTACAGCCAACCCTGGACACTTCCCTGCCATGCCAGGCTGAGCAGGCTGTGCCCCGGAGCCGTGGCCTCCCCTGCTGTGCTCAGCCCAGGGCAGGAGTCCCCTGGGCCCAGCACCCGTTTCCCAGGCCCTGCCTGCCCAGCCTGCCCCTGACTCCCTGCAGGCCCCCAGGGAACTGGAGAGGGTGGAGAGGTGCCCCCACCTCCCGTTCCAGTGTTGACTGTGTGACTTGCTTCTTAGGGTGAACCTGGCGTGAAGGGGGAAGAAGGAGAGAAAGCCGCCACTGCAGAGGTAACCATGGCTGCCCTTCACGTTCCCTCCCGCCTCCTTGGCTGTGAGCACTGTCACGGGAGGGCAGGTGCCCCACAGATCTGCGCTGACCGTCAGCCAGCCCCGAGCTGGGTGCTGGGCCACCGGGTGTACAGGGCCCCTGCCCTGAGAAGTTCACAGCCCCATGGGAACTCAGCTGAGTACAGCAGTGATTGCAAGAGAGTGAGAAGGTGGCTGGGTGGGGATGCCACAGAGGGGGTGATTGGCCCTTGGGGGGGCTTCCCGGGACAGGGAGAGGAGTCGCAAACTTGTAGGAAAGACAGTCTCCCTGGAGGAGGCGTCAGGCTGCAGAGTCCCTCTCAACGGACCGGGTTCTCCCGTGAATGGCGTCTCGGCATGGGCGTGCTTACAAGGTCAAGGGTGCTGGGGGACTGAAGGGGACAGGGCTGCTGGATGTGGTAGAGGATGGATGGAGGAAGAGGGACTTGCAAACTGGGAATCTGAGGAGAGAAGATTGGAGCAAGCGGAGGCTGGGGCCAGTGGGAGGGGGCAGCCAGGGCACGGGCTTGGCTGTGGGGACCTGCGGCTTCTGGGAGGAGGAGGGGAGGCTGAAGCTGGGGTAGTGGATGAAGGGGATGAAGGGCTCATCTGAGGTCCAAAGTCAAATTCCTCCCCTCAGCTGGCCCTGAGCTAGGTGCTGGGCCACCAGGTGTACAGGGTCCCTGCCCTGAGAAGTTCACAGCCCAGTGAGGGACACAGCTGAGGACAGCAGTGATTGCCAGAGAATGAGAAGGTTGTTGCGTGGGGGTGCCACTGAGATGGGGCCGGCAGGGGGGGCCTTGAAAGCTAAAAGCGAAAGTGCCTGAGCAGGGTTTCCCTTGAGTGTGTCAAAGCTGGGTGGGCAAAACAGCTGGGAGGGCCAGGGCGGGTCCAGGGGACCTTCAGGAAGTCCTTGCAAGACCAGAGAAAGGGAAGAGGCTGGAATCAAGGCCGCTGTGAGGGGTGCAGGAGGTAGTAAGAGGGGCTGAGGCATGAGCCTGATACACTGGTCACTCACAGCAGTACTCTGAGAGGTGACTGTGACCCCCTCCATTTCATAACAGCAACCTGCCTGGCCTGTAATCCCAGCACTTTGGGAGGCTGAGGTAGGAGAATCGCTTGAGCCCATGAGATCAAGACCAGCCTGGGAAACCTAGCGAGACCCCATTTCTTAAAAAAAAAAAAAAAAAAAAAAAGTAATGAGACAGGCGTGGTAGTGTGTGCTTATAGTCCCAGCTACTTGGGAGGCTGAGGCAGGAGGATTGCTTGAGCCCAGGAGGTTGAGGCTGCAGTGAACTACAATCGTGCCACTGTACTCCAGTCTGGGTGACAAAGCAAGACCTTGTCTCTAAAACCTAAAAAAACCCCAAAAAACAAAAACAAAAAAACCAACCACCTGTGGCTTAGGAACATGAGGCTCAGCCAGGTCCCTTGGTCTCCCCTGCTCCTTCTCTGAGTTGGGGACACGACACTGACATCCCTGTCCCAGACCCTGTAATTGGCTCAACTTCCCATTGTCTTTGGTCCCCTGGTGGGCAGACCTTTCTCCTATAACCCAGTAGGATGCTTTTTGGTTTCCTTTTGTTTCATTTTAAGCTAAATTAATCTGAACATAAGACAGATCTGTCATGTTACACCAGCAAAAGGCACCCATTCTGCTGCCAACTCCCAGGGCTGGGCAGGATGGGGACAGTGGCTTTGTCTCCTCATCATCACTTTTCAGAGTGGCCTCGACACCTGCCTTCTCAATAAGTCAGCACCCTGTCTTGGCTGACTCAGGTGTCTCTGTGCACAAGGTCCTCTGCTTGTGTGCAGACCGGGCCCTTGAAATACAGACTCTGCCATCACGCCAGCCTGCCTGCCTGCACTTTGAAATGGTGGCTTTCTCTGCTGTCTTTCTTGCCTGGCATGGCCACACCTACCCTGCCCCTTGCCTGCTGTTTGGTGGCGAGCTCTTGGGCATTCAAGGAAGGAAACAAGCAAAGAACTTCCTACCTTCGGGCCCTGGGATAGGTGCTCTGTCCTGGTTAGGGTATTTTCAGGACATGTGGGGGAAGCTGACAGGCAGCTATGGTGGAAGGAAAAGCTCAGGCTGGAGGCTGACAGGTGTGGATCTGCAGTCTGGATCGGCCGCTTTGCCAGGCTGTGTGGCCGTGGGGAGGTTGCCTGCCCTCTCTGTGTTTCAAGCTCTTTGTCTGTGAACAGGGTTTGAAGCCCTGTCTGGCACATAGTTGATGATGTTCAGTCTATGCTTATTTGCAGTGGTGAGGGTGTCGGGTGGGAAGAGGCAGGGGTGGGGGGCTTTGAGGACACATACACTGTCACTGTATCAGGATGGCCCTGACCCCTTCCTCATGGCCGGCCCTGACCCTGCCTGTTTCCTCCCCGCCAGGGCGAGGGGGTGCAGCAGCTGAGAGAGGCCCTGAAGATCCTGGCAGAGCGAGTCCTCATCCTGGAGCACATGATTGGGATCCACGGTGAGCAGTGACCAGGATCAGCGGGCTGGGAATCTCTCTCCCCTCCTTCCTCTCCCAATGCTGCCCTCATGGCTGCTGCCTAGGGTCTCTGGTCTCCCTCCCTTGCCCCTAGTCTGACCCTCCCCCTCCCCTGCTCAAGGACCCTCAGTGGCTCCCTGCTGCCCTTGACAGACTTCCAAGTGCATCAGCCCAGTTTCCCAGCCCCTCCCTAGTATAGCCATGGTGGGCAGAGCCCTGCCCAGCCATGTTGAGGCCCCTCCCACCTCCATGCCTTTGCTCGGGCCATGCCTCTGCCTGGTGAACACTGACTGCCACTTCGGGACCTGCTCAAAGATCTCGGCCTCTGTGAAGCCTTCTCTGAACCCTCCTCTTTGTCCCTATGGTGACATAGGGGAGGCTTCCATTCCATGCTGGGGTTTCTGTGACCCTCTGGGAGTCCCTTGTGCAGAACAGTGAATGATACCTCTGCAGGGCCTGGAGTAGAGGCCCATCAGCATTTGCTGGAAAATGAATGGATGAATGAATAGGTGAATGGACAGGTGGGTGGGTGAGTGAGTGAGTGAACGAATGGCTGGTTGCCTGGATGAATGTATGCATGGGTGGATGCATAGATAGATGAATGAATGAATGAATGAATTGTTGAATGGACAGGTGGATAGGTGGATGAGTGAGTGGATGGGTAGATGCATGGATGAATAAATGAATGGGTGGATGGATAGATGGATAAATGGATGGATGGATGGATGAGTGGACAGGTGGGTGGGTGAATGAGTGAATGGATGGATGGATGGATGATGGATGAGTGAACAGGTGGGTGGATAAATGAGTGGATGGATAAGTGGGCAGGTGGGTGGGTAAATGAGTGAATAGATGCATGGATGAATGAATGAATGGGTGGATGGGCGGGTGAGTGGACAGGTAGGTGGGTGAATAAGTGAGTGAATGGATGGATGGATGGATGATAGATGGATGGGTAAATGAGTGAATGAATGGATAGATGCATAGATAAATGAATGACTGAGTGGATGGATGGATGGATGGATGGATGGATGGATGGATAGATGCATAGATGAATCAATGAGTGGATAGGTGGGTGGGTGGATAAGTGAGTGGATGGATGGGTGGATGGATGGATGGATGGATGGATGGATGGATGGATGGATGGATGGATGGACGGGCAGGTAAATGAGTGAATGAATGGATAGATGCATAGATAAATGAGTGACTGAGTGGGTGGATGAATGGGTGAATGGATGAATGGGTGGATACACAGATGGATGAATGGGTCAATGGACAGGTGGATGGGTGAATGAGTGAATGAATGGATGGATGCATGGATCCATGAATGAATGAATGCATAAGGGGCTGAAAGCCTGCTGCTGCCTTGCTTCTCCACGCTGGGCAAGAGCATCTCTCCGTGGCCACATATCATGATCAAATGTACCCCCAAGTGTTCCTAAGGCTCTACCTCGAGTCCACCCTCCTGCTCTCCTTCCAGATCCCCTGGCCTCCCCAGAGGGAGGTTCTGGCCAGGATGCTGCCCTGAGAGCCAACCTCAAGATGAAGAGGGGTGGCGCCCAACCCGATGGGGTCCTTGCTGCCCTGCTTGGGCCCGACCCTGGACAGAAGAGCGTGGACCAGGCCAGCAGCAGGAAGTGAGAGCCCACTGCTCCAGGACACCCTGTCCTGGCTAGAGACCCAGCCCCAGAGGCCTGAGCCGCCGCTGTTTCCTAAAGATGCCCCCAGGGGAACTGGGCTCCAGGCATGGATGATTGTGAGGACATGGGGGGCTTTGGGGACAGATAATGTCTCCAGGGGCAGGGTCTGGAGGGGCCAACACCCTCATCAGAGCCCTCCTCTGGCCTGTCCCCTCCCCTACCCCCACTCCCGGCTGGAGACGGGGTCTGGGTGGGCTGGGTGCTGGGAATGAGAATAATCCTAATACCCATCATTTATTGAGTCCCTGCTGTAACTGGCCCTGTCCAGGGAACTTTCGTTACGTTGTCTCATTATTTAACCCTTAGGAGGTAAGCTTATTATCCCCACTTCACAAGGGGACCGAGGCTCAGACGGTAGAAATAACCCTCTCTTGGCCACCAGATCACGGGTGGCAGGGGCAGGATTTGAACCCAGGACCCTCAGTTCCTGAAGCCATGTTCTCTCGACCCTGCCAGCTTCCCCTCTTCGAGAGAAAACTCAGACAGGGAGGGCGCAGGGCCAGAACGGCTCCTTAAGGCAGGCAGGGCTGCGGGGAGGCTGGGCCAGCCAGCCTGAGGGGGTAGGCAGGGTCCTGCAGGGCCTGGGGCTTCCCTTCCTCATCCCCCTTCCCCACTGGCTGGGGGAGCAGCCTGGACTGCAGCTCTCAGAGGCCAGGGAGACCCTGAATAAATCACTGCCAGCCATACGGACTTGAGGACCTTGAGAGAGAAGCATTGGGGGTGCAAGTGTCCACCAAACCAGATAGGCATCCCTGGCCACTGCCTCCCAGTCTTGCTGAGCCCACCCGCTCTCTCTGGGTCCATCCCATCCCTGAGCCAGGGGAGGCAGCATTTCATGGGCATGTCTATCAGAGGTGGGACTTGCAGCCTCTGCCCCACGAGTTTGTCTCTCAGTGGACTCTATAGGTTTGCTACTTTTGCATGACACAGCAAGCCCAGTGTCCCCTTTGCAAGCTGCAGAGAGGGAAACAGAGTCCCAGGCCTGCTGGGAAGAGATGCTCCTGCCTCCCACCTTCCAGAGTTGGGGGCCTGGCAGGCTCCATGGCAGGCACCAGGTCCCTAGCAGCCCAGAACAGCTCTGACTGGAGCCCTCAAGGCCTCTGGGGCCAGGGTCTCCGTGATCAGCTCAGCCCTGGTGTTCCTCTCTTGCTGGGCTGGGACCTGGGACACAGCCACGGCAGCAAACTCAGAGAATTGAAGGTGCTGGCGCCACCCTGGGGCACTCTGTCTTCACAGCAGGAGTGACTGTCTCCAGTGCTCTTGGTACTCCTGTTTGGCTGTGGCCTGGTCCCTCTGGGCCCTGGGATCTTCTTCTGGCCCTTGAGGCAGGTCTGGAGAGGCAGTCTCTGTCTTCATGGAGGGGTGGTCAGAGGCGGGCGGGACCACCAGCCTGTAGCGTTATTATTATATGTGACAATAAAGGTGCTCTCCCCACTGTGGGTCTGTTTGTGTGGTGACAGCTCTGCAGGAGGCTGGTCTGCATCTTACCGGCCAGGTGCCAGGGAAGCTGTGAGCAGCTCCAGCCAGGCCCGGGGTGACCACAGGGCCTCTGTGGCAGGGAGGTCCAGCTCTGCCCTCAGGACCTCCAGGGAGGGGGCTGGGAGTGACACACGATAGGCAAGCCCCGGATTGGGGCTTAACCTGCAAGGGCTCTTGGCTTCACCCAGCAAAGAATTCAAGGGCAAGCTGGAGGCAAGAGAAACAGCTTTATTGGAGGGGCAGGACTACAGCTCCATGACTGCTCGTGCAGAGCAGGGCTTCTCCCCAGGCAGAGAATAGCAGCTCAGGGCAGTTCTGCACCATATTTATACCTACTTTTAATTGCATGCAGATTAAGGGCTGGTTTATGCAGAAATTTCTAGGGAAAGGGTGGTTATTTCCGGGTCATCAGGTCTTTGCCATGGAAAAGGGCAGTGGCTCCTGAGTGTTGCCATGGTGATGGCAAACTGACATGGCACACTGGTGGGCGTGTCCAATGGAAAGATGCTTCCGCTCTGTCCCTGTTTTGGCTAGTCCTCAATTTGGTCCTGTGTCTGAGCCCTACCTCCAGAGTCAAGATCTGTTTCTTACCTCCAGAGGGTGAGGGAAGCCCCTTCAGAGGCCACCTCACCCCTCCACCCAACCACACTGTCTATAAACTGGGCCTGGCCCCCAGCTCTGCAAGAAGGTGAGTTAAGTTGGGGCGGCCTCAGGGCTCTTGGAGGAGCAACCCTGATCCTGCTCCATGCTCCTGTCCAGGTCTGGGGTCAGTGACATATCAGAGACCCCAGGGAGACCCATATACCCTGATGACAAGTCCCAGGTACAACACAGAGACCCAAACCACTGCTGAATCACCCTGTGACCCTTGTAGGTATTAAGCTCTTGCCCTGTGTATTATGTCTGTTCTCACTCTGCCAATAAAGATATACCCGAGACTGGGTAATTTATGGTAATTTATAAAGAAAAAGATGTTTAATGGACTTACAGTTCCATGTGGCTGGGGAGGCTTCACAATCATGGTGGAAGGGGAAAGGCACGTCTTGCATGGCAGCAGGCAAGAGAGAGAATGAGAACCAAGCAAAAGGGGTTTCCCCTTATAAAACCATCAGATCTCGTGAGACTTACTTATTCACTACCATGAGAACAGTATGGAGGAACCGCCCCCATGATTAAATTATCTCCCAACAGGTCCCTCCCACAACACATGGGAATTATGGGAGCTACAATTCAACATGAGATCTGGGTGAGGACACAGCCAAACCATATCACCCTGTGTCCAGTGCCCAGTGCTCAGCTACAGACAGAACCCTGCCTGCCTCTGCCTGGAGCTTGAAATCCTATAGAGAGGGTGAGCATTGAACACCACACCAGGCCAGGCATGGTGGATCACACCTGTAATCCCAGCACTTAGAGAGGACAAAGTGGGAAGATTGCTTGAGGTCAGGAATTCAAGACCAGCCTGGACAACATAGCTAGACCCTGTTGCTACAAGTGTTTTTTTTTTTTTTTTTAAAGTTAGCCTGGCATGGTGGTGGCTTGTCCCTGTAGTCCCAGATACTTGGGAGGCTGAAGTGGGACGATCATTTGAACCCAGGAGTTGGAGGCTGCAGTGAGCCATGATTCCGCCATTGCACTCTAGCCTGGGCAACAGAGCGAGATCCGGTCTCTAAAAATTAAACATAAAAAAACACCACAGCAATCATGTGGAGGAAGGAGATTCCAGGCTGCTCTGAGAGTCCAGGACCCAGAGACCAAAAGGGCAGGGAGAGCAGGGAAACAGAAAGAGAGAAAGAGGGAGGGAAGGGAAAAGAGAGACAGAGCAAGAGGCGAGAGGGAGAGAGAAACAAGAGACAGAGACAGAGAGATGGCCTGCCAGAGCTTCATCTGTCTTTATTTGCTGGTGAATAGGCAACACGTTCCTTAAGCCGGAGCCTCTTCTTCCAAGCCCCATTGGCTCTGGGATACTTCCTCCAGCCACAGGTCCTGGGCCCAGCAGGCACAGCTCATTCAGCAAACAGGGAGACCCGGGGTCGGGCAGGTGCCTGAAGTCAAACCTTGGCAGGAACCACTGGGCAACTGTCCCAGGCAGGGAGTGTGAGTAGGTTTAGGCTGGAGAAATGTCCTCGCCCCTTTTATTCCTTTTCCCAGGGCAGGAGTTACAAAACCACGCATCTTTCCTTCCTTCCTCCTTTCCTTCATGTAACAAATCTTTTATTGATCACCTTAATTGAGCCAGGCCCTGAGAACTTTCCATGAACAAAAGACAGGAATCTCTGCCCTCAATGAACCAACGCTTCAAGGGGAAGAAGTCAAAATAGGCAATAAACAGCCTGGACAACATAGTGAGACCCCATCTCTAAAAAAAAAAAAATTAGCCAGATGTGGTGGCATGCACCTGTTGTCCCAGCCACTTGGAGGCTGAGGCAGGAGGATCACTTGAGCTTGGGAGGTCAAGGCTGCAGTGAGCTGAGATCACACCACTGCATTCCAGCCTGGGCAACAGAGCAAGACCCCGTCTCAAAAACAAAACAAAACAAAACCAAAATAGGTGGTAAGTGTATGTATTTTTAAAGCCAATAAGATGATAGGCTAGAAGCCTAGCCACGTCCAGATGATCAGCAATATGGAAGCGCTAAGGACTGGGAGCTGACAATTAGTCTTATTTTTTAATTTTTAAAACTTATTTTAATTTTGTGTGTGTGTGTGAAAAAACACCTCCTCTCCTCCTTGGGGAAGCAGACCAGCAGGCATTCATTCCCCCAGACCCAGTGGCAGAGATGGGATCCTAAGAGAGAGATTTGCCTGCATTACCTAGGACACCAAAACGTCCTGCCCCAGGGCTGCCCCCACTTCCCCCAAGGTCTTCCCCTTCCTTTTGTCTTAAAGGCAGACTCCACGCCCAATGACACCTTTGTCTTTCAATCAAGGGGTTGCTGAGTTTGGAGGGTGTGAACTGAGCTTAGACGCTCCAGGTGGGCACCCTCAGGTGGGCACACGAAGCCCCCCGTGGTGCAAGGTGGAAGCTAGTGAGGGAAGCAGAAGGGCTGGAGGATGACAGGGGCTGGCTCTCCCGGCTGTCACCTTCCAGCACAAGACTCTGACAGTCACAATTCCAACGTCAAACCTGGCCTTCCAGGTCCTTGGAAAAAGATATCTGTCAAAGTAGGAAGATAGAGCCTGTGTTACTTAACAGCTGGTTAGCTCAATGTATAACTTTTTTTCTCTCTCTCTCTCTGTCGCCCAGGCTGGAGTGCAGTGGCACGATCTCGGCTCACTGCAACCTCCGCCTCCCAGTTCAAACAATTCTCTTGCTTCAGCCTCCTGAGTAGCTGGGATTACAGGTGCCTGCCGCCACACCCAGCTATTTTTTTTTTCCTGTATTTTTAGTAGGGACGGGGTTTCACCATGTTGTCTAGGCTGGTCTCGAACTCCTGACCTCAGGTGATCCACCCATCTCAGCCTCCCAAAGGGCTGGGATTACAGGTGTGAGCCACCGCACCCAGCCTCGATGTGTAACTTTTAAATAGACTCATGGGATGCCTTCATTTTTCCTCTGGTCCCTGGATCCCGCTATGGGAGAGCCTGGATGGGACCAGCAGAGTCTAGGAGGGTAGGGAAAGGGCTGTATGAGGAATGTTTGGGGAAAAACAACTTCCAAGCTCCCGCCAGCAGGGTGGACGGGCCAGCCCGGAGTGTGTTCGATGGAGCCAGGGTAGCAGATACTGTGGGTCCCAGAGAAGGTCTGAGACAGAGCTGAGGGAGAAGGTCTCCCCCAAGGGGCTGGGTGTGAGTTGGTCCTTAATATGGTGAGGACAGATCCAGTGCTAAACAGTGAAACATGTCACCTCCTTTAACGTCACAGCCACCTCTCTCATTTTGGGGTGAGTCAGCTGAGCCCCAGAGAGGTTACATAGCTTCCTCAAGGTCACACAGGCGGTTGGCGGTGAAGCTGAGTTCCAGATCAGGTCTGTGGGATTTGGGAAGCCATGCTCTGCTCTGCCCCCGAGAAAGCGGTTCTGGAAGGAAAAAAGAGAGTTCACATAAACCCAGGGATGGCGCTGCCGAAGAGGCCAAGTGTGAGCAAAGGCTGGGGGCGGATAAAGGGCAGAGGAGATTTGGGTGGGGGTGGAACGAATCTCCCAGGACACTGAAGCACCTGCCAGGGTGGGGATCTCCGAGGACCGTGATGCTGGAGGGAGAGGAAACTGACCACTGAGGGTCTCAGTCTGGCCTCTCCTTGCCATCTGGCCGTAGAATGACCTTTCTGAAGTGCAAGCCTGGCGTTGCTCCTCCCTCACTCATGAATCTGCTGTGGCTCCCCTGTTCCTGGCCTCAAGCCTGAGCTCTGCCCCCTGGTGCTGTCACCTGGGTCCCTGTCCTGACCACCTTCTGCACACATAGTGGCTGCAGCCCCAGGAGTCAGCCAGGAGGTCTGCCCATTGTCCGGCCTCATCTCTGTCCAGCTGTGGAGGCTGGCTCCCCCCGCGCAAAGCAGTGCTAAGCGTCTGCAGGAAATGGGACAGCGCTGTTGGGGGAAGGGCCTCAAAGCCCCAGGGGGAGCCCAGCTCTTGGCCTTGTGTGACCCCCTCAAATCTTCACCTCCTCTCACCCCTGCAGCCAAGGAGACAGGGCGGGCCCATCTGATCCTCTGCCCAGCTTCAGGAAGGTTCTTGCATGCATGTGTGGACACCGCCGCTTGCACTTCCAAGCTGTCCACAGGGCCCAAGACTCGGAGTAGGAAGCAAAGCACCCCAGGCTCCCAGCTAGGACGCTGCAGGGCTGGACTGTGGTCATCCTCCCCTGCCCAAGATTGCCTTCCCTCCTCCCTCTCCACAGCCCCTGGGGAAAGGGGACTCACCAGGGTCAGCTCAGTCCTGGCAGGAGCCTCCAGGTCCCCTCCTGGCTCACAGCTGAGCTTTGAGGGCCAGATCTGGGGACAGGCTGGCTAGAGCCCTCACTGCCTGGGTGCCCAGAACTCCCAGTCTGAGGCCACCTGCCTGGGCACTAAGGAGGGAGAATTAGCATAGGCCCCTGCTCACCTCGCCCCGCCCTGCTCCACCCTGTCTCCACTTTGCCTGGCCCAGACATGGCTGTCTCGAATTTCCTGCCTGAGTCTCCTCTGCTCTCCTGCGCTTCCTGCCTCTGCCTCCGGCCGCTGTTTCCTGCGCATACCCCCTTCTGTGGCCCGGGGTCCAGATCAAACCTGACATTTCTTCTGAAATGCCAACTGGCTCTAGGCCCTGCTATACATGTGCGTGTGCATATGCAAGTGTGTGCATGCATAAGAATGAGTGTGTTCATGTGTGTGCATGTTCTGTGTGTACACATATGTGCACGTGTGTGCATGTGTAAGAGTGTACATGCATGAGAATGTGTGTGTGCGTGTCCAGTGCGTATACACATATGTGCACGTGTGTGTGCTTGAATGTATGTGTGTGGGTATTCGTATCTGCTACGGTGTGTACACACAGTGTGGAGGTGGCTCGGGCTGGGCTGAACCTCAGAGGTTCCCACGAAGGCACGCTCTTCTTAGCCTGGTCCTGGCATGTCCTGAAGACCCACGAGGGGCAACTGTCCTACCGGAATGGCAGAAACAGCCCGACTCTGGCTTTGGGCTCAGCCAAGGGTGGTCAAGGTGCCATTGGGGTCCCCCAGCTTCACTCGTCACCTCCCTAAATCCAAAGCGCACCCTCCCAACTCTGTCTCTTCCAGTCGGCTGTGAGCGTCCTGTGTGCCAGGTCACGTCTGCGTGCCCAGCTCAGGCCAGGTGCAGAGCAGATGAATGACTGCAAAGGAATCACTGGCACAAGGCAGGACATTCACGGTGGGGGCGTGGCTTCTTCCCTGACACTGGCACATAGCAGGACATTCACGATGGGGGCGTGGCTTCCTCCCTGACACTGGCACATGGAGGACATTCACGATGGGGGTGTGGCTTCTTCCCTGACACTGGCACAAGGCGGGACATTCACGACGGGGGCGTGGCTTCTTCCCTGACACTGGTACACGGTGGGACATTCACGATGGGGGCGTGGCTTCTTCCCTGACCCTAAGAGGCCATGTTGGAGGTTATGGGCAGGGGCAGGTGGGAGCCAAGACTGGCCTACATCAGAACAGCAGCCCCCTCCCCACTCCAACCCTCCACGCCTGCAGTTTCCACCACCCCCGAGATTTCTGGAACACCTCTCTCCCAGACCGGCTTTATGGATTATATAAAAAAAGAATTTCATGAGGTTTTCAGTTAATTGAATTCCAGGGAGATTTATTCCCAATGTTATTAATAAATTCTAATGCCACCTATAACTTTCAATTGCCAGTTAATTAACTTGCAATGGGTGCATTGTAAAAGGCAAATTAAATACTTTTTCAGGCAGGGGCTGGCAAATTTAATGAGCTGATGTGTCCCAAGGGAGACGGCCGGGCTCACACATCCCATCAAATACTCCTCCCATCAGCAGATGAGAGTGTGATCTGGGTGAGTGACAACTGGACCTCCGCATCCTCATCTGTAAAAAGGGATCACAAAACCTGCCTCCAGGACCCTCAGATACCTGGAGTGGATGCTGTGTTTTATTCATACACAAATACAACGAAGGGGCCCTGGGGCGGTGAACTTTATGTGTCAACTTGACTGAGCCATGGGGTGCCCAGACAACTGGTCAAACACGCCTGCCCTGCCCAGCCCAGGTCAATTCATCTGGTCAGTCTACAGGGGATTGGGGGCAGGCCAGCCTCTGCCTCCTTCTGAGTAGAGAACAAGGATGGCAGTAAGGACGGCAGGGAAGACAAGGAGCAGGGGATCCCAGGGAGGACCACCGGGCTCACTGGAGGGAAGAGAGTCCTCCCCTAGGAAGGGACACAGCTGAGGAGTCTGAGAGATTTAGTAGGAGTTGTCTGGGTGAAGGAGAAGGCAGGGCAAGTTGGGGAGGCACGAGCACGTGCAAAGGCCCAGTGGTATGAGAAGGGGAAAAGCACTGGAAATTGTTGGAAATGCTCTAGGGTGGAGCCGGCAGGGGAAATATGATAATGTGGGCTTATTACAAGGCTACAGGGATCTCAGTGGACCCCAAGGACAGGAGCTGGAGTCAGAACAGGTCCCAAGAGAGTAGTACTGGATCTGAGTTAGTCCCAAGGCCTCAGTGTCAGCAGGAGATTACTGATTCCCATGGGCTCTGCCTGTTGCCTGTTTGTCCCTCTTCTTGTGGCAATGTGACATTTTGTCTTGGCCTCATAGCTTCAGCATGCTCATGACTTCTGCTTCTTCTGATGGCTTGCCATGACCTCTCACTGGCTATCCTTCAACAGCAGTCAGCTTTGCAGTGACACAATATTCAAACTGGGTGTCAAGCACCTTCATTGTCTCCCCAGTGACCCAGCACGCAGGCTCCCTAAAGGTAGAGTTCTCAGGCAGTACCTGGTGCTGTAACAAATATCCCATTGACCTGGGGGCGACATTTCTCACAGCTCTAAAGGATAGGAAGTCCAAGATCAAGGTGCCAGCAGATCCGGTTCCTGGTGAGGGCTCTCTTTCTGGTTTGCAGATGGCCGCCTTCTTGCTGTGTCTTCACATGGTGGGGAGAGAGAGAGGAAGCAAGCTCTGTTGTGTCTCTTCTTATAAGGACATTAATACCATTATGAGGGCCCCACCCTCATGAACTCATATAAACCTAATCACCTTTCGATGGCCCCACCTCCAAATGTCATCACAATGGGGATTCAGGCTTTAACATACAAATTTTAGGGGCACATAAACAAGTGGTCTACAGCAGTAGAATGCCTTGTCCTTGTAGGCAGACAAGGACAGACCTCGGTCTGGTCTCCCCTAGGCCTAGACACAGATACTTGATAAGGAGGGAGGATTCTAGGGAACCAAGGTCAGAAGCCTCATAGAGCAGGAAGTATGGGTTTTGTGGCCTGTTGATGGCAGAAGCTTCTATCTTAGGCTTAGAGTCTCCAGCTAGGCTCTTGCTGGGAAAACAGTGCAGTCTTTGCTTTCTTTTATATCAGAGCTGCATTTTCAAACGTAACCATCCCACACCCACTCTCCAGCTATTCGAGGACTTTGATGACAGCCCTCCAGTTTCTCAGGATGTAACAGCAGCAAATCACTGTGCACTTTCTCACTTGCTGCCCATGATCCCCCATGCTCCAACCACCGGGCAGGCCCATATTGGGCATGAAAGGATCTTGGCCTTAATTTTTCTTTTGCCTCGTGGCGATAAAGGGAGCATTTTGTTTTTTTCAAAAGACAAAACCAAAAGGTGCATCTTAATTAGGGAACAGGTGCAGTGAGACCAGACTGAACTCTGCCAGGCAGCAGCCTTTCACTTTGTGCGCACAATGCTTTTAATGCAGCCCCGTTGCCATGGCGATTACCATGTCTCAGCTTACTGAGGTGGCGTTGCAAACCTGTAGGGAAGAAATGGATTATTCAATAAATGATGCCGGGACATTTGGTTAGCTATTTGGAAGGAAATAAAATTAGCTCTTTCCTTCACACCATACATTAATATAAATTCCAGAGGACCTAAAGAATTAAATGTAAGAAAGGGAAATCATTAAAAAGCAAACAAATGTTTGATCTTGGGGGTACATGGAAACATTTTAAACCTAAAAGCAGTAGAAAAAATAACAAAGATTAAGGTAGAATTTAATACATAAAATTTAAATCTCCTTGTTTTAAAAATTATTTAGTTAATTTTATTGGGAGACTACAAAAAAGAATAAAATGGTTGCAAGAAATATGACAAAAGATTAATACCTCTAATATGTAAAAAGTAATTACAAATCAATAAAAATGAACAGTCCAATAGAAAAATAGTGAATGAGAAATGCCCAAAAGATGAAATAAAAATATGTAATAAAATATTTTTAAATATTCAGCTTCATTGGTCATCAAAGAAATGCCCATTAAAACATCAATGAGATTTTCTCCTATAGCTTATCAAAGAACGTTTAAATATAATTATAGCATTCAATCTCATTGAGTGGAGTAAAATTGAGTATTCCTATTCATCTCACATGTGAAAATACAAGTTGGTATAAAATTTCTAGGAAAAAAATTAAGTTTATGCCACAAGAGATTTTAAAATGTTCACACTATTCAGCTGGTAATTTCACTCCGAAGATATCCTAAGGTGCTGTCCAGGATTGAAGCCAAAAATGTAGATATGATAATATTCATTATAAGTATTTAATAGAAGTTTATAATTTACTAAAACACGTGGGCATGGTTAAATAAATTATGATACATAAATATGATGAACTATTGTGCAGCCATTAAAATAATATTTTGAATAATACTTAATGGCATGGAAATATGTCTATGACATAATATTAAGCGGAAAATAGTATACCATTTGGGTTTCTTAGCTGACAGCAATAGAAACCCACTCTGGCTGTCTGGATAAAGCAGAAAAGGAATTCATTGGAAGAAAATTGTAGGGCTTGGAATCAACAGGAACACAGGAGAACTAAACTGAGAAAGAAAGAAAAATAGAGAAAGAAATAGAGGAAGAGAGAGAAAGCAAGGAAATATAGAGAAAAGAAAGAGAGAAAGAAGAATGAAGGAAAGAACCAAGGAAGGAAGGAAAGGAGCAAAAAGGCAAAACAGGGCAAACATCCATCAACAGCTATAGTTACGGTACCAAAGTAGACATATGGTATGATCCCAAGTCAAGGCAAAATTGGCTATTCAGAAATACCAAATTCATCCCGGAATCTCAGTGCTTCAACCCTTGCAATGTTTCCTTCTTACTCACACAAAGTAAGTACTTACCAGGTTGGGCAGCCTGTCACCATCTTGTAGCCCAGCCATTGAAAGAACGTAGGCTCTGAGACTGTCACAACAGGGAAGACAGAGATGGAGGAGTCTCCATGCGAGTGATGCTGTCATTTCTGTTCACAGTCCATTGGGCAGCACTAGTCATATGGCCCCCAACCTCACTGCAATGGAGGCTGGGATAAAGAAGGCAGTGAGCCAGTTGAGGCTGCAATTTGAAACACATGGTACACTTAATTTAGGATAATTTGAGGAAGATTTAATTTCAAGGAGACTATTTTCAAAGGTGTGGGTGGGCTGCAGAAGAACCAGAAGGGAGAATGGGAGAATGTGATGAGCTAGGGCTATTAACAGCCCAAAGAGACGAGGGTCAGATTGGATTTTCAAAATCTCAACTATATGCTGTTTATAAGCAGCACATTTTGAATAAAAGATCACTATAGAAGATTTGAAGCATACAGTTATCCAGCTTCACCCAATGGACAATATATAGAACACACGCCTACCAATTGCATAATATGTGCTCTTTTAAAGTGTACATGGAACATTTTCCAAAATAGACCATATGCCTAGCCATAAATAAATCTCAACAAATTTCAAATGATTAAAATAATAAAATATGTTTTCTGACTACATTGAAATTAAACTAGAAACTAATAACAAAAAAAAATAGAAAATATCCCAAACCCTTGGAAATAATCCACATTCTTTTAGATAATTCAATATGTCAAAGAAGAAATCACAACATAAATTATAAATTCATGGAAATAAAAATGTAACGTATAAAATTTGTGGGATGCAGTTAGCACAGCTCTTCTAAGAATATTTACAACTTTAAATGAATATGTTAGAAAAGAAAAAAGGTAGAAAATGAATGATCTATGCTTTAATCTCAAGATGCTAAAGAAAAAACAGCATATTTAGAAAAAGGAGAAGGAAAACTAAAGGAAATAATAAAGATAATGGCAGAAATGAATAAAATCAAAAGCAAATGTATAGAGAAAATTTAAAAGCCACACATCGATTAAGATTAATAAAACTGATAAATACTTAGCAGGCTGGATCAAGAAAAAGAAATGAGAAAACATAAATTAGCCATGCCAGGAGACATCACTACAGATCCCCAAGACTTTCATGATACAGCAAAAGGATATTGTCAACAGCTTTATGCCAATAATTTAAAAATTTAGATGAAATGGCCGGGTGCAGCAGCTCACACCTGTAATCCCAGCACTTTGGAAAGCCAAGGTGGGCAGATCACAAGGTCAGGAGATCGAGACCATCCTGGCTAACATGGTGAAACCCCGTCTCTACTAAAAATACAAAAAATTAGCCAGGCATGATGGCGGGCCCCTGTAGTCCCAGCTACTCGGGAGGCTGAGGCAGGAGAATGGCATGAACCCAGGAGGCAGAGCTTGCAGTGAGCCGAGATCATGCCACTGCACTCCAGCCTGGGCGACAGAGTGAGACTCTGTCTCAAAAAAAAAAAAAAAATTAGATGAAATGGATAAATTCATTGAAAAATACAATGTACTAAAATCATTATAAGAAAAAATAAAAAATTGATATACTTTTATATCTGCTAAAGAAATTGAATTCATAATTAGAAACATTCCCACAAAGAAAACTCCAGCCTCAGATTGCTTAAGTGATGAATTCTACCAAACATTCAAGGAAACTCATAGAGACAGACAGACAGATAGTAGATTAGTGGTTGCCAGCGGCTGGGAAGTATTTGCTTATTCTAGACATGTTATATCAATGGAATCATACAATATGTGGTCTTTTGTGTCTGGCTTCTTTCATTTAGCATATTTTAAAGATTCACCCATGTTAAAAACAAATAAATAAAATTTTATTCATTTTTATGGCTGCATAATATTCTACCATATAGATAAACCAGATTTTGTTTATCCATTCCTCAGTTGATTGACGTTTGGGCTCTTTCTACTTTTTGACTATTATGAATAATGCTACTATGTACATTTTTGTACACGTTTTTGTGTTGACACATGTTTTTGCTTTTCATGGATAGCTATCTTAGAGTGGAATGGCAGGGCCATTTGGTAACTCTCTGTTTAGCTTTTTGAAACACTGCCAGACTATTTTCCAAAGTGGCTGCACCATTTTACAATTCCACCATCAATGTATGAGGACCACAACCTCTCTATATTCTCATCAACACTTGTTATTGCCTTTTTAAATTTTAGGCAAATTAGTGAACATGAAGTGGTAGGTCACTGTTTTGGTTTGCATTTTCCTAATGACTAAGAATACTGAACATCTTTTCATGACTTATTGGCCATTGTTTATCTTTGAAGAAATGTCTCTTAAAATCCTTTGCCCACAACAGACCTCTACCTCCCACCATATAAAAAAGTGAACTCAAAATAGATTATACACCTAAATGTGGGAGCTAAAACTATAAAACGCTTGGATGAAAACATTGATATAAATCTTGGTGACCCTGGATTAGGCAACTTGTGGATTGAAGTTCTAATTGGTATGTTTGCATTTTTACTGTTGAGTTGTAACAGTTCTTTGTATATTCTTGATAAAAAGTCCCTTATCAGGTATATGATTTGTAAACATTTTCTTCCATTCTCTCATTCTGAGGGTTGTCTTTTTACTCTTTGATAGTACCTTTAGAGCACAAAGGTTTTATTTTTGAGAAACTCCTATTTATCTAATTTTTCTTTTCTTTCTTACATTTTGGATGTCACATCAAATAAACCATTGCTTAATCCAAGGTCATAAAAATTTACACCTATGGTTTCTTCTAAAGGTTTTGTAGTTGAAGCTCTTACATGTAGGTCTATAATATATTTTGAGATAGTTTTTACATGGTGGGAAGTAGGAGCCTGCTGTGGGTGGAATTGCGCCTCCATCAAAAGATATATTAGAGTTCCAGCTCCCAATACCTGTAAATATTACCTTGTTTGGAAATAGGGTCTTTGTAGATGTAAACAAGATAGGATTGGACCTATATCCAATGACTGGTGTCCTTATAAGAACACCATGTACAGGGATATAGAGATACACAAGAAGAATGCCATGTGCCAATGGAGGCAGATATAAGAGTAAAGTGTCTGCAAACCAAGGATTGCAAAGTATATACAAGCCAGAAGCTAGGAAGAAGCAAGGAAGGATCCTCCCCAAGAACCTTCAGAGAGAGCAAGGCCCTGTTATGACACCCTAATTTTGGACTTCTAGCATCCAGAACTGTGTGACAATAGATTTCTTTGCTCTTAAGCCACACGGTTTAGAGTAATTTGTTATGGCAGTGAGGAAACTAATAGGGGATCCAACTTCATTCTTTTTCAAGTGGATATACAATTGTCTCAGTCTTTTGTTTGAAGAGACTATTCTTTCCCCATTGAATAGTCTTGACACCCTTGTTGAATATCAGCTGACCGTAAGTGTAAGTGTTTATAGCTGGACTCCAATTAGATTCTATTGAGCTACATGTTTTGTTCTTATACCAGCATGACATTGTCTTGAGTATGGTACCTTAGCAGTTTTGAAATTAGGAAGTATACATCTTCCAACTTTTGTTTTTCTTTGTCAAGATTGTTGTGGCTAGTCCCAGTTCCTTGTATTTCCATAATAATCTTGGCATTAGTTTGTCAATTTCTACCAAAATAGCCAGCTGAAATTTTGATAGCGATTGATCAATTTGGGGAGTATTGCTATCTTAACAATATTAACTCTTTCAATCCATGAACATGAGATGTCTTTCCATTTATGTATTTTATTTAATTACTTTCAGCAATGTTTTATAGGTTCCCACATAAAAGTCTTGCACTACTTTTGTTAAACTTAATCCTAAGTATTTCCTTCTTTTTGATGCCACTGTAAATGGATTTGCTAAAACTTTTTCAGGTGGTCACAGTGGCTCACACCTGTGATCCCAGCAGTTTGGGAGGCCAGGATGGGAGGAACACTTGAGGCCAGGAGTTTCAGACCAGCCTGGGCAATATAGTGAGATCCGTCTCCATAAAAAATTTAAAAATTAGCTAGGTGAGGTGGCAAATGCCGGTAGTCCTAGCTACTTGGGAGGATGAGGTTCAAGGTTTGCTTCAGCTCATGAGTTTGAGGCTGCAGTGGGCTATGATTGAACCACTGCACTCCAGCCTGGGCAGCAGAGTGAGACCCTGTCTCCAAAAAAAAAAAAAAATAAACAAAATAAAATGAAATATTTTCAGATTGTTTATTGCTAGTCTATAGAAGTAAACTTGAATTTTGTATGCCAACCTTATATCCTGAAACTGCTGAACTTGTTTATTAGTTCTAATAGTGTGTGTACATATTCTTTAAGATTTTGTATATACAAGTTCTTGTCATCTGAGAATAGAAATAGTTTTATTTCTCTTTTTCCAATCTGGATGGCTTTATTTATTTTTCTTGCCTAATTACTCTGGCTAGAATCTCTAGTACAATGCTGAATAGAGATAGTGAGAGAGGACATCCTAGTTGTGTTCTTGATTTTAGGGTAGAAACATTCATACTTTCTCCATTAAATATGATGTTAGCTATGGGTTTTTTGTAGATGCCCTTTTTCAGGTTAAAGAGGTTCCCTTATATTCTTAGTTTATTGTTTTGTTTTGTTTTGTTTTTATCATGACAGTGTGTTAGATTTTATCAAATGCTTTTTCTGCAAATTTTGAGATGGTCCTGTGTGTTTTGTCCTTTCTTCTATTAATATGGTGTATTACTTTGATTGATTTCAGATGTTAAACCAATCTTGCATTCTTGGGATGAATCCCACCTGGTGGTGATACATAATCGTCTTATATGTTCCTGAATTTGGTTTTCCAGTATTTTATTGAGGATTTCCATCTATGTTCATAATGGATACTGGTTCATAAATTTCCTTTCTGGTGATGTCTTTGTCTAGTTTTATTATCAGGGTAATACTGGCATCATAGAATGAGTTGGAAAATGTTCTATTAGCTCATATTTTCTGGAGGTTTTGTGAAGAATTTGAGTTTATTATTTGTGTTAGTCCATTTTCACAGTGCTATAAAGAACTACCTGAGACTGGGTAATTTATGAAGAGGTTTAATTGACTCTCAGTTCCACAGGCTTACCAGGAAGCATGACTAGGAGGAGGCCTCAGGAAACTTATAGTCATGATGGAAGGCAAAGGAGAAACAAGCACCTTCTTCACATGGTGGCAGGAGAGAGAGTGAGGGAAGCAGGAAGTGCCACACAATTTTTTTTTTTTTTCAAGACGGAGTCTCACTCTGCAACCTCCGCCTCCTGGGTTCAAGCGATTCTCCTGCCTCAGCCTACTGAGTAGCTGGGATTCCAGGCACATGCCCAGCTAATTTTTATATTTTTAGTAGAGACACGGTTTCACCATGTTGATCAGGCTGGTCTCAATCTCCTGACCTTGTGATCTGCCGGTCTCAGCCTCCCAAAGTGCTGGGATTACAGGTGTGAGCCACTGCACCTGGTTGAGAACTCACTCAATATCATGAGAACGGCAATGGGGAAATCTGCCCTCATGATCCAGTTACCTCCTATCAGGCCCCTCCTCCAATTCAACGTGAGATTTGGGTGGGGACACAAATCCAAACCATAACATTCTCTGCATTTTTGGTAGAATTCGCCAGTGAATCCACATGAGCCTGTGTTTCTATTCTCTATTTTATCTACTTCACTCCAACAGATACAGGAGCTAGAAAGAAATTATTTAGGAAGATAGTGAGGGTAAGAGAATCCTAGTGTAGCAGGACGAGCCACAGACAAAACTCCTCAGACACTGAGTTAAATAAGGAAGGGGTTTATTCAGCCGGGGGCATTGGCAAGACTCCTGTCTCAAGAGCTGAGCTCCCTGAGTGAGCAATTCCTGTCCCTTTTAAGGGCTTACAACTCTAAGGGGGTCCACATGAGAGGGTTGTGATCGATTGAGCAAGCAGGGGGTACGTGACTAGGGGCTGCATGTACCAGTAATCAGAACGAAACAGAACAGGACAGGGATTTTTACAATGATTTTCCATACAATGTCTGGAATCTATAGATAACATAACTGGTTAGGTCGGGGTCGATCTTTAACTATCAGGCCCAGAGCATGGTGCCAGGCTGTCTTCCTGTGGATTTCACTTCTGCCTTTCAGTTTTTACTTCTTTCTTTGGAGGCAGAAATTAGGCATAAGACAATTATGAGGGGTGGTCTCTTCCCTTACTAGGTAAGGTTTCCTTTTAATAAAAAGCAGCCCCCAAATAATTTCTTTTCTAACAAAAAGCAGCCTGAAAAATCAAGCTTCAAGCATAGATAAGCAAGCTCAAAGCGTGCATAGGTAAATGCCAACAGCTGTGCCAATAGAAAAGGGACACCTGGAAGCTAGGTATATTCAACATGGAGGTTCCTTCTTCCCTTTTCTTTGTTGCCACATGTGTAGTAAAAAAGCAGGCAACATGGCATTGGCCAAGTAGAGACCCCATCTGCATAACAAAAGATTAGGGTGGGATGGCCAGCTTCTTCGCACACTATGCAAATGGGACACCTGGTCTGACCAGTCTCTCATGTCCTATGTAAATCAGACACTGCCTCCTCAAGCTCGTCTATAAAACCCCATGCATTTCACCATGAAGCCCAAAGACCCTACTTGGGAGTCCCTCTCCCTCTGCAGAAGAGAGAGCTTTTCTCTGCCTTTCACTTATTAAACCTCTGCTCTTAAACTCATTCCTTGTGTGTGTTTGTGTATTCAGTTTCCCTGGTGTGAGGCAATGAACCTCGGGTATTTTCCCCAGACAAACCATGCCCCTTCACAATCTTTATTATTTCCTTTCTTCAACTTGTTTTAGGTTTAGTTTAGACTTCTTTTTCAAGTTACAGGAAGTGGAAGTTTAAGTGACTGATTTAGATCCTTATTCTTTTTCATATAGGTGATTACAGCTATAAATTTTCCTCTAAGCACTGCTTTATGGCTGCATTCTACAAGTTTTGGTGAGTTGTTTCATTTTTATTTAAAGCATGCTCTAATTTCCTTGTGGTATCTTCTTTGATCCATTGGTTACTTAAGAGTGTGATGTTTAATTTCCACATGTTCCTGAATTTCCCAATTTCCTTCTGTTATGCATTCTCATGAGATTAGAAAACATACTTTGTATGATTCCAATCTTTTTAAACTTACTGAGTACTTTTTTATGGCCTAACATATGGTTTACAGTGCAGAATGTTCCATGTACACTTGAGAAGAACATGTATTCTGATGTTGTTGACTGGAGTGTTCTGTAGGTGTCTGTTAGGTTCCACTGAATAATAGCGTTCCTTTAATTCTTAAGACGTGGTTTCCTCTAGTTTTTGCACATATTCATAACAGTGTACTTGAAGACTTTGCCTAGTAATTCCAGTGTCTGGACTTCCTCAGAGACAGTTTCCTGTGAATGGACCATACTCTTCTGTTTCTCTGCATGTCTCATAATTTTTTGTTGTTGAATATTAGACATTTAAAATAATATAATGTAGCAAATTTGGAAATCAGATTCCCTGACCCCCCACCACAAAGAGTTTGTTGTTGCTATTGCTGTTTGTTTCCTTAGTGATTTTTCTGGATTAATTCTATAAAGTCTGTGTTCTTTTTCATGTTTTGCTGCTAAAATTCCTGTTAGCTTAGTAGTCAACTAATGATTGCACAGGCTTTTTTTTTTTTTTTTTTTTTGACAGAGTCTTGCTCTGTCATCCAGGCTGGAGTGCAGTGGCGTGATCTTGGCTCCCTGCAGCCTCTACTTCCTGGGTTTAAGCAATTCTCGTGCCTCAGCCTCCCAAGTGGCTGAGACTACAGGCACACACCACCATGCCTGGCTAATTTTTGTATTTTTGGTAGAGATGGGGTTTTGCGTGTTGGCCAGGCTGGTCTCAAACTCCTGGCCTCAAGTGATCCACCCACCTCGGCCTCCCAAAGGGCTGGGATTACAGGTGTGAACCACTGTGCCCAGCCCAGATATTTCTTTAAATCCCTTAACCCCATAAGTGTCCCAGCCTTTGCTGAGGAACACTGTGTGTGTGTGGAGCCTGACTTCAATGCTTTATCAAGCAGTTTGCAGCTCTGCCGTAGCCTTCATTTCCTTCTTGTGCAGAGCCTCAAGGTCAGCCAGAGGTGAGACATCAGGGTCTTATCAGGTCTTTCTGTGCATGTGCACTGCTCTGCACATGCATGAAGCCTCTATCCTATCATCCCAGGAATGTATCGAAACTTTTAAAACCCCCAAAGGAAAAAAAAACCCAAAGGATAACTCATTTCCCAGTTTTTCCTTTCATGATTTTACATAGCCTATTGACCCCAAATGGTATTGCCACATAGGCAGCTACGATGTTGAACAGTTACTGCTGATTGTTTTTGACAAGTGCCCTGAGGCCAGGGCTGGTCACACAGAGTAAGCTCTGAGTCAGGTCAGATAAAGACAATCCCTGGGAACAGAGCTTTTCAGGCAGCTTCCAGACAGGTCAAATAGTGGCCATTTTCTGGGGATAGAGCTTTTTGTGGGCTGGTTTCGCAGACATCATAGTTGCAAGGCTGTTGGTTTTCATGCCTGCAACAGAACTGTAAAGAGGGCTGTGGGAATAAGACAAGTTAAAACTTCACAAAGCTTGCTGTTCTTACTGCAATACGGCCTTATTTTATTTTTTTTAGAGACTGGGTCTCACTCTGTCTCCCAGGCTGGAATGCAGTAGCATGATCATAACTCACTGCAACCTTGAACTCCCAGCCCAAGTGATCCTCCTGCCTCACCCTCCCCAGTAGCTAAGACTACAGCCATGTACCACTGCACCCTGATATTTTTTAAAAAATATATAGTATTTGTAAGGATGGGGTGTCACTGTGTTGCCCGGGCTGGCCTCGAACGCCTGGCCTCAAGCGATCCTCCTGCCTCAGCCTCCCAAAGTCAGCCTTATTAAAAAATAATAATTGTAATAATAAACACTCCTCAGGTAGCTGCAAGCCTTTGGTTAATTTGCAGAAGTATGAAAAAATTGATTTTGACTGTTTTTGCCAGCATGCTCATTGCTTTTATGAAGGAACAGATTTCAGAAGTCCTTATTCTAATTATCCTCTCATTCTGGTCATGCTCCTCCACCTGTTTTTGTGCCTAAAGTTTTATTGGAATGCAGGTTTGCCCATTCATTTACATAGTGCCTATAGTGGCTTTCACACACAACTGAAAAGTTGGACAGTTGCGACAGAAACCATATGGCCTGCAAAGCCTAAAATATGTACTATCTGGCCTTTAGGAAAAGGTTTGCCAAGCCCCACCATAAGGCAAGAAAATGATATACAGATTGCAAGGAAAAAGTAAAGTGCCATCATCCACAGGTGAAATTTTTTGGCATTTAGAATTTTTTTATTTTTTGATCATTTATTCATTTATTTAGAGACAGGGTCTCACTATGTCACCCAGGCTGGTCTTGAACTCTTGGGCTCAAGTGATCCTCCCATCTTGGTCTCACAGAGTACTAGGATTATAGGCATGAGCCATTGCACCCAGCCCAGAAAATTTTAAAATCTGTGAACAACTTGTTAGAATTAGTAAGTGGCTGGACATGGTGACTCAATGCCTATAATCCCAGCGCTTTGGGAGACTGAGGCAGGAGGATTGCTTGAGGCCAGGAGTTCAAGACCAGCCTGGGAAACACAACAAGACCCTGTCTCTACAAAAACAATAAAATAAAAATCAGCTGGGTGTGGTGGCACCTGCCTGTAGTCCCAGATACTGGAAGGCTGAGGCAGGAGGATAGCTTGAGCCTGGGAGTTGGAGGCTGCAGTGAGCTATGATTGTACCACTGTACTCCAGCCTGAGTGACAGAGTGAGACTGTGTTTCCAAAAAAAAAAAAAATAGTAAGAGAATTTAGCAAGATCATTGACTACATTAGCATGCAAAACTCAGCTGCAGGACTTATGAACACACCCCTCCCTGCCTCTCTCAGTGATCACGACTAAAAATTCTGAACAGAATGCCTATAGTAACTGTCTGAGAACTCTGAAAAGTAGATCATAGGTGGCAGATTAAGGAAGGAAATGAAAACTGAAAGAATGATGGGCATTGCTGTGAGTTCCTGGACTGGTTGGTTGGTTGGTTTTTCTCCACATTCCATAAGATAGATTCTAGCACAGCTCAAATCCTGGAGCTGTGAAGTGGTTGGAGGAAATGCCTTGTCTTTCTGGCCAGAGAACCAGGAATGGGGGACAAAGAGTCAGGGGGTGGGGGCAACTCCAAATTTTTATTTTTTATTTCCCTTTTGACTGCATCTCCATTTGCTCTCTTCTCTTCTGAAACTCATTTTCAATGGATGTCTCCTCGTAGGTTGACCCTCTAGTGTTTTTGTCTTTTCTCTCCTAATATCCAATCACTCTCCCATTTCTCCTGGGATTTTCCGTTGCACATGCCATTTCCTCTTCAGGGAACATCAAAGAACACTCTTCCTGCCCCTGCAAAGAGATGTCTACTTAACTCCACCACCCAACATTCAGATGGCTTTTGCCATCTTCTCTGACTAGCCAAGTCTCTCTACTGGATGCTGTATTTAGTCCATTCAAATGCTGCTAATAAAGACATACCAGAGACTGGGTAATTTGTAAAGGAAAGAGGTTCAATTGACTCACAGTTCTGCATAGCTGCAGAGGCCTCAGAAAACTTACAATCATGGCAGGAAGGGATGCAAACATGTCCTTCTTCACATGGTGGCAGCAAGGAGAAGTGCCTTAACAAAAGCAGGGAAAGCTCTTATAAGACCATCAGATCAGGCCTGGCATGGTGGCTCATGCCTGTAATCCCTGCACTCTTGGAGGCCGAAGTGGGCAGATCACTTGAGGTCAGGAGTTCAAGACAAGCCTGACCAACATGGTGAAACCCTGTCTCTCTACTAAAAATACAAAAAATTACCTGGGCATGGTGGCGCATGCCTGTAATCCCAGCTACTTGGGAGGCTGAGGCAGGAGAACTGCTTGAACCCAGGAGGCGGAGGTTGCAGTGAGATGAGATCTAGATTGCACCATTGCACTCCAGCCTGGGCAACAAGAGCGAAACTCCCTCTCAAAAAACAAAAAAAAACAAAACCAATCAGATCTCGTGAGAACTCACTAATTATCATGAGAACAGCAGCATGGGGGTAACCACCCCCATGATTCAATTAGCTCCCACCGGCTTTCTCCCACACCACATGGGGATTATGGGAACTACAATTCAATATGAGATTTGGGTGGGGACACAGCCAAACCGTATCAGAAGCACTATGTCTTTTTCATTTCCAGCACTGGTTAGAGTTGTCACCTTGCATTTACTTGCACAATTCTTAGATTGCTGCCAGTTTCCTGTTCGGTCCATAAGCCCTATCTGACTTTGGTCCATCATTGTGCTTCCAGAATCTAAAATGGTGTCTGACATGTAGAGGGCTTCCAAAAATGTTTCCTGAATGAATGATGAATGTCTCTATGTCTTTGCACATGTTGTTCCCCCTACCTGAAATATCCACCCTTTCCATCCCCTGTCAGTACACCTCTGCATTCCTACAAGAACCAGCCCAAGTGTCACCACCTCTGGGAGGCCTCCCCTGGTGCCCTAGGCAGACACATTGCTTCTGCAGCATTGTGACCATGGGCTGGAAGAAAGCAGCCTTGTCACCTTGCACTACAGTAGCCTGGGGCATAAATATTGTCTAAGAAATCATTGCAGTTTCCATATTTTTATGCAATAAGGAAGCCTACTTCCAGCATGAACCCAACTTAGAAAATACTCTCAGCCAATATTTCAGATTTCAGCACAACCCTCCATCAGGGTGCATGACGTGAGGACTTTACAAATGCCGCGGCAGAACCTATGGGCCTAGATGAGAGGGAAGGGGTGGAAGCTGTGCAAGGGCCCACAGCACGGGCTGCCCTGTGGAGGCGGGTCTAGATGCTGCTGCTGATGCAGGTCTGATGTGTCAGCACAGAGACCCACCCTGAGCCCTGGAGGAGTCCAGCCCAACGCTTAGTAGCAAGGCATTTACAGAGGATCCATTCCACTGTGGAGGGAGCATGATTTATCCTCGTAAATAACACCTACTCCACATTGATATGTGTCTTCCTTGGCACAACCCTGCCAGCTCTACACATGGGATTTCAAAAGTGACTGATTTCTCAATCTAGAATCCTGCACAATGTCACCTTGGACCAAGAAATACTTTTTTTTTTTGAGACAGTCTTGCTCTGTTGCCCTGGCTGGAGTGCAGTGGTGCAATCTCGGCTCACTGCAACCTCTGCCTCCCAGGTTCAAGTGATTCTCCTGCCTCAGTCTCCTGAGTAGTTGGGATTACAGGTGCCCATCATCACGCCTGGCTAATTTTTGTATTTTTGGTAGAAACAGGGTTTTGCCATGTTGGCCAGGCTGGTCTCGAACTCCTGACCTCAAGTGATCCACCCACCTCGACCTCCCAAAGTGCTGAGATTACAGGCATGAGCCACTGCGCCCCGCCCAAGAGATCAATTTTACAGCAAAAGGTCCACAATGGATACATGGCAATGGGATCCATTGGTCCTATCAACAACTACATGAGCTGGACACAGTCAGCCTGGATGACCATTGAAATGGCTTATTAAAGGCTAGGCTAAGGGGTCAATTTGAGCTTTCTCTGTGGGGTTTGGAGCTTGTATTAAATTAAAATGTATCTGGTGGCTCATGCCTGTAATCCCAGCACTTTGGGACCCCGAGGAAGGAGGAACGTTTTGAGGCCAGGAGTTCAAGACCAGTCTGGGCAACACGGTGAGACCCCAACTCTAAAAAATATATATAAAATAGCCAGCCATGTTGGTGGATGCCTGTAGTCCCAGCTATTCAGGAGGCTGAGGTGGGAGGATCGCTTGAGCCCAGGAGTTCAAAGCTACAGTGAGCCATGATTGTGCCACTGCATTCCAGCCTGGGCAACAGAGCAAGACTCTGTCCCCAACTCTCTGCCTCCAAGAAAGTACCTGGGATTTGTTTTAATCAGGTATGGTGAGGCCAACAGGTCAGGAGATGAATGCCGTGAAGCAAAAATTTTTACTCACCCATCCCTAGAAACAGGAGGCCACGTGGAGCCACTCAGGAAAGCACTCGGGTAGGTCAGGAGGGAGAGGCGGAGGGGGAACGGGGCAAGAGCCTTCACTGTGGTTTGTGCAAGAAGGAACGGGTAAGGCTGGGGGAATGGGTTGATTGGGTTTGGGATTGGCTCATTTGAGTAATTTCAGCAGCCTCCAGGGTATAGGGGCCACTCCTAGCTGTCTGATGTCTGGCCCTGGGATGCTGGGGGTAGAGGAATATTGTCTCCAAGAGTGCAAAATCCAGATGGAGAAGGTGGTTGAGTTTAGGCTCTGGATTGGTCGGTTTGCATACCAAAGGCGTGCTAGCGCTCGCAGGAAAGTTGTTTACCATCTCTAGGAATTCACTAGCGCTGGAAGGAGCAGTCTCTCCAGGATTAGCAAGGCCCCCAGAAGTCAAAGCATCATAAAGTACAGAAAATTTAAACAAATATTACTGATACGAGCTATCTTCTACAATGTGCCGTACGCATTGAACCAACAGTTGATGCACCGTATCCCAGTAGCTGGAATTGAAATTTTCCCAAAGCAAGGACTGACCCCTCCCAAATCACTCCCAGTGACCCCAGTGGCACCAGACAGCCCGATTTTCCAGTTGCCAGAGAAACACTTCCATTAGAAAATTCACTGAAATGGGCCAAGTGCAGTGGTTCACAGCTGTAATCCCGGCACTCTGGGAGGCCGAGGCCAGTGGATCGCTTGAACCCAGGAGTTTGAGACCAGCATGGGCAGCATGGTGAAACCTCATCTCTACCAAAAAAAAAAAAAAAAAAAAAAAAAAAACCAAAAAGTTAGCTGAGTTGTAGTGGTGTGCATCTGTGGTCCATGCTACTTGGGAGACTAAGGTGGGAGGATTACCGAGCCTGGGAGGCAGAGGTTGCAGTGAGCCATGATGGCACCACTGCACTCCAGCCTGGGTGACAGAGTGAGACCTTGTCTCCAAAATAAATAAATAAATAATAAAACCATGAAAAGTTCCTCTGAACCTGCATCTGTACATGTGTAAATGTTATCTGTCACTTTGGGTTTCTTGTGCCGATGAAATAGAATTCAAAGGAAGGAGCTGCCATACTAATGGGGGTCATTACTGAGTATTATGAGGGGTATGGATGGCTGCTGCACAGTGGAGGTAGGGAGGAGTCTGTCTGGAACATGGGGTTTTACCAGGACCCCAGGAGCCCAGCAGACCATGAGGATCTTGGTGCATTCGTGCCTGGCGATAACGGTAAACAGGGGGCAGTCATGCCTGGCAGAGAACAGGCAACCAAAGGCTGGGGTCCCTCAGGGATGAGGGCCTGGGTCACCCCAGCAGGCAAGAGCCTTAGACCATCTGAAGTGCTGGCTCAGGGTGAAGGAAATCTTGCATGGGTTCTCTCTAGAGGGGACTGATGACAAGTATTAATTATGGTCTTGGGACCAGCTGCAGCTGCCCAGAATGTAGCTCATTCCAACACATCTTTGTATTCACTCTCTCTGTAGGTCATGCCTGTCCACTCTCCCGAAGACTCAGTGCCACCATGGACTTGGGGTGGGCACACGTGGATCTGAGTGGTGCAAGGGGTGGACTGTGGCAGACACTTTCTGGTGCTCTGTGTCACTTTCCATTAATTTCCTTCTGATTTCTGCAGCAGCAGTGGTGGTCAGTTACGGGCAAGCACAGGCATGCAGGGAGTGTCCCACATCAAGCATGTGACAGCATCTTTTCCCTCTCTGGCTCAGGGTCCTTTCAACAACAAGGGTCTGTTGAGGCTATGAGCAAGCTCTGTCCAGGATTGTGAGGAAGTCAGTGTCCTCAAGGGACACCCTCTACCTCTCGGGGGGTGGAGGAACAGGTGGATACATGCTCCAGGCTCCTTCTTGCAGAAGGACAATTCTGGGAGACATTCTGTACTCTTTGCAAGGGTTCCTACAGAATCAAGCCCCCTTTGCTGAAGCAGCGACCTTGATAACTCACCCTGACACCAGCTTTTCCTCTTTCCCTTTAACACTCTTTTTTTCTTCTGTCTGTTCCTTGAGGTGCCTCCCAAATAAACTCCCAACTCCCAAGACCTTGTCTTAGGTTCTGCTATGAAGGCCCCCAAACAAAGACACCCCCGTGTTTTTGTTTGTTTGTTTGTTTGTGACGGATTTTCACTCTTGTCGCCCAGGCTGGAGTGCGATGGCAGGATCTTGGCTCACTGCAACCTCCGCCTCCCGGGTTCAAGCGATTCTCCTGCCTCAGCCTCCCAAGTAGCTGGAATTACAGGCATGCGCCACCAAGTCCAGCTAATTTTGTATTTTTTAGTAGAGACGGGGTTTCTCCATGTTGGTCAGGCTGTTCTCAAACTCCCGACCTCAGGTCATCCGCCTGCCTCAGCCTCCCAAAGTGCTGGGATTATAGGCATGAGCCACCACACCTGGCCTGTTTGTTTGTTTTTTGAGGCAGGGTCTTGCTCTGTTGCCCAAACTGGAGTGCACTAGTGCAATCATAGCTCACTGCATCCTTGACTTCCCAAGTTCAAGTGATCCTCCCACCTCAGCCTCCTGAGTAGCTGGGACTACACGCATGCATCATCATGCCTAGCTAATTTTTTGTTGAGATGGGATCTCACTATGTTGCCCAGGCTGGTCTAAAACTCCTGGGCTCATGGCCAGGTGTGGTGGCTCATGCCTGTAATCCTAGCACTTTGGGAGGCTGAGGCGGGTGGTCACTTGAGGTCAGGAGTTCGAGACCAGCCTGGCCAACATGGCGAAACCCCGTCTCTACTAAAAATGCAAAAAAAATTAGCTGGGCATGTGGTGCATGCCCGTAGTCCCAGCTACTTGGGAGGCTGAGACAGGAGAATCACTTGAACCCGGGAGGCAGAGGTTGCAGTGAACTGAGATCGCACCACTGCACTCCAGCCTGGGTGACAGAGCAAGACACCATCTCAAAAAAATAAAAATAAAAAGTAAAACTCCTGGGCTCAAGTGATCCTCCTACCTCAGCTTTCCAAAGTGCTAGGATTGCAGGCATGAGCCACCGTGCCTAGCCAAAGACACCCTGTAATCAAGCAGTCCTGGTGGAAGGGCTGGGGTGGCCCAGGGCAGCAGGTGTCTGGCCAACAGTTTCTAGTGTTTTGTGACTGCTACTTACTGACACACATAAAAGAGACAGTCATACTGGTGTGTACTGGTGGAATGTCGACTCTTATCTTCAACAGTGCCAAAGTTCAGGGTTTAGTAAAAGTATTTAAACAGGGCGTGGTGGCTCACATCTGTAATCCCAGAACTTTGGGAGGCTGAGGCAGGTGGATCATGAGGTCAGGAGATTGAGATCAGCATGGTTAATACTGTGAAACCCTATCTCTACTAAAAATACAAAAAATTAGCTGGGTGTGGTGGCACATGCCTGTAGTCCCAGCTACTAGGGAGCTGAGGCAGGAGAATCGCTTGAACCTGGGAGGCAGAGGTTGCAGCGGGCTGAGATCATGCCATTGCATTCCATCCTGGGTGACATAGCAAGACTCTGGCCCTCCCCGCACCCCCCGCAAAAAAAAAAAAAAAAGTACTTAAACTGGGCCTGGTGGCTCACATTTGTAATCCCAGCACTTTGGGAAGCTGCAGCAGGAGGATAGCTTGGGCACAGAAGTTGGAGACCAGCCTGAGGCAACATAGTGAGACCCTCCATCTATACAAAAATTACAAAAATTAGCCAGGCATGGTGGCATGTACCTGTAGTCCCAGCTACTTGGGAGGCTGAGGTGGGAGGATTGCTTGAGCCAAGGAGGTCGAGGCTGCAGTGAGCCATGATTGTGGCACTGCACTCCAGCCTGGACAAGAGTGAGACCTTGTCTCAAATAAATAAAAATAAAAAACAGTATTTACAGGTCTGAGAACCGCGCAGGTCAAGCCATTCATAACTAGTTCTTTCATGTATTCATAACATTCCAAGACAAAACCTCCATTTAGGTGATTATCTGAATGGCTGGGGCCTATGCCACTGGTATACAGAGTATGCCACTTGGTAAGTGGTCTCTCTTTTCCTAAATGGGGCTTCAGCCAGAAATTTGTCTTGTTTGGTTTTGTAGGGTGGTCAGATTGTGCCAAGCATTACATATGATGCTTGAGTCATAATCACGTTGATAACAGAAAAAGAAACCATTTATGGGCCCTTCCTGTACTAAGCACTTCATATGCAGGATCTTGTATGCCTCAGAATTACCCTCCATGGTAGCTATTGCTGTTACTTCCAATTTCTTGATGAGGACACTGGCTCAGAGAGGTTAAGTAACTTGTCTGGGGTCACTCAGCAGTTAGGTGACAGAGCTGGTATTCTTGCCCTCTCCCTGGGCTGTTTTCTTAGTAGCACCTGTGAGCTCCCGCCTGGAAGAGATGCAGTCATTTCCGCTCACATCCTATTGGCTGGAACTGGTCACATGACCCCAGGTGAATTGGGAAGGAGGCTGGGAGGTAGAGAAGCACGTGGCTAACTGGTGAACATTTGCAGCTCAGCATCAGATACAGCCGGGTGCAGGCAGGGCTCTGTGAGATGTGGTCATCTCTGCACATTGATTGCCATGCAAGGCTTGACTCAGAGCATCTGTTGGCCTGTGTCTGCTTCTCCAACCTGTGCACGCACAAATGGGACCAGCCCTCGGCATCTCTGAGAGACTAGAAGAGGCCTTGAACTCCACTTGGGATCAGCTCTTCCGAACGCAGATTAATTGCTGTTGATGTTCTTTGGACATAATTTTCCGCGAGACAGGATCATTTGGAAACCCATAAATACACATTCAGATGCACGTGATGGATAAGAAACTCGGCTCCAACGAGTCATTTGAGCTGCCATAAATCTTGTTTGCATTTTCTTCCCTGGTGCCTGTAAATCAGGCCCTATCTCCGCCTTCTGGGTCCTGGTGGCCCCTACCTGCCATCCATTACACTGCAGGTGGGGCATCTGACAGTCAGCCCCACACGCCGCCCTCATGCCCTACGCACATCCATCACGTGGCCAACCCTGCATCCTGCCACCCTCCTGGGGGGCCAAGGTTCCCTGAAGTTTTACTTGTCTCTCGTGCTTTTCTGAATAGCAGTTGTCCCCTACCCCCAAAATCACAGATTACACAAGCCTGATTGGGTTTTAACGACATGCAAGTTTTAAAAGCAAACTGGAGAGAGCTGCTCCTGGGTTTCTACCTTCTCCTTGGCCTGTGCCCCTGTGAGCTGTTTTGTTTTCAACAAGCCAACCATGCAAAGAGCAGGCAAAACCTCACGGGGTTTGGAATCAGACGCGGTGGGCTGCAATGGTTCTGTAATTAAGAGATTTCAGCCGAGTTCTTTCTCTGGGCCTCAGCGTGCTCATCTGCAGGATAGAGATAACAAACCCTACTTCCTCAGATTGTATCTCAGTGTAATAATACTCAGGTAATCGACGTAAGAGAAACCCCCAAAACTCAGTTGCTTAACCCAATGTACAGGTTTGATTTTTGCCCCATGCAAAATCCAGTATGGCAGCTTCCTTCTCTCTTACAGCTTTGTTTTCTGGAGTGGATATTCCTCTAAGATCACCGCGGCAGGAGAGGAGAGAGACAGAAAGAGGACCTTGGCTCCTAACTGCTCCAGTCCAGAAGAGATGCAGTCACTTTCTGCTCACATCCTATTGGTTGGAACTGGCCACATGACTCCAGGTGAATTGCAAAGGATGCTGGGAGGTAGAGAAGCACATGGCTAATTGGTGAACATTTGCATTCCTGCAAGAGTGGTTGTGAGTGTTCAATCACATGCAGTTCTCGGGGCAGGGCACCGAAGGGGTCTAGCAGAGCTTCGGGATGTCAGAGATGAGCCTAAAATAAGATTGGCCGGGCGTGGTGGCTCATGCCTGTAATCAGAGCACTTTGGGAGGCCGAGGGGGGCGGATCACTTGAGGCCGCCTGGGCAACATGGTGAAACTCCGTCTCTACTAAAATACAAAAAATTAGCTGGGCATGGTGGCACCTGCCTGTAGTCCCAGCTACTTGGGAGGCTGAGGCAGGAGATTCACTTGAACCTGGTAGGTGGAGGTTGCAGTGAGCTGAGATCACTTCATTGCACTCCAGCCTGGGTGACAGAGTGAGACTTTGTCTCAAAAATAAAATAAAATAAAATTTTGCCTGTGACCTGCTCTGGGCTGGGCAGCAATTTTTGTTCCTTTGGAATCCAGGCAGGACCCAGAGGTCAGCCCTGGATCAGAGGGACTGTTCCTCCTTTCTTCCTTCTCCCACCCTAAGGATGAAATCTGTTGCTTGTCCTGGTGGAATTCTCTTTTTCCAGCTCCCATTCTCAAAAGCACCCCATAAAATACCAAAAATAAACACTGTTCATGGCTTCCATTTGGGGAGGATTTATCTTTTTCCTTTAATACTTCTTACCACAACATACCAGTCTTTCATCTTTGCATGCCTGGGTCTGTGACCCTACCCTGGGAGGCAGGCCAAAGGCGGTGTATGCAGGCCTCTTGGGTCAAATGAGGACTTACCCCTCTGAATGCTGAGGAAAGCACAGGGGACTGTCTGGGGAAGGCAGCACGCAGTGAACAGACAGGGAGATGCTGGGTCTGGGCCTGGAAGGATGCGTAGGAGTTTGTCGAGTGGCAAGGTTGAGGGAACAGACAGGGAGACATTGGGTCTGGGCCTTGAAGGATGCATAGGAGTTTGTCAAGTGACAAAATTGAGTGTGTTCCTGGCAGAGGGAGCAAAGTGTGCAGAGAGATAGGAATGGGAATGGACTGGCGTGTTCTGGGAGCAACTGGAAGTTCCGGAAGTCTGGATGTTAGGGTTCCTGGGGATGGAGAGGCCAGGAGGACTGGGTTGTGGAAGACCAGACTTTATCTCCAGGACAGTGGGGAGCCAGGGAGCAGTGCAAGTGAGGCGGGGACGTCCCAGGACACCTGTCCACCACGGCCAACTTTTGTGACAGCACTGACTCTTGTATTGGTGGCAGGGTGGCTTGTTTTCTCCCCACATTTCACTTCCTGAGCAAAGGCAGTCTTGCAAGAATCTGAAAGGAGGCACCACATAAAATGACTCTTTTTTTTTTTTTAAGTAAAAAGTCAACAGTTCCGTGATCTTTGTAAAAATTAATCAGGAACACATGCGTTCTATTTTTCGTAAATTGCAAGGGATCAAAAGGAAAGGAAAATGCTCTTAGGGTGAAAGACAATGGGAGTTCCATCACCAGCTGGAACACTCCACACACTGTCTTGGAGTTGGGGGGCCTTCCCTGCACCCGGCGTCCTGGTGTGCCTCCCTGGAGAGAGAGCATGGGCTGGGCACGAGATATGGGGTGGGCTTAGATACGACCCAGACCTGAGATGCTCCCAGACAGGAGCAGGGGACCAGGCCCAGCAGGGGGCAATGACAATCTCTGGAGGGACAGTCCAGGGCCGAGGGAACCCAGAGAAGGCCTCTAAGTGTCTCAGACACAGGAGGAGGAACAATTGGAGAGGAGACCAAATGGGTGGGCTGGGGATGTATTAAGACTGTCTTTTTTTTTTTTTTTTTTTTTTTTTTGAGACAGGGCCTCTTTCTGTCACCCAGGCTGGAGTGCAGTAGCACGATCTCAGCTCACTGCAACCTCTGACTCCTGGGTTCAAGCAATTCTCCTGCCTCAGCCTGAGACTGTCTAGAATGTACAGCTAATGAATCTCTATTTTTCTCTTGTACTTTTCTCCCTTACTATCTGAGGATGGGGGCACAATGGCAAAAGCCCTGGGCACAGAAAATCAATCCAGCTTTTCTCTTACAGTGAGGCCAATCCCATACTTTGTAGGGTTTTTCATTTTTTTTTTTCTTTTTGAGATGGACTCTCGCTCTGTCACCCAGGTTGGAGTGCAGTGGCACGATCTCGGCTCACTGCAACCTCTGCCTCCTGGGTTCCAGCTGTTCTCCTGCTTCAGCCTCCTGAGTAGCTGAGATTACAGGCATGCGCCACCACGCCCTGCTAATTTTTGCATTTTTAGTAGAAATGGGATTTCACCATGTTGGCCAGGCTGGTGTCAAACTTCTGGCCTCAAGGGATCAGCCCGCCTCAGCCTCCCAAAGTGCTGGGATTGCAGGCGTGAGCCACCATGCCCAGCCCCAATCCCATCCTTTGAACCTCAATGCCCTCATCTGTAAAATGGAGATCATAATGAGCCCTACTTCCCCCAGGGGAGCTATGGACAGGTTCACGCTCTCCGGGGCCTCTCTCACACTGGCCTTCCCCTTGCCGGCCTCCCCTGGGTCTATCTGCTGTGGGGGCTGCAGTCACTCATGGGCAGGAGAGGTGAGGAAATGCAGTTGCACAGGCCTAGACCCAGCTGATGCCCTGTGTGTCCAAAGCCCAGTGGGGCCTGGGCTTCTGGTGGCCAGGACGCCCCTATGTCCAACCCAGGGTGGAGAAAGAGGCCAGGAGGACATGGTACTCTGAAGGCCTTTTGTGTGGCATCCTCAAGGAACCAGATCCAGGGCTCCTCCTGCACCCTGAGCCCCACCACGGGACCAGAGCAGCACCCAGCCTGCCGCCAGCCACCCCCGCGGTGGCCTGGTGCCAGCCCTGCAGGCGGGCAGTGAGATAATCCGGCTAGACGGGCTGCCATCTTGGCACGTCCCAAGACGCCCGAGGCCACGGGGAGCTTCAAAAGGAAAATTAATGTCTCTTACCAGCAATTAGAGGAAATTATTCAGATAGAAATCTTGTTTTCTATCTCCTCATCCTTGTTTTTGAATCCCCAGCCTTTGATTTCTTTCTTCTCTGGGGATTCTCAGAAAGACACTCTGAGAGCCTGGGCTGTGCACTGAGGCCTAATGAGGGCCTGGCACACCTGGCATCACAGCCTCGCCCGGGGTAGTCGGCTTCTGAGGCCTGTGCCTCCTGAACCCAGCCCTGAGGTCTTCCAAAGAGGCTGGCGGGCCCTTGGCAGCTGAGGGCAGCTCTCCCGAGGTGGGTGGGCCTCTGCTGGGGCTGGCTCCCCCTGATGCCCAAGGGAGGTGGCACCGGGCTACAGGCGGACGTCATGCACCTGGGGTGAAGGGGTGCTGAGGGCACTCTTGGGTGGAGGAGAGGCCCAAGGGGTGGACTCAGTGGGAACTGACACCCTTCCTGTCTCAGCGGGGACCCCTCATGCTCTCCGCCCGTCAGTCTTTCCCCACTGCCTCAGATGCAGCCTCAACTTCCCAATCTGGCGCTCAAAGCCCTGCAGATCTATCCTCGTCAGCTTCCCTGGCCCTTCCCCCCATCCCCTCCTCTAAATGTCCCCCGCTCCACTTGCCCAGGGTGCTGGGCTTATTCCAGACAGGAGCTCAGCCGCCATGACCCACGGTGGCACACACCCTGACCTGACGTAAATGACCTTCTTCTCTTTTTCTATCTGGCAGACTCCTGCACCTCCTCAGGTGGCCCAGCCCTGCCTCACCTTCTCAGGGATGCTGGCTTGGACCCCACCCAAGAGAACAGTTGGCATCTCCATCACCTAGCCCAGGCCACTGTCCTGAGCTAATCAGGAGCTACTCATGGGCTCTCTTCCCTAGAAACTCCTCGAAGCCAGGGAGAAGGGCGGCTTCATCTCCAGGTTCCCAGCACCAGGTGGCCCAGAATGGGCTTTAATAAGCTCCTGCTTGAATGAGTGACACCCAATGATAATGATGGTTTGAATAAATAAAAGAATGAAAGAATGAATGGGACTGATTAGAAGAGGCACCAGGAACAAGGTGTCAAGAGACTAATCTTGAATCATGATTCAGTCACTTCCTCCCTGTGTGACATGGAGCAAGTTGCTTTACCTCTCTGGGCTTCATTTTTCAGTTCTGTAGAATGGGATTAATAGTTTTAGCCCTGCCTTCAAAACAGTTGTGTGGCTAAAACAAAATAAAGGTGTTGCCAGGCATGGTGGCTCACATCTGTAATCCCAGCACTTTGGGATGACGAGGTGGGTGGATCATTTGAGGTCAGAAGTTCGAGACCAGCCTGGCCAACATGGTGAAACCCTGTCTCTACTAAAAATACAAAAATTATCTGGGCATGGTGGCGGGCGCCTGTAATCCCAGCTACTCAGGAGGCTGAGGCAGGAGAATTGTTGAGCCCAGGAGGTGGAGGTTGCAGTGAGCTGAGATGGCACTACTGTATTCCAGCCTGGGTGACAGAAGGAGACTTAATCTCTAAATAAATAAAGAAATAAATAAAGGGGTTGAGCATGCAATTATATTAAAATTACATGTACCACTCATCCCTCCCTCCATCCATCCATCCATCTACTCATTCATCCAATTATCAATTCATCCATCCATCCACTCATCCATCCACCCGTCTATTCATCTATTCACCCATCCACCATCCATCCACTCATTCATCCATCCACGCACTCACACAGTCATTCACCCCCTCACCCATCTAGGTATCCATCCAATTATCCACCCATCCATCCATTCATCCATCCATTCACTCATTTATTTATCCATCCAATTATCCACCCATCCATCCATTCACTCATCTATTTATCCATCCAGTTATCCACACATCCATCCATTCATCCACCCATTTATTTATCCATCCAATTATCTATCCATCCATCATCCATCCATCCATCCATCCATCCATCCATCCATCCATCCTCTTGTCCATTCCTTTAACAACCACTCACTGAGACCTCCTGCATGCCAGGCCTGTGTTGAGGAATGGGGGACAGTGTGGGGTCAGAAGAAGTACCTGCCCAGGGAGAGGTCATCAGTGGCAGCAGAGAAGCCCAGACAGGAGCTAAAGGAAGGAGGCTGAGCATGCCATCTCAAGAGTGCAGCCCAGGCTGGGTGTGGTGGCTCACACCTGTAATCCCACCACTGTGGGAGGCTAAGGCAGGCAAATCGCTTGAGCCCAGGAGTTCGAGACCAGCCTAGGCAACGTGGTGAAACTGTCTTTAGAAAATATTAGCCAAGGCCGGGCACGGTGGCTCATGCCTGTAATCCCAGCACTTTGGGAGGCCGAGGTGGGCGGATCACCTGAGGTCAGGAGTTCGAGACCAGCCTGGCCAAAATGGTGAAACCCCGTCTCTACTAAAAATACGAAAATTAGATGAGTGTGGTGTCGTGCACTTGTAATCCCAGCTACTTGGGAGGCTGAGGCAGGAGAATCGCTTGAACCTGGGAGGTGGAGGTTGCAATGAGCCAAGATTATACCACTGCACTCCAGCCTGGGTGACAGCGCAAGACTCCGTCTCAAAAAAAAAACAAAACAAAACAACAACAACAAAAAAAAAAACAAAAAGAAAAGAAAAGAAAGAAAGGAAAAGAAAAAATTAGGCAAGCGTGATGGCGCATGTCTGTAGTCCCAGCTACTCGGGAGGCTGAGGCAGGAGGATCACTTGACCCCGGGAAGCAGAAGCTGAAGTGAGCCCAGATCACACCACTGCACTCCAGTCTGGGTAATAGAGTGAGACCCTGTCTCAAAAACAAAACAAAACCAAAAAAGAGTACTACCCAAATCTCTGCTTCCCACCGCCTCAAATGCACCTGCTCTTGTCATGCTCAGCCGGCTTCAGAAACCCTAGGAGGCCAGGAACACTTCTGCCAGGGGTCCAGTTGGGAGGACACCTGGAGAACCTGGAGGTGGAGGTAAAGAGGAAGGGAAAACCAGACACAGAGAGGTGAAGAAATATGCCCCCAACTACTGTTGAATTGGGATGTGAGTCCTGAGCCACATTCTTAACCAGGTCCACATCCTGGATCAAATGGGCCCTCAAGTCCAGTGCTTGGAAAGCCTCCAATAAGTGGCTGGCCAGCATCTGTTACATACTTCCCCTGACGAGACACTCACTACCTTTCCAGGCTAGTGAGGCTCATCTGTGTACGGCTCTGACTGTGAAAAGCTCTTTCTTGGATAGAGGATCCACATTGGCCCTGGCTCGGCGCACTGGACCCTGTATTCCTGCTGGCCTGGAATGTCCGTGCAGAAACTTGAAGACAGTGGTGTGTCTCTGAGCCTTCTCTTTCCCAACATGGGTACTCTTCCCTGCTCCCCCCAAGTCCTTTCACCTCCCAGCTGTCCGTCTGGCACAGAAGATCAAGTGCATTGTTGAGACCACAAGGGAGGGGAGGCAGCTTAGGAGATCAGGAAAAAAACTTATGACACTAATTTAGGGTCTTAGCCTCACTCTTGGCCTTATCCTGTGTTTTCTAGACATTAACTTTCGTCAGCCCCCAAATCTTGATTTAATCATTCCATCTTAATGTATTGTCTTCATTGCTATAAAATGCCTTGATTCCTTTTGGGGAGTAGAGATAAGTAATAAATAAAGGTACCAGTTAACCCCCCCTAAGTTTTGGGGGATGATCACATCTGGGTCCTTTCTCTCTTGCCTGCTTCAAGAAACAATTGTTAATTCTTTTAGTAAGTTTCAGGCCAGTTGATGTAATGACAATATCTTGAAATCAACCATCGTGGCCAGGCATGATGGCTCATGCCTGTAATCCCAGCACTTTGGGAGGCTGAGGTGGGTGGATCACATGAGGCCAGGAGTTCGAGACCAGCCTGGCCAACATGGCAAAACCCTATCTCTACTAAAAATACGAAAAATTAGCTGGGTGTCATGGTGCGCACCTGTAATCCCAGCTACTCGGGAGGCTGAGGCAGGAGAATCACTTGAACCCGGAATCTGGGAGGCGGAGGTTGCAGTGAGCTGAGATCACACCACTGCACTCCAACCTGGGTGACAGAATGAGACTCTGTCTCAAAAAAAAAAAAAAATCAACCACAGTGAGGGTCTTTACACCATGAGAATTGGCAAACGCTACCAGTCAGGGCTTTCCCCACTACATTTTCCAGCACACAACTGAATATGCCTCTCATCTTTCTTCTCCCCATAGAGCAGTCAAGTGAGGAGGACTGCCTGATCCTAGAGACTCTGATCCTCCCAAGACGCAGACCAGGGCTCTATTCTCACAGGACTTTCCCCTCAAGTGACTCTCCTCTGTGCACACATGCTGTCTTACTCTGTATTCTTTTAGGAGCCACAGGGCTTCAAGCATGCACCCATTCATTCAACATATGTTCAACACCACTATCTGGCAGGCCCCAGGCTGGGGACTTGTGACTGGGGACTTACAGATTGGACAGAGCTGCCTTCTCTACCAGTGCCTTGAGGGGACTCACTCTATGTCATGTGCATGATTCATGCTATCTCATTTAACCCTCACAACATCCGGGCCCATTTTATAGATGAGAAAACTGCAGAGCCTGGAGTGCCAAGTGGGTGATTTCTATCTGTTCCACTCCGAAGACCCAGGCTTACCACTCCAAAATGACAGTGGTGGTGATTTTTTCTTTTCTTGTTCGGTCTTCACTATGGCTCTGAGAGGAAGCTGTTCATTGCTCTATTTGCCAAGGGGGAAAACCTGAAGCTCAGGGATGTTGACCGGTCCAACTTGCAAGCTTAATGAAAATGCAGGACTCTGTCTCCTAAGCCAGGTGGTGGTGCAAAATGAGCCCCACTCCTGGGGTGGAACCTTGAGTTGGGAGCCCTGAGTTCTTGGCTCAGCTCCACTGGGGATGTCAAGGGTGACCTTGGGCAAGTCACTTCTCATGATCTAAGCCATTCTGTGCCCCTCAGCCCTGATTGCTCTGAGCCCCAGACCCTGCCATCCCCTGTCACTTGAGCTTCATCATAAGATGTTCCATGAGCATTGCCACTTATTGCAACACAGATGGAACTCTCTAAGCCTCTGTTTCCTCATGTGTAAAAACTGGATAACAGTAGTTTCTACTTTACAGAATATTGTGAGGATACAATAATATCATACTCTCAATGGATTCCTCACACTGCAGTGGTGTGATCTCAGCTCACTGCAACCTCCGCCTCCCGGATTCTGGGTTCAAGTGATTCTCCTGCCTCAGCCTCCTGAGTAGCTGGGATTACAGGTGCACTCAATTAATGTTAGCCATTAACTCTCTGGGAACATGTCCCCACTGTCTAGCTGGCTGTGGTACTCATGTATGAAGCCCACAAACATTCAAGTATCCAACGATCACCTAAAATGCACACAAGTTCATCCATTCAGTGTTGACATGGACAGATGGTATGATGGATTACAGATGGCTATAAATTATTTGTCATGCCTTTCAAGAAATCTATTTCCCCTCCTGTTTAGTCTAGACTATCCTCATGGCTGCTTACCCAATAGAATGCAATGGAAGGAACAGTGGCCAGTCAGGGTCCTAGTCTTTGTGAAGACTGGCAGTTTCTGCTTCTCCCTCTTGGAACACTTGCTCTTGGGACACTGCTTCTCAGAAACCAGCCATCATGCTCCAAAAGACGTACAGAAGCCACATTTAGGCACTCTGGTTGACAGCCCCGCTAAAGTCCCAGGCAACATCCAACATGAGCTGCCAGTCATATGGATGGGCCATCTTGGATATTCCAGCTCGCTATAGCTCCCAGATGGCTGCATCCCCAACCAACATCACATAAAGCAGAAGAACCTCCCAGCCAAGCACAGTCAACTCATAGGATAATGAGATTTAAGATGGTTATTGCTTTAAACCACTAAGTGTTGGGACAATTTGTTATGCAGAAAACCAAAGTGTTGGGGCAATTTGTTATGCAGAAAACCAAAACATATAGTATACCCATTTATGAAACTTTAAAGTATTTATTTACTACTTTTTGAAAAAGATTAGTCATTCTGTACTACAGAAAACTATAACAATAATTTGCTGCCTGTATTTGTATAGCCTGCAAGGTAAGCAAGGCTTTTACACTATAACATGGCTGGAAAAAATCAAAAGAAGAATATTATTTTGTGAGCTATGTGAGAAATTTATACAAAATTCGAATTTTAGTATCCACAAATAAAGTTTGATTGGAATACAGGCATGCTCATTCATTTATAGCTTGTCCACAGCTGCTTTGTCATGAGAGCAGTAGAGTTCCATGGTGGTATCAGAGGCCATATGGACCACAGCACCTAAAATATTTACTGTCTGGCCCTTTCCAGGAAAAGTTCACCAACTCCCTTCTCTAGACCATTAAATATGTATCATCATTTTGAACTTAAAATCCTGCATATAAGAACTTGTATGTGTCTGAAACTTATTGACTGAGTCCTGTAAGGAAAAAGCAAAAAAGCAACAGTGGGCATTTTTGCTTATTTATTTTTAATGTTTATAGAGACACGATCTCAGTCTATCACCTGGCTGGAGTGCAATTGTGCAATCATAACTCACTGCAGCCTCCATGTCCCAAGCTCAAGTGATTCTACCACCTCAGCCTCCTGAGTAGCTGGGACTACAGGTGCATGCCACCATGCCCAGCTACATTTTTTATGTTTTATTTTGTAGACACAGGGTCTTGCTATGTTGTCCAGGCTGGTCTCAAACTCCTGGGCTCAAGCAATCCTCCCACCTTGGCCCCCCAGAGTTCTGGGATTACAGGTGTGAGCCACGGTGCCAGGTCTATTTATTTGTTTGTAAGTTTGAAAGCTTTCAGAAGTATAAGAATGGCCCAAGCTGGGTGTGGTGGCTCACACCTGTAATCCTAGCACTTTGGGAGGCGGAGCTGGGTGAATCACTTGAGGTTGGGAGTTCGAGACCAGCCTTACCAACATGGAGAAACCCCGTCTCTACTAAAAATACAAAATTAGCTGGGTGCGGTGGCACTTATGTGTAATCCCAGCTACTCGGGAGGCTGAGGCAGGAGAATCGCTTGAACCTGGAAGGCAGAGGTTGCAGTGAACCAAGATCATGCCATTGCATTCCAGCCTGGGCAACAAGAGCAGAACTCCGTCTCAAAAAAAAAAAAAAAAAAAAGAATAGC